>NC_000007.14:98870415-99173445 GCF_000001405.40 Homo sapiens
GTGCGCTGCGCTGCAAGCCGCCTGCAGGTCCCTTGGGGCTCTCCTCCAGGTGCCTTCTCTCTGCACGCTCGTGGCTCCGAGATGCTACTCCTCATTCAAGAACTGTTGAGAGCTTAAGGTGCGCCAGGCGTTGGGCGAAAGGCCTCGAAATTCCTCTTGCTGCTGCTGCTGCTGCTGCTTCCTCTTTTCTTTTTTTTTTTTTTTTAATCTTGAGACAGAGTCTCGCTCTGTCCCAGAATGGCGCGATCTCGGCTCACTGCAACCTCCGCCTCCCGGGTTCAAGCGATTCTCCTGCCTCAGCCTCCCTAGTAAGATGGGATTACAGGTGCCCGCCACCAGGCCTGGCTAATTTTTGTATTTTTAGTAGAGACGGGGTTTCACCATGTTGGCCAGGTTGGTCTCAAACTCCTGGCCTCAAGTGATCCTCTCGCCTCAGCCTCCCAAAATGTTGGGATTACAGGTGTAAGCCACTGTGCCCAGCCTCTTGCCCCTTCTTGATAGAGGGGCCTGAGCACCCGGCCCCTGCCGTGGGCTTGATGTCATCCCCCGGTTTACCCTCTCACAGCTGCTGTTAAGATGGGGCTCCTGCTCGTATCTGGGCCCAGGGCAACTTCTTTGTCACTGAGGGCCTTGTGGGAGTCAGGCTACTGCGGTGAGGGGTGACCAGCCTACACAGTTACTGCCATTTGCCTTAGAGGAGCAGGGCTGGGCTCTCCTAGAAGCTGGAGGGGCCTGGCTGGCCTTAAACGCTGGAAGCCCGGTGGGTTCTGGTCCCAGCTATGCTTCCGCTTTGCTACGGCTACCTGGGCGAGGGATCCTCCCACACAGTGAGGGCCTTTGACCTCCTCTCTGGCCCGTGGAGCACGGATGGACCATCACTGCACCACCCAGTGCATTGACATCAAGGCGTCTAAAGCAGGGGTCTCCAAGCCCCTGGCCGCCAGTACCAGTCCATAGCCTGTTAGGAACTGGCTGCACAGCAGGAGGTGAGCAGGGCCTGTGAGCCACGCTGAGCTCCACCTCCTGGCAGATCAGCAGGGCATTAGATTCTCATAGGAGCGCAAACCCTACTGTGAACTGCTCACGTGAGGGATCAAGGTTGCGTGCTCCTTATGAGAATCTAATGCCTGATGTTCTGTCACTGTTTCCCATCATCCCCAGATGGGACCATCTAGTTGCAAGAAAGCAAGCTCAGGGCTCCCACTGATTCTACATGATGGTGAGTATGTAATCATAATAGAAATAAAGTATACAATAAAAGTAATGCGCTTGAATCATCCCGAAACCATCCCTCCAACCCCTCATTCGTGGAAACATTGTCTTTGGTGCCAAAAAGGTTGGGGACTACTGGTCTAAAGGGCCCCTGGCTCTGGGACAGCTGTGAGCTTCCCTAAGAATGGGCCCCACTGGCCCCACTGCTATGTTCAGGGAATGGAGGGAGAATAGATTTGAGTGAGCCCCTATGAAAAGTTAAAAGGGCTAGACAGGGCAGGGCATGGTGACTCACACCTGTAATCCCAGCGCTTTGGGAGGCCGAGGCGGGTGGATCACGAGGTCAGGAGTTCGAGACCAGCCTAACCAAGATGGTGAAACCCCGTCTCTACTAAAAATACACAAATTAGCCAGACTCGGTGGCAGGCGCCTGTAATCCCAGCTACTTGGGAGCCTGAGGAAGGAGAATTGCTTGAACCTGGAGGCGGAGTTTGCAGTGAGCCAAGATTGCACCACTGTACTCCAGCCTGGGCAACAGAGCAAGACTCCGTCTCAAAAAAAAAAAAAAGTTGGGGGGGTCGGTTGCGGTGGCTCACGCCTGTAATCCCAGCACTTTGGGAGGCCAAAGCGGGCAGATCATGAGGTCAGGAGATCGAGACCATCCTGGCTAACACAGTGAAACCCCGTCTCTACTTAAAAAAAATACAAAAAATTAGCCGGGCGTGTAGTCCCAGCTACTCGGGAGGCTGAGGCAGGAGTATGGTGTGAACCCAGGAGGCAGAGCTTGAGTGAGCTGAGATTGCACCACTGCACTCCAGCCTGGGAAACAGAATGAGACTCCATCTCAAAAAAAAAAAAAAAAAAGTGCTAGACGGATGTCACCCCCTAGTGGCATCAACTGTCACGGTGGTGATAAATACCAGGCCTAGGAACAAGGGGACTTTGGGTTCTCCCTGAGAGTTACAGGACCTTGGAGAAGTCACTTTCCTCCCTGCTAATGTTTTAAAAATTATTTTTTACAGAGATGGGATCTTGCTAGGTTGCTCAGACTGGTCTCAAACTCCTGAGCTCAAGCGATCCTCCTGCTTCAGCCTCCAGAGTAGCTGGGACTACAGGCATGAGCCACCATGTCAGTCCCCCTTTTTCTTTAAAATGGGCATAATAATAGTCCCAACACCATGAGACTATTATAAGGATAAAAGGAATTAACACGTAGAACACAGCTTAGGACATAGTAAAGGGTTCAATCAGTGTTGGGTGTCAAATGGGAATTGCTGAAGGACTTGGGAGGAATTGGCTTGTTCAGCAGGACTTTGAAGCACTTGAGAAGAAAACAGTCAAGCTTGCAGAGTTGCAAATCTTTAAGACGGTTTAACATAATTGGAAGGCCAGGTCGTTCCTGCTTTTTAAAAATGTATCAAATAGCATAAGATGTATTGTTTCTAAAATGTGTAACTTTATTTCACTGAGTAATAATTTTACAGTAGCCACAGTGTTACAGAAGCCACCTTCAAGGCCACCCTGAAATTGATGCTGATGCCACCCTTTGGCTAATTCCTTTTTTTTTTTTTTTGAGATGGAGTCTCTCTCTGTCACCCAGGCTGGAGTGCAGTGGTGCGATCTCGGCTCACTGCAAGCTCCGCCTCCTGGGTTCACGACATTCTCCTGCCTCAGCCTCCCAAGTAGCTGGGACTACAGGCGCCTGCCACCACGCCTGGCTAATTTTTTTGTATTTTTAGTAGAAACGGGGTTTCACCGTGTTAGCCAGGATGGTCTCGATCCGCTGACCTCGTGATCCGCCCGCCTCTGCCTCCCAAAGTGCTGGGATTACAGGCGTGAGCCACCGCACCCGGCCAGCCCTTTGGCTAATTCCTGTTTGCCACCCAGGATTTTCTTTCCTTTTTTTTTTTTTTTTTGACGGAGTCTTGCTCTGTCACCCAGGCTACAGCGCAGTGGTGTGATCTCGGCTCACTGCAACCTCTGGCTCCCAGGTTCAAGCAATTCTTCTGCCTCAGACTCCCAAGCAGCTGGGATTACACACACCCGCCACCACGCCTGGCTAATTTTTTGTATTTTTTTTTTTTTTTTTTTTTTTTTTTTTAGTAGAGATGGGGTTTCGCCACGTTGGCCAAGCTGGTCTCGAACGCTAGACCTCAGGTGACCCACCCGCTTTGGCCTCTCAAAGTGCTGGGATTACAGGCATAAGCCACCGCGCCCGGCCAGGATTTTCCATAGGCGTTACTCTTATCCCATCACCACCACCACCACCCTCACAGTACCCATCTCTGCTCCATCCCATAGCAGACTGGGAAGCTTCACTCTTCCAGGGAGTATCTGATAAGGGAGGGGCAGGAAATCCTCTCAGAAGGCTAGGTTTCCTTTTCATTTTTTTCTTTTCCTTTTATTTTTTGAGATGGAGTCTCAAAAATGTTGCCTAGGCTGGAGTGCAGTGGCACGATCTTGGCTCACTGCAACCTCTGCCTCCTGGATTCAAGCGACTCTCCTGCCTCAGCCTCCTGAGTAGCTGGGATTACAGGCATGCACCACCATGCCCAGCTAATTTTGGTATTTCTTAGTAGAGATGGGGTTTCACCATGTTGGCCAGGCTGGCCTCGAACTCCTGGCCTCAAGTGATCTGCCGCCTCTGCCTCCCAAAGTGCTAGGATTACAGGCGTGAGCCACTGTGCCCAGTCCATAGAGCTAGCTTTTCTTTTATTTTTTCTTTTCTTTTCTTTCAGAGAGGGGTCTCTTTATATGTTGCCCAGGTTAGTCTCAGACTCCTGACCACAAGCAATCCTCCCACCTCGGCCTCCAGAGTAGCAAGGATTACAGGTGTGCACCACCAAGTGCAGCTTGGCTTTCCTAAATTAATGTTCTTGGCTAGAAACAGAATTGGAGCCATGTATGTAATTTTAAATTTTCAAGTAGCCACAATTCAAAAAAGAAAAAGAAATAAGTGAAATCAATTTTAATGCTGTTACAAAACTCAACATATTCAAAATATCATCTCAACACATAATCAACGTAAAAATGATCAATAACCCGGGAGCAGTGGCTCACGCCTATAATCTCAACACTGTGGGAGGCCGAGGCAGAGGAGGCCAAGAGTTTGAGACCAGCCTGGCCAACACGGGGAACCCCAGTGGCAGGTGCTGTAATCCCAGCTACTCTGGAGGCTGAGGTACAGGAATCTCTTCAACCTGAGGGGCATAGGTTGCAGTGAGCCAAGATCGTGCCACTGCACTCTAGCCTTTTTGTTGTTGTTGTTGTTGTTGTTGTAAGGGTTCACCATCTCGTGTGCATTTTACGCTGAGATTTCATCTCCATTCAGATGGGCCACACTGCACATGGGGCTAGTGGCTACTGAAGTGGAAAGCACAGCACTAAGTTGCCTGGGTACAAATGCGTCTGACCATCCCAAGAGTCTTCCTGGTCATCCTCCTTTTTTTTTTTTTTTTTTTTTTTGAGACAGGTTCTCCCCCTGTTGCCCAGTGTGAAGTGCAGTGACACAATTGTGACTCACAGGTCACTGCACCCTCTAACTCTTAGGGTCAAATGATCCTCCCACCTCAGCCTCCCAAGTAGCTCAGCTAATTTTTTAGATTTTTGGTAGAGATGGGGGTCTCACTATGTTGCCCAGGCTGGTCTTGAGCTCCTAGTCTCAAGTGATCCTCCTGCCTCAGCCTCCCAAAGTACTGGGATTACAGGCATAAGCCACTGTGTTCGGCCTCAAGAGTCATTTTTTTTTTCCCACAAATTCTCCCAGTCTAGCCTATAGGGGCCACAAATACCTCTTACCGGGGTGACTTTGACCCTCCTCCCAGCATCCTCGCCTATGCCATGTGTCTGCGTGTCTGGTACTTAGCATGTAGTTTGGTGCAAAGTAGATGCTTGTGGAATGGCTGAAAGAATAAGATGAGGCCTCCCCTTGATAACGCCCCCAAAGCCTTGAACATGACTCGGTGTTGGAAACCATTTGTCGGTGCCTTCTCTGGACTGACCTTGGACTGCTTTCACAGACACCATCTCATATGATCACAAGGCAGCACAGAGGGGACATTCTCTCCCCTGGCGAGGTGAGCATCGGTCAGAACAGACACTGAGGGCAGCCTTAACAGGCAATGCCTGGGGCCAAACGTCCAGAACAGTAGCCACAGGTAAGGGTCTGGGACCTGGGGACAGATCAGATGTTGTGAACAGTCAGACCTCATTCGCCTGGCTCTGGGGGGGCGGTGGGGGAGGGACGGTGGCCTGTTTTGGTTAATTAAATTTTTCTGGGTAATGAAAAGTTCACACTTCTTTGGTGTCAATTCTTGTTGATGAAACTCTTTCTAAAGCAAGTTAGTGTTAGTTGGTCTGTTGGCCCTAGCAAGGTGGTATAATCAAATCTTTGGTCATTCGAGGGCAGCAGCCCTAGGGTCCGTATCCCTACCACACATCCTCGTTGTCCTGCATTGGAAATTAACTATGGGAGGTGGGGGGCCGCTGGGCAGGTAACAATGACTCAGAATCAGCTCCTGGGAGAAGCATTTGGGGCTAAATCCTGGAGTAGCTTGGAGGGAGCAAAATGAGTTCGGGGATATCCTTTTTTTTTTTTTTTTTTTGAGATAGAGTCTTGCTCTGTCGTCCAGGCTGGAGTGCAGTGGTGCCATCTTGGCTCACTGCAACCTCCACCTCCTGGGTTCAAGCGATTCTCCTGCCTCAGCCTCCCAAATAGCTGGGATTACAGGTACCTACCACCACGCCTGGCTAATTTTTGTATTTTTAGTAGAGATAGGGTTTCACCATGTTGGCTAGGCTGGTCTCAAACTCCTGGCCTCAAGTGATCTGCCCGCCTCAGCCTCCCAAAGTGTTGGGATTACAGGTGTGAGCCACCGCGCCCGGCCTATTCCTTTGTTTTTTAGAGATAGGGCCTCTCCCTGTCGCCTAGGCTGGAGTGCAGTGGCATGATCATAGCTCACTGCAGAGTAGAACTCCTGGGCTTAAGCGATCCTCCTGCCTTAGCCTCCCGAGTAGCTGGGACTTCAGGTGCATGCCACCATGCCCTGCTAATTTTTTAAATATTTTTTAGAGATGAGGGTCTCGCTGTGTTGCCCAAGCTGGTCTCGAATTCCTGGCCTGAAGCAATCCTCCCACCTCAGCCTCCTGAATAGCTGGGATTCCGAAAAAATCTCCAAAAATCCTGAAGGATTTTAAGCAGAGGAGTGAATGTGATCTAATTTACCTGATCAGGATGAAGTTGACACTGTCCCTCACCTCTAATTCAGGAGACAGATGAGAAAACAGGCAAAAATCATGAAAGTGTGATGACTAATTTGATAAGACGCTTAGGCCACCTGAAAGTGCAGGGATTTTGCCAATGTTAGGGCCAGGCTTGACTGTAGGTCTTTATCATATGCAATTGAGCCAAAACTTATTTTAAAAAAGCGTCTACAGCTGTTTTCCTAACTCCCCTCAAAAAACAATATTAAACAATCGTTTAGCACACTAATTTCAGCCCTCAAATATTTCAGTCTTCAACTTTGGACCTCTTATTTTTTTTTATCTTCTGTGACAAAGTCTCGCTCCCACCTCAGCCTCCCCAGTAGCTGGGACCACAGATGCCTGCCACTAAGCCCGACTAATTTTTGTATTTTTTGCTAAGACGAGGTCTCGCTATGTTGCCCAGGCTGGTCATGAACTCCTGAACTCAAACAGTCCTCCCACCTTGGCCTCCTGAAATGCTGGGATTACAGGCATGAGCCACCACAGCCGGCTTGGACCTCCCACTTTTTTGGGGGCAGTGGAGGTAAGACAATAGCAGATTTTGCTTGCAAACAGGCAACCTCTTCCGTGATGGAAGGGCTATTCTGAGCCATTTTGTTTCTCCTGGGGCAGAATTAACTGGTACTAAAAACATCCATTCACAATCCCAGCATTTCAGCTGTGGCCTTGTTCTCGAGTGGCAACATTAAACGAGCAAGGAGCTTGTTTCAGAAAAGAGCACCTCCCCTCCAGGGTATCCACGGGCACTGAAACATTTATTTATTGCAGGGTGTGAAATGTGTCTAGGAAGGGAACATAATGATCTTGGTGGGTTAGTGATAAATGGGGTGAGGGTGGGGGGTAGGTGAAGGAAGGTGTAGGAGGTGGAACCAGGGCCTGGAGGTGGCCAAGTTCATGTCATGCTTCCACACTCTGTCCCTGTAACATGGTAACCATGGCGCCTGACTGTACCTTTCCCTTGGAGACACCTTTTGGTCCGGCCCATGCCACCTCCCCTGGCTCCATCCCACTCTATCCCTTCATTGCTCTGGCCTGGCCTGAGGCCTCTCTCCATCCAGTTTTGATGGAGGTAGCTCTGCCTGCCATGTGGATCCAGCCTCGGAGGTAAAGCAGCTGCAGAATCAATGGGGCCTTTCTGCACCTGGGCGGCCACTTCCAGAAAGCCCACCCGGACTTTCTTTTACTAACAGGGTCTCGGTCCATCTCCAGCCGTCACCTTCCCAAAGACCCTCCTGGCCTCCTCTCCATTCTGCGGGCCGAGAAGAACCCCAGGAGAGCAGCGGGGACCGGGAGCGAGGAGTGGGGGTGGCAAACCCTACCCTGCCTGCCACCTTCAGTCCAGTGGTGGACAATACCTGGACCCCATAGCTGCCAACTCGGGAAGCCGCGCCCCCCCCCAGGTGCCCACCGCCCCCAGGGTACCCGGGCATTCCCCGAGGCCTGGCTCCTGGGAGGAGACTCAGGGAAAAAGGAGCTCCTAGAACCTGGGCGCCGGCCCGGCCCCGTCAAGGCTGTCGGGGATTTAAAGGGCCGGGACCCACCCGGACGGCGGACGCCCCTCCCCGTGCCCGCGCAGGCCGCACCCACTTGGGGGCGGCGCGCCGGGGCCTGGTGCTCGGTCGGCGGGTGCTGCCGCTTTAAGCGGGGGCGGGACTGCGCGCGGCCGAGCGGTTGCGACGAGGGCTCGGCTGGGGGTCGCCGGGGTCGCGGGCCGGGCCTGCAGGAGCCGGGCCGCCGAGGTCGGGGTAAGTTGGCGGGCGGGCGTCCGAACGGCCCCGGGAGGTGCGCGCGGCCCTCAGGCGCGGGGAGGCCTCTGCGGCGCGGCGGCTCCGCGGAGGGATGGAGCTGGGGGCTCCGAGCGCCCCGGGATCCCCTAGGCCCCAGCCAGAGCCCACCTGGGGCTGCGGGGCCGATGGCGTTTGCGGCCGAGCTGAGAGGAAGCTGTGGGAGGCGCAGCGCTCGCGGGCGCGGGAATTGGCGCTCGGCGCTCGCCGTAGCTCGGCCTGGGACGCGGTCACGGAGCGCCCGGGACGGCGACCAAAGGAGGGAACCGGAGGGCCGTTTGTGAGCTGAGAGGTCGGGTGGGACGTTGGGGGCCTGTCCCTCCGGAGGCGCCCCCCGGCCAACCTGGCACCTCCGGGCCTCTACGCCGGCACTGGACTCGTTAGGCCCGGCGCGGGGAGCGAAGGTAGCGGCGACCACAGCGCCCCCTCTGGCCCGGCGGCGCCGCCTCAGGCCGGGCTTGGCGGGGTCTGGGGGCGGCGGGGCAGTTTGTCCCCAGGAGTAGGAGCAGGCCCGGCGCCAGCCCGGCCTGGGCCTTCGGCGTCCGGGGTGGTGAAGTTGCTTTTCCTCAGACACGCAGAATGGGGGCGTTTCCCCCCGGCCAGGGCCCCCCAGGCTCCGCGGGACCCCGGGAAATGGAAGAGTTGACGACTTCCGTGGGAAGGGGGAAGTTTGGACAGGACTAGGGAGGTTCTTAGGCAGGGAGAGGCCGTGACCCCGAGTCTTGGGTCCCCTGGGATGGGGATGGGCAGGGAGAGGCCGTGACTTCCGAGTCTTGGGTACCCTGGGATGGGGATGGGCAAGGAGAGACCGTAACCCCGAGTCTTGGGTCCCCTCGGATGGGGATGGATAGGGAGAGACCGTGATCCCGAGTCCTGGGTCCCCTCGGATGGGGATGGGCAGGGAGAGTCCGTGACCCCCATGCCTTGGGCCGATGGAGATGGGGAAGGGGGTGTCACCTGAAACAGGCAGTTGCCAGGTCCCCTAGCAGGGCTTGACAAACTCCCCCGCCTTGGTTTCCTTCTTGGCTTTTCCTACCCGGAGCCAGAGGGCTGGGGCTTCTGGTGGGCTTGTTGTGGGACACCTGTGGGCATGCTCTCTGCATGGAAGAAGGGTTTTTGGTGTCTAGGAGAGAGTGGCCGGAAGGAGCTCTCTAGTGTCACCTGTGTCAGCTGCAAAGCAGTGTATCCGGTAGGCCTGCAAAGGAGGTCCTGGTGTGTCTGTTGAAAGAAAACGAAGCCATGAAACCACCTGTTAGTGCAGAGCAGGATTATGCAAGGAGGAGGGGTGAAAGCAACTTATTTCACCAGCTTCTCGGGATACTTTGTGACACCTGTTAAAATAGAAACCAAGTCTCCATCTGTGTGTCAGCTGGGAGCAGCCACTGAGTGCCTGCTGCCTGGCAGCTACAAACAGAATTTATAGTTTCCCGTGCCCGTCACGTAACCACAGTCTGGAGGGGTGCTGCTTGGGAGCCCACCTTTGGCACTTGGGGATTTTGATGTCCGCTGAAGTTTGGAAACCAGTCACACGTACGACCAAGGTTGCCCCAATCCAGCCTGCTGCCTGCGTTTTGTTGTTGTTGTTGTTTTTTTTTTTTTTTTTCCGAGACTGAACCTTGCTCTATTGCCCAGGATGGAGTGCAGTGGCACAATCTTGGCTCACTGCAATCTCCACCTCCTGGGTTCAAGTGATTCTCCTGCTTCAGCCTCCTGAGTAGCTGGGATTACAGGTGCCCACTACCACGCCTGGCTAATTTTTGTATTTTTAGTAGAGATGGGGTTTCATCATGTTGGCTACGCTGGTCTGGAACTCCTGACCTCGTGATCTCCCTGCCTTCGCCTTCCAAAGTGCTGGGATTCCAGGCGTGAGCCACTGCGCCTGGCCTGCTGCATGATTTTATACCGCCCATGAGCTAAGAATGGTTTTATATTTTTAAATGGCTGGGGAAAAGAGGAAGGATATTTCATGGTAAATGAGAGTTATATGAAATTCAGATTTCAGTGTCCATAAATAAAGTTTTATTGGAACACAGCCTCATTTATTTACATGTTGTCTGTCTGTGACTGCTTTCTGGTTATAGCAGCGCTGAGTAGTTGTGACAGACTGCGTGGCCACAAAGATTAAAATATCTACTATGTGGCTCTTTACAGAAAATGTTTGCCAACCCCTGACTCAGAGAAAGAGAAAATACCGTAGGAAGGAACAGTATCTGCATACAAAAATCATGTTTCAAAATTAATAGACAAAATTGGAGTTGGGTAAACTTCATATTAAAAAAACCAGAAGGAATAGTGTTAGATTCTGGATTAAGATGAAAGCGTATCGATTATGTAGGCCTTTAGGTAAGATTTTCACAGAGATTGTGATCCTGTGCCCTCCATAAATTGACTAACTCTATGCTTCTTTTCATAGGCTGGTTGAACTCATGGACCTGATACTTTTCTCTTGAGAAGCAAACCAGCCCAAAAGAAAAATGGCGTTTGTTGCAACACAGGGGGCCACGGTGGTTGACCAGACCACTTTGATGAAAAAGTACCTTCAGTTTGTGGCAGCTCTCACAGATGTGAATACACGTGAGTTGATCCTTTTTATCATTAAGAAATGCATAAATAAGGCCGGATGCGGTGGCTCACGTCTGTAATCCCAGCACTTTGGGAGGCCGAGGCGGGTGGATCACCTGATGTCAGGAGTTTGGGACTAGCCTGGCCAACATGGTGAAACCACGTCTCTACTAAAATACAAAAATTAGCCAGGTGTGGTGGCTCACGCCTGTAGTCCCAGCTACTTGGGAGGCTGAGGCAGGAGGATCGCTTGAACCCAGGAGGCAGAGGTTGCAGTGAGCTGAGATCGCACCACTGCACTCCAGCCTGGGTGACAGAGCGAGACTCCCTCTCAAAAAAAAAAAAAAAAGAGAAATGCATAAATATGACACATTTATCTCAGCTCAGATGTTGTGTACTTTGAGATTAATCGTAACAGTAACTTTTATTCTCATTTTCCTTTTCTCTACCTTGTAGAGAAGCAAAGTGATGAGTAATACTGGCTGGAGCCCCAAAGAGGCACGTGTGTGTGTTTGTGTGTGTGTGTATATGCTTGTCAGTGCATGCACGTGTATGTCTGGGAGTACAAATGGGTGCGACTGGTTGTAGGGAACTAGCTATGTGCCTTCTATTAGGCCATGACAGTCAAACTGATAAGATCTGATTGCTTCTCTTAAATTACTAAATCCAAGTTTTGCATTAACATAATTTCCTTAACATAATTTCAATTACCTGATGCTTGTTTTGCCGTTCACAGCTGATGAAACAAAGTTGAAAATGATGCAAGAAGTTAGTGAAAATTTTGAGGTATGAGCATTATATTTTCTATTTTTCATTTTGAGGTAAATATTCTTATTCACTTTCCTGTCCTGCTTTGTCAGTCTTTTTACTAGCAACTCAAAGATCATTGTCTTTGTTCAAGTAATTTAGTATATTTCGAAACTGAAATCTGAAACTTTGTACACAGCGTTTTCCATCTTCACGCTGGTGATAGCGAACCCCATACCATGTTGAGGATTGTCAGTTTTGTTTTGGTTGGTTTAAAAACATTTTTTCATTTTAAAATATGGTAGCTCTTTTAGGCTACCATGCCTGTTGGGATGCACTCAGATTTATTCTTGTACTTTTCTTTCTTTCTTTTCTTTCTTTTTTTTTTTTTTTTGAGATGGAGTTTCGCTCTTGTCGCCCAGGCTGGGGTGCAGTGGCGTCATCTTGGCTCACTGTAACCTCTGCCTTCCGGGTTCAAGCAATTCTCCTGACTCAGCCTTCAGGGTAGCTGAGACTATAGGTGCCTGCTACCATGCCTGGGTAATTTTTGTATTTTTAGTAGAGACGGGGTTTCACCATGTTGGTCAGGCTGGCCTTGAACTCCTGACCTCAGGTGATCTACCTGCCTCAGCCTCTCAAGGTGATAGCATTACAGGCGTGAGCCACCTCACCTGGCCTGTTTATTGTCTTTTTTGAGGCAGAGTCTGGCTGTGTCACCCAGGCTAGAGTGCAGTGGCGTGATCTTGGCTCACTGCAACCTCCACCTCCCGGATTCAAGCGATTCTCCTGCCGTAGCCTCCCAAGTAGTTGGGATTACAGGTGTGCACCACACCCGGCTGATTTTTGCATTTTTAGTAGAGACCGGGTTTCACCATGTTGGCCAGGCTGGCCTTGAACTCCTTACTTCAGGTGATCCTCCTGCCTTGGCCTCCCATAGTGCTGGGATTACAGGCATGGGCCACTGTGCCCGGCCGAGATGCACTCAGATTTATGTTGTGAATTTGTTATGTTCAGGTAATTTGATGGTGTATTCTTATGCAATGAGATCTGGATGTCATTTCTGGTTCTGCTAATTAGAACATCTGTGACCTTGATCAAGCAAGAACTTTCTCTATTGTGGACCTCACATCCTACAATTGTATATTGTCCTGCATGTCCCTCAGACACTTTTCATTTTTCTTCAGTCTTTTTTCTTTTTGTCCTTTAGATTGGATAATTTCTGATCTTCTGAGAATTTTTTTATTATCTGCAACTTGCTGGGTTTTTCTTAGAATTTCAGTTTATTTTTTGTATTTTTTTAAATTTTAGTTATTGTGGTTTCAGTTCTAGAATTTCCATTTGGTTCTTCATACATTTCATTTATCTGCAGATTCCCCATCTTTGTTTATTAAGACCATATTCTTCTCTTATGTTTTGAACATATTTACTGTATGAGGGCTGCTTTAAAGTCTTCTAGTATTAAAGCCAACATTTGGGATATATGAAGGTCAATTTCTATTGGCTGTGGGCCATGTTATCCTGTTTCTTTGTCTAGTAATTTATATATTTGGAGACAAGGTCTTACTGTCATCCAGGCTGGAGTGCAGTGGTACAATTTCAGCTCACAGCATCCTCAACCTCTTGGGCTCAGGTGAGCCTCCCACTCAGCCTGTTAAGTAGCTGGGACTACAGGCATGCACTACCACGCCTGGCTAATTTTTGTATATTTTGTAGAGATGCAGTTTCACCATGTTGCCCAGGCTGGTCTCAAACTCCTGGACTCAAAGGATCCACCCACCTCGGCCTCCCAAAGTGCTGGGATTATGGATGTGAGCCACTGTGCCCAACCGTCTAGTAATTTTTTTACTGTACAGTGGACATTACTTGTGAGACATCATAGGGACTCTAGATCCTATTATCTCCCTCGGAAGAATGTCGACGTTTTGTCGTAGTAGGCAGTTCAGTTACCAGCTGATGCCACTGAATTTGCGTAGGCTTGGTTTTATGCTTTGGGGAGGATCTGTGGATAGCCCAGGGTCTTTCCTTGGTGGGATTCAACCTCAAATTCTGCCTGTGGATCTCATCAGAGGTTGATTTTAGGCTTTGTTGCAGTTGGTCTAGAATAGGCCTTATTCTAGGACATGGTCTAGCTGGATGCGTGAGGTCTGGGAGGTTATTAAGATGTTAAGTAGGTCTTTGCACGCTGGCTAGGCTTGAAATCCAGCATCCTCTAACATTGCTAGATGTATGGTATCTTCATTCATCTTGCAATCTTTTTGTTTTTTTTGTTTGTTTGTTTTTAAGATAGGGTCTCCCTCTGTCACCCAGGCTGGAGTACAGTGGTGTGGTCACAGCTCACTGCAGTCTCAACTTCCTGGGCCCACCTCAGCCTCTGGAGTAGCTGGGACCACAGGTGTGCACCACCATGCCCCACTAATTTTTGTATTTTTAGTAGAGATGGGGTTTCGCCTTGTTGCCCAGGCTGGTCAGGAACTCCTGACCTTAAGCGATCCACCCACCTCAGCCTCCCAAAGTGCTAGGATTACAAACGTGAGCCACCATGCCCAGCCGCATCTCTCAGTCTTAAAGCAGGTACATTGTGGTGAGCTTCAGGCAGTGTCACCCTGTGTGTGTGCAGTCCAGCCCTCAGCTGTCCTCACTGGAGACACTCCCCATTCCCTTGCTCTGTGGTTTGCTTTTCTCTGGTGCTGTGCCCTGCAGATTCCAGCCACTTTAGCTCTCCTGAACACTGAGGATTTTACTCCTCAGCTCAGCAGGCCCTGACCCCTGCTTGGACCCAGCTTGCTGAACCCCAGTTGGAAAATTGTACCTAGGCAGAGGGCCATGGTGGTCATGGGGCTAAGCATGTAAATTTCCCTTCTCCTGGGAGTCATGCTCCGGTACTGGCCCTAATCCAACACCTGAAAAAAGTTATCTCGTATTTTGCACAACTTTTTGGTTTACCTGGGTACCAGTTAGTCTCATAGACAGATGAGAAAGTCACATTTGTTACTTATTTTTTTCACATCAGATGGGTAATGTGCTGACATAACAAGGTTTGAGGGAGGCATGTCTCACATATAAGCATGAAACCCCAATCATCACCCTTACAAACTACAAAAGGATCACGTTTCCGATTTTTATTGTTTATTAGATTAAAAAAAATTTTAAGAGATAGGGTCTTGCTGTACAGTGGTGCAGTCACAGCTCACTGCAGCCTTGAACTCCTGGGCTCAAGTGGTCCTCCTGAGTAGCTGGGACTACAGATGCAAGACACTATGCTTGGCTAATTTTTTTTTTTTTAGAGACAGGGTCTTGCTATGTTACCCAGTCTGGTTGAACTCTGGGCTCAAGCGATCCTCCTGCTTTGGCTTCCCAAGGTGCTGGTATTACAGGTGTAACCCGCTGTGCCCAGCCAACATTTCTTTTTTTTAATATGAGGATAATAGTCTTAAGAACAATAGGGAAAATATTCCCTAGCTTCCGTAAGGTCTTTTGTATTAATAAACATTAAATACATGTTAGTGGGGTTGAATCAAATACCCTACTATCTGTAGCAATGGATAGTATTTTAGCTTTTTTTTAATAGACATTTTCAAGGACTTGTTGCCTTGAGCTGAGCTAGAAAAAAAACTTGAGATATTTAGAGATCTAGCTAAAGAGCTTTCTCTTCTGCTCAAGCTGCTAAAACAAGCTGTTTAAAATATATATATATATATATGAAGAGGTGAGAGGCAGAAGAGTATACCCTGCATTCTGCATTTTATTGGAAGAACTGATCTGAGAGAACCATAGTCTTGGCAGGTTTGTTGGAGAGGCTGAAATCATAGGCAGTCTGTGAACCTGCAGGAACAAGCCAGTGAGTCAGGGCACCAAGTGTGGACATACGGCTATCTGGATTAAATATCTGTAAATATCTGACCCTTTTGAGGTTTTGAGACTTTATTCTCCTTTTTAGTATTTGCAATTAGCAGGTTACCTCCTTCCTGGCTTTTGGTCTCAGATGCATTGATCAGCAACTAAAAGTTAGTGGGGCAAGTCTGGGTGTGGTGGCTGACGCCTGTAATCCCAGAACTTTGGGAGGCCGAGGCGGGTGGATCACTTGAGGCCAGGAGTTCGAGACCAACCTGGCCAACATGGTGAAACTCTGTCTCTACTCCAAATACAAAAATCTAGCCGAGCATGGTGGCACATGCCTGGCCTGTAGTCCCAGCTACTGGGAAGGCTGAGGCAGAGAATCACTTGAACCTGGGAGATAGAGGTTGCAGTGAGCGGAGATCATGCCATTGCACTCCAGCCTGGGCAACAATATATCTATATCTATATCTATCTATCATAGATATAGATATCTATATAGATAGAGATAGATATAGATAGATATAGATATCTATATAGATAGAGATAGATATAGATATCTAGAGAGATAGAGATAGATATAGATATCTAGAGAGATATGGATATCTAGAGAGATATAGATATCTAGATAGATATAGATATCTAGAGAGATAGAGATAGATATAGATATCTAGAGAGATATGGATATCTAGAGAGATATAGATATCTAGAGAGATAGTATATAGCAGTATAGTTAGGGCTTTTCCAAGTAATGACTTTTGCAATCTGTGTATCAACATTTACCTTAAATGAAATTCAGATGACTGAATTCTTCAAAGAATTAAATACTAGAATGACCATCAAGAAGCAGTTCTCTAAATTACTACCACCCAGAAAAATGTTTAAATGAAGTGAGTGAAATTTAAAAACTCCCAGTGATTTCAGGAGTCTTACAGATTCATTATTAAATGGGCCATCTTTCAAGACAAAATAAACCCTCAGGTTAGGAATCACATGAACAATTTATCTGGATCAAAAAACTGGTGGCTGAGTTGAGATAGTTGCAGAATAACCAGGCAGCTTGTTGAATGAATCTTCTTTTAATTATAAAAAATTTTTTTAGAGACAACGTCTTGCTATGGAGTATAGTACCTATTCACAGGCGCCATCATAGCACACCACAGCATTGAACTCCTGGGCTCAAATGATCTTCCTGCTTCGGCCCCCAAGTAGCAGGGACTACAGGCATGCACCACCATGCTCAGCTTGAGTGAATCTTTTTAACTGGAGAAATTCTCTTTTTTTTAGACATGGTCTTGTTATGTTGCCCCAGCTGGTCTTGAACTCCTGGGCCCAAGCAATAGTCCCACCTTGTCTTCCTAAATAAAGTGCTAGGATTACAGGTGTGAGTCACTGTGCCCAGCCCTACTAGAGACATTTGAAATGCAGATATTTGAAAGCTGTATAATCAGTAGTTAATATGGACTTACATGCAAATATGTTTGACTTCTTGATAACCTGGCAGTTAGTTCAGTGTTGCAGCATGAATCTTCTCCCTCTTTTCCTTGAATCCTTGGTTGTGGGTGTTTCATAAAAAGTCTTAACCTTTAAGGGTGAAAGGTGCCAAACACAGTTCTTCTGCCCCACAAATGCACTGTCTGCTTGGAGAGAAGCTATTTGATTCCTGCACAGCTCCTGGGGCCGCCTCCCATACAGTGTTCTGTGTGAGTGGAGGCCCCAGAAATCTGCACCGAGTTGGCCCAGGAGACAGGTGCTCAGGTGTGTTAGCTGGTCGTGGTGGTGGGCTCTGTAATCCCAGCTACTCTGGAGGCTGAGGCAGGAGAATCACTTGAACCTGGAGGCGGAGGTTGCAGTGAGCCGAGATTGTACCATTGCACTCCAGCCTGGTGACAAGAGTGAAACTCCGTCTCAAAAAAAAAAAAAAAAAAAAACTGCAATGGTTTTCTTTCCTTGTTCCATACTGCTTTCTGATTTTTGACTGTTTCACTGTCCTTCCTTTATAGACCCCTCTTCTGAAGTTACATTATGTTATAGACAACTCCAGATCTTTCTCTTTAGCCCCATATTTAACTGCCCAGGTGTCTGGTCTCACCAGCTTGTCAGACTCCTGATAGTAAAAGTTGAACTCCAGGACAGGTGCGGTGGCTCCCGCCTGTAATCCCAACACTTTGGGAGGCTGAGGCAGCAGATCACGAGGTCAGGAGATCGAGACCATCTTGGCTAACACGGTGAAACCCCGTCTCTACCAAAAATACAAAAAATTAGCCGGGCCTGGTGGCGGGCGCCTGTAGTCCCAGCTACTTGGGAGGCTGAGGCAGGAGAATGGCGTGAACCTAGGAGGCAGAGCTTGCAGTGAGCCGAGATCACGCCACTGCACTCCAGCCTGGGTGACAGAGCGAGACTCCATCTCAAAAAAAAAAAAAAGTTGAACTCCAGTCCAGATGTGGCGGCTCATGCCTGTAATTCCAGCACTTTGGGAGGCCAAAGCAGGTGGATCACCTGAGATCAGGAATTCAAGACCAGCCTGACCAACATGGTGAAACCCTATCTCCACTTAAAAAAAAAAAGTTAGCCAGGCGTGGTGGCTTATGCCTGTAGTCCCAGCTACTCGAGAGGCTGAGGCAGGAGAATCACTTGGATCCTGGAGGCAGAGTTTGCAGTGAGCCAAGATCACGCCATTGCACTCCAGCCTGGGCGACAGAGTGAGACTCCGTCTCAAAAAAAACTTAAAAGTTGAACTCCTTTCTCTTATGCTTCCTTCTCCATCATGCTGAACTCTGTTGATATGCCTTTTACACTCGTGCTTTCTCTTGATTTTGTGCCTTTGCATGTGCTTTTCTTAGAATCTTCTTTTCTACCTTTTCATGGGTAGCTCCTACTTGCCTTTCAAGTTTTAGTGTAAATGTCACTTCAGGAAGGTGTCCTCCGCCCTTGGTTACATTTAGTAAATGATGTCTCACAGTTATATGTTCCCTTAGTTGTTGGCATATCCCCCCTCATGGTTCTGTATCCTTAGTCTTTTTGTTTGATATCTGTCTTCCTTCTGCTGCTGCCTCCCCCATCTCTGAGGGCATGAATATTATGTGTTCTGTTCATTATTTTATCCCTTTTGAGCACATGATAGGAGTTTAGAAAATATTTGTTGAATGAATAAGTGAAGCATTAAACAAGAAAAAGGATTTGGGTGTTAGATATACTTGATTTGAATCCACTTCCAAAACTTTACTTTTTTTTTTTTTTTTTTTTTGATATGAGGTCTTGCTATATTGCCCAGGCTGGCCTCGAATTCCTGGGCTCCAGTGATCCTCCCACTTCAGCCTCCTGAGTAGCTGGTACTACAGACCAGCTAGTGTGCCCATTTTCAAAACTTAACCTCTTAGATCCTCTTTCCTTATCTGTGAAATGGAGATAATACCTATCTTAGAGATAATACCCATCTCAGACTAAATGAGAAAGACTAAAAGGTACACAGCACAGTATTTGACATGTAAGTGCTCTGTAAATAACAACACAACACTTCCGAGCATTTCCTGTAGGCAGTGTTAGAAACTTCATAAACTTTGCATATATTAACTCATGCAGTCTTCACAATAGTCCTATAAGGAAGGCGGGAAATAATATCCCCAGAGTTTAGGTAACTGTCCAAAGTTTCTACTTCCTAAGTGGGACCCAGAAACTGCCCTAGTATCTTCATGCTGTAGTTTTATTTCCTATTCTCCTTTTTTTTTTTTTTTTTAAAAAAAATAGAGACAGGATCTCATGCTGTTGCCTAGGCTGGTGTGCAGTGGCATCATCATAGCTCACTGCTGCCTTGAACTCCCAGTCTGAAGTGATCCTTTTACTTCAGCCCTCTGAGTAGCTAAGACCACAGCATAGGCACGTGCCACAATGCCCAGCTTTTTAAAAAAAATTTTTTGTAGAGATGGAGTCTTGCTCTGTTGCCCAGGCTGGTCTTGAACTTCTGGGCTCAAGGGATCCTCCTGCCTCGGCCTCCCAAAGTGGTGGGATTACCGGCATGAGCTACAGTGCCCAGCCCTTCCTATTCTACTTTTAAAATCAGTACTAGGATCAATAATGGATTAGATTAGATTATAATATAATTAGTATACATCTAATTAGCACATAATGAATATACATCTAACTAATACATTGGTTTGCTCAGGCTCTTTGTTTTCCAGATCAAGAAACTGAGACCTAGAAGCTAAATAACTTCATAGAGGTTTCATACTTAGATCGTGGCAGAGACAAGCTAGTACAGGTTCCAGGTTCAGCATTTCCCAAAGGATTGGTATTTCTAATTTTAATAGGAAAAGTTAGCATTTAGTTTTCCTGAATTGGATTTCAGAAATACAATCATCCTAATTTAAAATTATGTTATTACTAAATAATACAAGTAGCACAAATTTGCTTTTGGCTAAAATGTTTTATATTCCTTTGCAGTTATTATAATGTGTAAATTTGAAATGAAAATACATACACATAACTGAATGGGGTCTTTTATTTTTGCACAATTAGAATGTCACGTCATCTCCTCAGTATTCTACATTCCTAGAACATATCATCCCTCGATTCCTTACATTTCTCCAAGATGGAGAAGTTCAGTTTCTTCAGGAGAAACCAGCACAGGTAATGTAAAAAAATAACATGAGAAGACAAGGGTGCTGTGGGATTGTGACCAGTTACGAATTAACTCAGAAAACTTACGGTTCCACTTAAAAACGAAAGAGGTTTTGTCACATAAGGATAACTTTGTTCAAGACCGCTGCCTCCTCAGTTACATGTCTTGGTTTGATTTTTGTCTAGGACGTCCCTTTTACAATTTAAATTATTCACATTTGCCAACTGATGACATGTGTGTACACTGTTTACTATAGACCAGTGCAAATGTATACAGAAGAAGGAATGACTACCCCCCATACCTATTGCCTAGCTCCAATCTTACTGTCTTATTAATGTCAGTTCTTTTTTTTTTTTTTTTTTTTTTTTAAAAGACAAGGTCTCACTCTGTCACCCAGTCTGGAGTGCAGTGGTGCCAATCGTAGCTCACTGCAGCCTTGACTTCTTGGGATCAGGTGATCTTCCCACCTCAGTCTCCCCAGTAGCTGGGACTACTGGTGTGCGCCACAATGCCTGGCTAATTTTTAAAAAATTTTCTGTAGAGAATGGGGGTCTTGCTGTGTTGCCCAGGCTGGTCTTGAACTCTTGAGCTCAATAGATCCTCCTTCCTCAGCTTCCCAAAATTCTGGTATTACAGGTGTGAGCCACTACGCCTAGCCTAGTGTCAGTTCTTATAGCTATGGTCAATTTTGTTTTATCGACACGCCCCCAACACACTGTTCATACCTCCCTACCTTGATCATTTAGAAATAGTCCATATATATATATTTTTTTTTTTTTTTTTTTTTTTTGGGAGACGGAGTCTCGCTCTGTCACCCAGGCTGGAGTGCAGTGGCACGAACTCAGCTCACTGCAACCTCTGCCTCCCAGGTTCAAACAATTCTCCTGCCTCAGCCTCCCAAGCAGCTGGGATTACAGGTGCATGCCACCATGCCCAGCTAGTTTTTGTACTTTAATAGAGACCATGTTGGCCAGGCTGGTCGTGAACTCCTGACCTCAGGTGATCCGCCCACCTCGGCCTCCCAAAGTGCCGAGACTACAGGCGTGAGCCACTGCGCCCGGCCTACCACTTTTTCTATAAATATTTCAGCATGTAGCTCTTTTTTTTTTTTTTTTTGAGATGGAGTCTCGCTCTGTTTCCCAGGCTGAAGTGCAGTGGCGCAGTCTCGGCTCACTGCGAGCTCCGCCTCCCGGGTTCACACCATTCTCCTGCCTCAGCCTCCCGAGTAGCTGGGACTACAGGCGCCTGCCACCACACCCAGCTAATTTTTTGTATTTTTTTTAGTAGAGACAGGGTTTCACCATGTTAGCCAGGATGGTCTCGATCTCCTGACCTCGTGATCTGCCCACCTCGTCCTCCCAAAGTGCTGGGATTACAGGCGTGAGCCACCGCGCCCGGCCCAGCATGTAGCTCTTAAAAATAACTTTTAAAAAACGTTCCCATAATACCAGCTTATTAGTAAATAAAGTATTTTTATATCATGCCAGTGTGAGACCTTACATATTTGACCTTTTAGTTGTCAGCTCCACAGACAGAATCACAGAAGCTTAGTACAGCTCATGATATAACTAGTCCTTGGGCCCAAGGTAGTTGGCGATAGCATTATGGGAGCTAATGCGAGATGGTAAGGGGAGATCCCAAACTATGTTCAGTTTGTGTTTTGCTCTTTTTATCTTCAATGAACTCCATGTTCGTACACCAGTGTCCGTTGGACTTACTGATAAGCCGTGGAAGGGGAGAAATTGGCTTAGTCGATTTGGTACAGAGTTGTAGAAATACTGAAAATGATCATCTGCAGTACTTACTTTGGGTTACATTTAAGTAGTTTCTAGGACTGCTTGAAAAACTGGGTCCATTTTGTAGGATGGTGGTTCATTCCTAGTGCTGGGTGTAAACAGCTGTGTGACACTTGCAGAGTGTGAGATAATTAATTTGGAACCCTTGGAAGTATTTTTATCCTTACATTTATTTATTTTTTCTTGCCAGCAACTGCGGAAGCTCGTACTTGAAATAATTCATAGAATACCAACCAACGAACATCTTCGTCCTCACACAAAAAATGTTTTGTCTGTGATGTTTCGCTTTTTAGAGGTAAGTTTTGAGAATTAATTCTTGTCGTATAGCCGTATGTAAAACTTTCACTGATTTTTCTTATGGTAAATTTCAGCATTATACAACTGTTTTATCTTTCTCCCAAATTCCAAGTCACATGAGTAAAAATTTTTCTTAATGTCCCTTTTCCCCCATTTCCTCCACTCAGAAAGATTACTTAATTGAAAATCATTGTTTGAGTTACTGAGGAATTGGCCAGACATAGTAGGTACCTTTGAAACAGTTGCGGATGGTGAGCCGGGTGCGGGCCCGCAGACGCCCAGTGAGTGGCTCACTTGCATTGTTCTTTCCGTGTGTATCTCCAGTGTGGCGCATCACACCTAGTACATGCTCATAAAGAGTATCTCACATCCTTGGGGTGAATCCATCTGGTACCTCCAAATTGTTTTCTTGCTTCTCTTAGTCTTTCTTTTTTTTTTTCTTTTTTGAGATGAAGTCTTGGCCCAGGCTGGAGTGCAGTGGTGTGATCTTGGTTCACTGCATCCTCCACCTCCTGGGTTCAAGTGATTGTCATGCCTCAACCTCCCGAGTAGCTGGGATTACAGGCCCTTGCCACCATGCCTAGCTGATTTTTGTATTTTTAGTAGAGATGGGGTTTCGCCATGTTGGTCAGGCTTGTCTTGAACTCCTGACCTTGTGATCCACCCGCTTTGGCCTCCCAAAGTGCTCGGATTACAGGCGTGAGCCACCTCGCCCAGCCCTCCTAATCTTGATGCAGTTAGATTTCAGTCGTGTTTCTGGGCCTATTGGAAAGATGAGCTTGGATTCTGTCTTGGCTGGGGCGCTTTGTTGCTGTGTCATGTCAGCCACAGTGCTTAACCCCTGAGATATCATGCCCTCACAGGTCAGATGTAGATGGAACCCCATCCTCACAGAGCATTTGTAAGGTGCTTAGCACAGGGTCCAGTCCTTGGCACTTGCCCAATAATTCTTTCCTGGTCTTTTCACAATATTGTCCAACAATGGAAAGTGTCATTTGGGCCATGAAGTCCTTAGCTCCTGGTGCCACTTTCCACAAAGGCCAGTGAAGCCCCTGTCCAGGTTACTCATGCAGAGCTGGCTGGTGGGATTCCCTTCTGGTGGTGCACTGAAGCTTTCTGTCTGGGACAACTGTGTTCTGTGAGCTGATGAATTTTCAGCAAATCCAATAGTTGGTTGATGGAAAGTGTGTGTGCAGAAACTGCTGAGAAAATTAGCCTTTAAAGTGAGTCTTCAGAAGTATAACTTTCATTAAATGCTTTTTTTTAGACGGAAAATGAAGAAAATGTTCTTATTTGTCTAAGAATAATTATTGAGCTACACAAACAGTTCAGGCCACCGATCACACAAGAAGTAAGTTGTTTAAAATCCTTATAGCATTTATAAAGTGTGTCAACATGTTCCTTCTGTGAAATTTTTTGCTGTCTCAAAGTTGGCTGAACACATACTGTTTTCAAGTGTAGAAATACAGCCTAAGTTTGGGGCAATTCTTTATGAGTTTAACAGTGACTTAAAAAAATGTTATTATCAATACTTTGCTAAATTGGTTCAGTAGTTGAAATGTATTAAATGACCAAACTGACAGGTTATTTGGGCTGTTCTGGTATTTATGCGTATGATGTACAAGTCATTGTATGTTGTACAGGGATTAAGATGTGGGCTCTGAAGCCAGAGCCGGGTTTGAATCTCACCTCTGCAATTCAGTAGCTGTGTGACATTGGTTAAGTTTGTAACCTTTTGGAGATTTTTCTGTAAAGTGACAATAATCATAGTATGTCCTTAAAATGTCATTTGAGGAATTAGACATAAAGTTTAAAGTTATTAGCACAGTGATTGGCATCTACCTATACAGTAAGCAGCAAGTATACATTTACCATAATTATATCTTCTCTGGTGATAACCTAAATAAGTGCCTGTTATAGATGATTTAAGGTAGAAATTAAATTATTTATTAAAATTAAAAATTATTTATTGAATTAAATAACTTAAAATAGAAATTAAAAGCATAAAGATGAAATAGGATTCCTACCATCTCAAAAACAGGATTTTATGTCTTGGTGATTTTCTTTCCTTTCCTTTCTCTTTTCTTTTGTTGTTTTTTTTTAGATGAGTCTTCCTCTGTTGCTCAGGCTGGAGTGCAGTGGCGCAATCTTGGCTCACTGCAACCTCTGCCTCCCGGATTCAAGCGATTCTCCTGTCTCAGCCTCCCCAAGTAGCTGGGACTACAGGCTTATGCCACCACACCCAGCTAATGGTTTTTTTTTTTTTTTTTTTTTTTTTGTATTTTTAGTAGAGATGGGGTTTCACCATGTTGCCAAGCTGGTCTGTAACTCCTGACCTCATGTGATCCGCCTGCCTCAGCCTCCCAAAGTGCTGGGATTACAGGCATGAACCGCCATGCCTGGCCTGTTCTTTCCTTTTTCTCACGTTAATGTTTTTGTATATTTTCTACATAATTGTGGTAATACTGTATATAACATCTTATAGCTTGATCATGTTAAGTGTAAGCATTTTCACAGTCATAAAAAATTCTGTATACAATTTTTAAAAAAATTTTTGTAGAGACAGAGTCTGTCTATGTTGCCCAGGCTGGTCTCAAACTCCTGGCCTCAAGTGATCCTCTAGTCTTGGCCTCCCGAAGTGTCAGGATTGTAGGCATGAGCCACTGTGCCCATCCACAATTATTTTTTAATGGGTACATAGTATTCTTTCTTATGGGTGTCCTTATTTCTGGATATTGAAGGTATTTCAAATTTCTTATTTTAATGGTTATTATGGAATACCTTTGTTTACTGTTCAAATTATTTCATAGACTAGCTTTGTAGGAGAATTACCGAGGCAAAGGCATTGAAGTGTTAATGCTCCTGTGTTAAGCTGATTTCTAGGAAGGTTTCAGTGGTTTACGGCCCCACAGTATATGAGAGTCTTTCTCTCGTTCCATCCTATCAGGCATTGTGTATTACTATTTTGTGAAAGGCAAAAACTGGCATTTATTTTAATTTTCAACTCTTTGCTCTTCCTGAATCAGAAACTTGTTATCTGTTTATCAGTCCTTTATATTTACTTATTTTTTTGTTTGTTTACATCCATTGCCTATTTGTATCTTGAGCCCACCATTTTCCTTACCTCTCTTATGAGTTCTTACGTAGTAAGACAATTACAACTTTTCTTATTTATTATGGGTATTTTCTGTTTATGAATATCTTCCTATAACGAAAGTGTCTGCTTTTTTTAGATTCATCATTTTCTGGATTTTGTGAAACAGATTTACAAGGAGCTTCCAAAAGTAGTGGTATGTTTTTACTTTGGTTTTAATTAGTTACATTTGTTTATACTTCCTTATTCCAAAAAGACTTTAGAACAGTTGGGTTGCAGAAATAGTGTGTGGGGAGGGTTTACTATTTTAGAATGGGGAATGTTTAGCAATGGTTAAAAACTGGGTTGATAAGTCAGCCATTCAAAAAAGTAGCTTTTTTAGTTTTTCTGTTTCACTTAAGTACTTTTTTTGTACATAAAGGCAATATGTTTTTATTGTAGAAATTTTGGAAAAATAATTGTCATAATTCATTTACTGGTAAGCAACCATTGACATGGAGGTTTTGCTTTTGGTTTTCACTTTGTGCATTTTAAAGACGGTTGAGTTTACAGGCTCGAAGACTTTTTGGGGAGGTGGTGTATATTTTCAGTTTTTTTTTAAATTTTACTAACTTTTTTTTCGATCTCATTAAGAACTCTTTATAAGCAGTGCCACAATATACAGGTTTGTGGAGTAGAGGAGGAAAATCTCCTCATCTCCTTCCTGCTTATTAGAAGTAAACACTCTTGCCAGTTTGGAATAGCTTCTTCCAGACTCTTCTTCTGGGAATCATAATTCTTTCTTTTTTTTTGGCTGGGGGTGCGGGGGTACGGGGTCTCTGTCTGCCCAGGCTGGAGTATAGTGGCGTGATCTCTGCTCACCGCAGCCTCCACCTTCTGAGTTCAAGCAATTCTCCTGCCTCAGCCTCCCAAGTAGCTGGGATTACAGGCGTGCGGCACCCACCCAGCTAATTTTGTATTTTTAGTAGAGGCTGGTCTTGAACTCCTGACCTCAGGTGATCCACCCACCTCAGCCTCCCAGAGTGCTGGGATTACAGGCGTGAGCCACTGCACCCAGCCTAAAGATTTCTTTTTTAATCTTTAAAAAGTTTTTAAATTGATATAGGATAAAATTGACTCTTTTTGGCATTTAAAGGATTTCAGTCTGGGGAGAATGTATAAAACTTAAAATTAGTGACTTTGAGTTGTCAAGTCCTGCCACCTGCCCTCCTGTCAAAGCCCGAGCGCTGCTTTTCATAGGCAGCTGCCTTGTTGAACGTGAAACCCCAAATCCACTGAGAGCGAAGGTTGGCAGTGAGGTCCTGGCTTTTAAAAATGTCCTGTGTTTTGGCCAGGGGCAGTGGCTCACCCCTGCAATCCCAGTACTTTGGGAGGCCCAGGTGGGTGGATCACCTGATGCTGGGAGTTCGAGACCAGCTTGGCCAACGTGGTGAAACCCCGTCTCTACTAAAAATACAAAAATTAGCCAAGCATGGTGGTGCGCGCTAGTAATCTCAGCTACTTGGGAGGCTGAGGCGGGAGAATCACTTGAACCCGGGAGGTGGAAGTTGCAGTGAGCCAAGATCGTACCACTGCACTCCAGCCTGGGCAACAGAGCGAGACTCTGTCTCAAGAAAGAAGAAAAAATGTCCTGTGTTTTGCTTGTTCCCTCTTTGATGTCTATTTAGAGAGTGAAAAATTAATCAGTGGGGACTGCCAGCTCGTAGTTTCTTCCCAGAAGGGATGGAGTGCTTTCTTTCCTGCCTCACTGTGGTAGGAATGTAATAGGGTTTGTATTTAATCATTTATTAGCCAGGGCAAAAAGAGTAGAAAATACTTTTAGGCAAGCTTTGTCTTCTGTTGTTGAAGATGGAGAACATGGTCCCTGTCGTGTTATCTTTATGGTCCTGTGGGAAGAGTAAACGTCTAGTGTGTGTTGGTTTAGGCTTTAAGGGGCATTGGAAAATGAATGGCTGAGCCTAAATACTGTGGAGTTGGTGCAGCATAAAAATGTAGAACATACTGTTTTTTTCCACCAAAGAGTCAAGCGTCTTTTTGTTTTGTTTTGTTTTGTTTTGTTTTTGAATGAATATTGGGTTTGACTTTAGGAAAAAATATTTTTATGACTTTTATGTAGAACCGCTACTTTGAGAACCCTCAAGTGATCCCCGAGAACACAGTGCCTCCCCCAGAAATGGTTGGTATGATAACAACGATTGCTGTGAAAGTCAACCCGGAGCGTGAGGACAGTGAGACTCGAACAGTAAGTGTTTCGCTGAGTTATTTCTACCCGTGGCTCCTGTAGTTTCGGATACTGGCCTGTTAAACCATTTTTTTTTCTCTTAAATACTTGGAGGCATTTAAGACAAACGTGTGTGCCTGGCAAAGCATCACTGGTCCTTCTCTGCAGCCTGGGAGGGGTGAAAGTGACCTTTTGGGTGTCATTGATGCCAGGCTAGAAAGATAAGGTTGTTGTTGAAACCCAGAATCACCCTGCTGGGAAGAGCAGCAGACCAGGTGTGGGGTGTCTGTTCTGTCCCTTAGCTTTGAGTCTTTTGACATTAATAAAGTCCCTTAAACTATAGATAAAAGCATATAGCTCAGTGACTGAGAGTGTGGGCTCTAGGACAGAGAGCTCCAGTACAATGTCCTGGCCCCACTGGGGTTTTCTGACTCCAAGAAAGTTAATGAACCTGCGTTCTGACCTTATTTTTCCTCTCATTATCTGAAAAACCTGTCTCACGGACTTTGTGAAGGTAATGCTGGCATGGTCCGCAGGTAATGTATCGTATATTTGTGGTGTCTGCCACATAGGTAACATGTTTTGAGCACTTACTATGACAATTTTTGTGATTGAATTATTATCCATGTTTGTTTTTCTGAAATGGTTGTGCAGAGTGTTTCAGTTGTGCTAGGATGAACAAGAAACTTTGAGTAACGCTTTCCTCCTTTTGTTGTTCTTAGTTAGAAATTTGTTTTCTGAGTATCATTCCTTTGTATTTTCTTTTTTCCTTGTCTGTTGATATCCATTGCCCATCTGTATTTTGAGCCTGACATTTTCCTTGTTTCATGAGTCCTTATATATTAGGACTGTTGAACTTTTGTATATTGTAAGCATTTTCTGTTTATAAATATCTTTGAATAAAACTGCTGAGTAAATTGTACTTTGTGCTGTTCTTTTAAATAAGTGAAGTCATAGGCATTCATTTTAAAAATTTCTCAGATGATTTGAATCTCCAAGTTTGGACATAGTTTCCTGAACTTTTTACAAATGATTATGTAGAAAAATATGCAAACCTTTAGGCCGGGCACGGTAGCACACACCTGTAATCCCAGCACTTCGGGAGACCAAGGTGGGCAGATCACCTGAGGTCAGGAGTTTGAGACCAGCCTGGCCAACATGGCAAAACCGCATCTCTACTAAAAAACACAAAAATTAGCTGGACGTGGTGGTTCATGCCTGTAATCCCAGCTACTCAGGAGGCTGAGGCAGGAGAATGGCTTGAACCCAGGAGGTGGAGGCTGTAGTGAGCCAAGATCGCACCACTGCATTCCAGCCTGGTGACAAGAGCAAGACTCCATCTCAAAAAAAAAGAAAACCTTCATATTGAATTGTATTAAATGATAGTTCTGCATACTTTGTTTTCAACATAGTTTGGATCTTTCATCAGTTTGGATCTTTCATCACAAATATTTACAAAGAGGTGTCACTGTTTTCCGTTCTCTCTCTTTCAGTGGGTGATGCTCAGTGGGCACTGGTGGGGGCTATTTTAAATGCCACAATGGTAACCCGGGTCCTACCCATTTCTGTCTTCCAGCATTCCATCATTCCGAGGGGATCACTTTCTCTGAAAGTGTTGGCAGAATTGCCCATTATTGTTGTTTTAATGTATCAGGTATGTGTATTGCTCATTAGTCTCTTGGGTTTTGGGCTTCTTATAAGAAAATTGGCATCTGGGGCCAAAAGATGTGTATAATACACACATGCTAAATAATGTGATGATTCTTCGGTATGCCAGATTTTGTCGCCATAGCAGAGTGTCAATGTATGAAAATCTGGTATGTTTGCTTTTAGCTCTACAAACTGAACATCCACAATGTTGTTGCTGAGTTTGTGCCCTTGATCATGAACACCATTGCCATTCAGGTGTCTGCACAAGCGAGGTGAGGCGTCACTGTAGCCGGCTGCCACAGTGCCTGGATTCCAAGTAAAAATACACTTGCTGTTGTCATTCTTAAGACATGAAAATTATGAGTGATAAAATTTTGGTAAAATTATATGCACTGTTGACTTTCTGCACCTGTGTTTCAGGGATGACAGTTGTAGCTATTTTCGTTCTTAATTTGGAAAGATGAGATAATAGCTCGTATTCTGGTGCGTTGTAAATTAAAAATGTCGTCAGGCATTACCGTGCTCAATGACAGCTATGGCATGTCCAAGCCTTGCTCACCTTCAAGACTTTGTTCTTGCTGATTGTTCAGCTTGAGTGCTAGAATGTTCTTTACACCCTCAGTTCCCCATCAGCCTTCATCTCCAGATAGGCTGTGTTCATCCTTTGAAGCCTCTCGGTGAAGCCTTTTCTCAAACCTAAGGACGTTCCTCCTGAGACTGTCTTCATGCACCCTCCTGACTTGGAGCCCGTCTGGCTGTGTCATTTGAGGGCAGCATCTGAGGAGGAATCTTCTTTGGCCATCGCCACGGCCCTAGTTGGGGTCTTGCACTGAGCAGATGTTACTCGAATTCTTTCTGCGGATTGAGTAGAACGGCCTGGCACTGGCTTTGTGGGATTCACATTGTAACTGCTATGGAATGGGCTGGAGAACTGGTTGGTGTGTTTCCTTAAAACTTTTATGTTATTTGGAATTGCACGAAAGGTGTAGACACCTTTGCTATTGTTGCTGTGTTGTTTGGGTCTGTGTGGAAATCAATCTTTTGGGTTTAGTAATGGTTACAGGCTTTTAATTAATACTAACATCACTCATAATTGAGAGGTAATATTTTTGTTCTCTTCTTATTCAGGCAACATAAGCTTTACAACAAGGAGTTGTATGCTGACTTCATTGCTGCTCAGATTAAAACATTGTCATTTTTAGCTTACATTATCAGGATTTACCAGGTAAGGTCATTGACTTTTATGTCAGGTTTATTGAGATAGTTTACATACAATAAAATTCACCTTTTGTGGGTGTACAGTTCTAGGAATTGACAAATATTGGTAATCATTACTAACACATCAAAATACGGTACATTTCCATCAACCTCCAAAATTCCATTGTTATATATTTGTTGTCAGTTTCTTCCCACCACCTCCATTCCTTGGCATACACACCGATTTATTTGGTCCCCATAGTTTTGTCCTTTCTAGAATGTCATCTAAATGGAAATGTCCAGTGTCTAGTCTCTGCAACCTTTTGAGTCTGGCTTCTTTCACTTAGCAGTAATGTGGAGATAGGACCTTGTTTTACTGATTACTTTTTATTGCTGTGTAGTTGTCTTTGCTTGGCAGCCTTAACAAAAAATCCCATAGGCTAGGTTGCTTACACGGTAGCAATTGTCTCACAGTTCTGGAGGCTGGAAGTCTGAGATCAAGGTTCTGGTTTCTGGTGAGGGCTTTCTTCCTGCCTTGCAGACAGCTGCCTTCTGCTGTGTCCTCACAATGGCGAACAGAGAGGGAGAGTTCTCTCCTCCTCTTACACGGCCACCGTCCTGCCAGATAACGGCTGCAGCCGTATGACCTCACTGAACTTTCATCCCCTCCTGAAGACTCTGTGTCCAGATACAGTCACATATGGAGTTAGGGCTTTCACATGGGAATTTTAAGGGGATGCAGCTCAATCCACAGCAGTAGAATCCCATTGTGTGGATGTATCATGGTGTGTGTTTATCCATTCACCAACTGATGAGTATTCAGATTATTTCTAATGTTTTTGAAAACAGCTTTATTATTTACTTACTATTTTTTGAGATAGAATCTCACTCTGTTGCCCAGGGTGGAGTGCAGTGGCACAATCTCAACTCACTGTAGCCTCTGCCTCACTGGTTCAAGCTATTCTTGTGCCTCAGCCACTCGAGTAGCTAGGATTACAGGCATGCACTACCATGCCTGGCTAATATTTGTATTTTTTGTAGAGGTGAGGTTTGGCCATGTTGCCCAGGCTGGTCTTGAACCCCTGGCCTCAAGTGATCTGCCCACCTCAGCCTCCCATGGTGCTGGGATTACCGGCATGAGCCAGGCCTAAAAACAGCGTTATTGAGATATAGTTTATGTATCATAAAGTTCCCCCTCTTTAAGTGTACAATTAAGTGGTTTTTAGTTTAGCCACAGATTTGTACCATTACCACCATCCAATTTTAGAATAACGTCATCATCCCAAAAAGAAACCCTGTCCCATCAGCAGCCTTCCTTGACTATGTGCTCTTGGCAACCACGATTGTACTTTCTGTCTTTACGGATTTGCCTGTTTCATTTTTGGCCATTATTAATAAAGCAACTATGCACATTTACATGCAGATTTTTGTATGGACATATTTGGTTCATTGACTTTTGCTGCTGTTAGAAGTTGTGTGTTGTGGCAGCTAGGTGTGAGAGAGATTGGAATTTAAAAGGCGTTATCAGTAAAACTGATGAAGAAGTTCTGGGTGCTTTTCTGAGGAGACTGTATGGTGGATTTTTGTTTCATTTTTTCATGCATAGTTGTGTTCTTATTTAAATCATGAGAACTTGAAGGAAAAAATACCTTATCTCCTTTTAGTGTTTTTGAAAAGAATTCTTATATGATTGTTCTATAGTATGGAATAAATTCAGTACTGATCTATATCAATGGAATTGGATTATAATTTATGCTTTTTGTATGGCTTTTATTTCAGAAAAATAAAAATTAAAGAGCTGAATTGTTTAGAATAAAAACTACTTTTGAAAGCATTTGTAATCTTTTCCCCCTTAATTTTAATGCATATGATTAGATAATGATAGCTTACATGAAGAAAATGGAACATTTGGTGTAAAAAGTCAAATTAGGTACCCCTTGACATTTTAGTCAGCTTGCGTTATCTTGGTGAGTGGCCTTCTGCTGACACCGCAAAAGAAGATTGTGGTTAGAGCCTGTTCTGAGTTGGCTCAAGTTGACTCCACTGTTGTTCACAACTTACATTAATGGGATGACTAAGTAAACAAGTAATTACCTTAAAAAAAATCTTAGAAGCCTGGCATGGTGGCTCATGCCTATAATCCCAGCAGGTGGGAGGATTGCTTGAGCCCAGGAGTTGGAGGCCAGCTCGGGTAACATAGCAAGACCCCCATTTCTAAAAAAAAAAAAAAAAAAGAAAATTAGGCATGGTGGTATGCACCCTTAGTCCCAGCTACTGAGGTGGGAGGATGGCGTGAGCCCAGGAAGTCGAGGGTCACTTGAGTCAAGCTTAGTCTTAACGGTTTTTTTTTTGGAGACGAGTCTCACTCTTTCATGCTGGAGTGCAGTGGCTTGATCTTGCCTCACTGCAACCTTCTCCTCCCAGGTTCAAGTGATTGTTCTGCCTCAGCCTCCCAAGTAGCTGGGATTACAGGCATGTGCCATCACACCCAGCTAATTTTTGTATTTTTAGTAGAGATGGGGTTTCACCATGTTGGCCAGGCTAGTCTTGATCTCCTGACCTCATGTGACCCACCCACCTCGGCCTCCCAAAGGTCTTACTGAATTTTTAAGAAGCTGATAACATTTGAATTTTTCTTAACACTCTCCTATCCCTGTAACTGTGTCATCTCACTCTGTTCTTACAGGAGTTGGTGACTAAGTATTCTCAGCAGATGGTGAAAGGAATGCTCCAGTTACTTTCAAATTGTCCAGCAGAGACTGCACACCTCAGAAAGGAGCTTCTGATTGCTGCCAAACACATCCTCACCACAGAGCTGAGAAACCGTACGTCCAGCCTGTCTTGTCTTGAATGCTGATGCTAGTCCTGTGGCCATCTTTGGGGACTCGGCTGACATTCCATAGTTGTGCTGTGAGGTTTCCATGTATCCTTGCTTCCTTCATTGCTGTCTTGGGTTCATTCTTTCCCCTCTTTTCTCTCCCTCTCTGCCTCCCTGTATTAGTCTGTTTTCACGCTGCTGATAAAGACATACCCGAGACTGGGCAATTTACAAGAAAAAGAGGTTTTATGGACTTACAGTTCCACGTGGCTGGGGAGGCCTCACAGTCATGGCAGAAGGCAAGGACGAGCAAGTCACATCTTACGTGGATGGTGGCCCGCAAAGAGAGAGCTTGTGCAGGGAAACTCCCCTTTTTAAAACCATCAGATCTTAGCCGGGCACGGTTCTCGTGCCTCAGCCTCCCAAGTAGCAGAAATTACAGGCATCCACCACCACGCCCGGTTAATTTTTTTATTTTTAGTAGAGATGGGATTTCACCATGTTGGCCAGGCTGGTCTCGAACTCCTGACCTCAAGTGATGTGCCTGCCTCAGCCTTCCAAAGTGCTGGGACTACTGGTGTGAGCCACTGCACCCAACCTCTTTCCAGTACTCCTGCCATGAGTAAGAATTTTGGAGGTGTGTTGGGGACCTTTGTAGCACAAGGATTCTTGTAGATCTGCTGACAGATTCAGCTGGGTGTGGTGGCTCACGTCTGTAATCCCAGCACTTAGGGAGGCCGAGGCGAGCGGATCACGAGGTCAGGAGATCCTGACCATCCTGGCTGACACGGTGAAACACCGTCTCTACTAAAAATACAAAAAATTAGCCAGGCGTGGTGGCGGGCACCTGTAGTCCCAGCTGCTTGGGAGGCTGAGGCAGGAGAATGGTGTGAACCCAGGAAGGCAGAGTTTGCAGTGAGCCAAGATGGCGCCACTGTACTCCAGCCTGGGCGACAGAGCAAGACTCTGTCTCAAAAAAAAAAAAAAAAAAAAAAAAAATACTTTTCATGCTTACCAGGTCACCTCCTTCCCGTTACTGTACAAGCTAGCCCCTTCTGAAGGCATAAAGCTTGGTTTTAATCAGTGTTCACAGCTGCTAGCCAGAATTGCTGGCTTCCCAAGCTGCTGCCCTGCAGGGGTTGATCACATTAGACTTTCGGGGTTCAGCTTTTAGTCTTCCCTTTTTTAAAACTCCGTTTACTAGTTGGCTTGATTTTGTTTTTAACAAGATATTATAGGATGCTTTATTTTGAAGCCTTTTAGTAGTTCCTGAGACTTAAATAGACATTAGCATCACATCTCAAAGTTTTGGTGGAAAGAAACATGTAGAGAATCATGTTAAATGTTAACTGTGTGTTACAGTTAAAACGTCCACTTCCACCAACATTTTCTCTTCACCTTACTTTTTTGGCACCTGCAACGTTATCAAGTGGTAACTCATTTTCACTCATTCTGAAGAGCCAGTGGTTTGAGAAAACCTGCCATTTTAACAAGTTCAGCATTTTCCTAGAGATTCTGGTTCTGGGTCATGGAAAGGATCTGGAAAGTAGTGGTCACGCAATTTCATCTCCTATCACTCCTCCCTCTGCTGGAGGTGTTCCCACCTCCCCAGCCAGTTCTCCATGTCACGGCTGAGCCCTTTGCATCCCTCTGTGCCTCCTTCATCTTGGCCACTTCACTGCAGCCTGCCTGGCCTGTTGCATCCTCTGACCTCAGAGGGGCCTGCTTGTGGCTGTTTCCATTTGGCTGTTCCTCCGTGTGCTGCCTGGCTGTGCAGTTACCTAGAGATGTGCATCTTGCACATTTCAGTGTCTGCATTTCTTTTATGCCTTTGACCCTCAATAGCTACGAGCTGGTGGGAAATGTACTTTATTTGACTTACTGCAGCTGGCTTTATGTCAGGCTTATTCCAGAACCTGAACACCCTTTGGGATGATTGTATTAATAGAACTCCCCAGGGGAAGTGTGGACATGCTGTCGCTGCCCCATCTGCACATCCTCAGAAGCCTGAATTGTCCCTGAGTGGTGACCGGTTGTTTCTATAGAACCCTGGTTAGGTTCAGGCCTGCAAGGACGCAGAGAGTAAGTTTAGGGGTGGTTCCACCTGCAGGAATAGAGCAAGAGAGGAACCCCGGTGGGGATTCTGATGAGCATCATCCAGGGAATGCAGAACCGTAACCTGGGACTCATGCCTGTGAGAACATTGTAAAAACGCCTGGACCTTTGTAATTTACATAGAGAAACATCGTTAGGTCTTCTCAATATGCTTCAGGGTAGTAAAGGGGCATTTAGGAGATCCTGTTCCCTTGTCCAAACTGGTTGGGAGGGTGGTGACAATGTTTAAGGATGGTGGGATGTGCCCACAGTTAAGTATCAGAGGTGGGATCTCTGCCAGGGGACACCAAGCTGATTTATTCTTAATTTGATCTCTGACCCTGAACGTGACCCTGACTGCATCTTTGACAGCAGGTGGCTGGTGTGGCCCAGCAGAGCTGCTATGTTAGACTGAAATAGCACTTGTGCCTTTCTGGTCTCCTCTCTGTCCCTTTTCAGGTCTGGATTGCATATCAGACTGGCGGGCTGGCTACTTCGAAAGCACTGTAAAGTAATTTAATGTGTGTAATTGGTTTTGTTAGTGATCTGTGCAATGGATGTTTGTCTTCTAGAGTTCATTCCTTGCATGGACAAGCTGTTTGATGAATCCATACTAATTGGCTCAGGATATACTGCCAGAGAGACTCTAAGGTATGAGATTAAACCAGTGATATCTGGTTGGTTAAATGCCAGGAGCATCAGTTACTGGCACTTCATGTTACAAGTGTTTCAATGAACACCGGCTGTTGAGCCTTGACACACCTGTTAGGTTAGCAAGTGCAGGATTTTTGTTTTTGTTTTATTTATTTATTTATTTATTTATTTATTTATTTATTTATTTATTTTGAGGCCGAGTCTCACTCTGTCACCCGGGCTGGAGTATAGCAGTGCAATCTTGGCTCACTGCAACTCTGCCTCCTGGGTTCAAGCAATTCTCCCTGCCTCAGCTGCCCGAGTAGCTGGGATTACAGGTGCCTACCACCATGCCTGGCTAATTTTTGTATTTTTAGTAGAGATGGGGTTTCGCCATGTTGGCCAGGCTGGTCTTGAACTCCTGACCTCAGGTGATCTGCCTGCCTCAGCCTCCCACAGTGCTGGGATTACAGGCGTGAGGTACTGTGCCCAGCCAAGAATTGCAGGATTTTTGGAAAGCCCTTAGATTACTTTTTGTGCTCTAGCTTAAAGGAAGAAATCAGAGTAATCATCTTGATTTAATTTTAGGTAAAACTTTATCTGACTTTATTATTGTTTTTTGCTTTTTGTATAATGCATCTTTTTTTGTTAAAAAGAAATTTTTTTTTATAACCTACCAGGAAGATAGAAGGGAAGAAAACCTTCTGGTCCTGCACAGGGAGATGGAGTAATGTTGCTAATATCTTAATGTATGTCCGTATAATCTTTGTTTCTTACACTTAAAAAAAAAAAAAAAGTAGTTGTGGCCAGGCACGGTGGCTCACGCCTGTAATCCCAGCACTTTGGGAGGCCGAGGCGGGCAGATCACCTGAGGTCGGGAGTTTGAGACCAGCCTGACCAACATGAAGAAACCCCTTCTCTACTAAAAATACAAAATTAGCCAGGCGTGGTGGCGCGTGCCTGTAATCCCAACTAGTCGGGAGGCTGAGGCAGGGGAATCGCTTGAACCCAGGAGGTAGAGGTTGCAGTGAGCTGAGATCATGCCATTGCAATCCAGCCTGGGCAATAAGAGTGAAACTCTGTCTCAAAAAAAAAAAAGTAGTGATAATGGTTACTATTTCTAAAGCAGAAAATTAACATTTAATCATCTTTACATTATAAAATGAATCAATGTTTGTCATATTTTACTTCCAATAAGGAAGGCGTGATGGATCTTTTAAAAAATGTTTAGGTTCCTTTGAATATGATGCAGTTTTCTCACTGTTTTCTATAGACAATGTTATAAAATATTAAGACATTTTTTGTAACTTGGGGTTGAACTTGCCTAGAATTGGACGTTAGATTATGTTACTCCTGCTCGAAGCCCTCCAGTGGCTTTCTGTAGTTCTTAGAGAAAACCCAAACTCTTGACCATAGCATTTGAGTCTCTGCGTGATTTGGCTCTGTCCACCTGTTCTACATCTTGTGTTGGTCCTTCCTCTCTGACTTGTTGCAGCCACACTGGCCCCTGCAGCTCCCCTCTCCAATCTGCTGCAGCACGCCGCCCCCTACAGCCCCCATCCCTGACCTGCTTCAGCCATGCTGGCCCCTACAGCTCCCCTCCCTGACCTGCTTCAGCCATGCTGGCCCCTATAGCTCCCCTCTCTGACCTGCTGTAGCCATGCTGGCCCCTACAGCTGCCCTCCCTGATGTGCTGCAGCCACACTGGCCCCTATAGCTTCTTGGCTACTTCAGGCAGTTACCACCTCTGGGCCTTTATCTTTCCTGTTTCTTCCATCTGGAAATTTCCCTGGATTTTTGCCTTATGGCCCCTTTTTGTCCTTAAGATCTCAACTTCAGTGCCACCTCAAAGGAACTGTCCCTGGAACCCTGTTTAAGAATAGCTTGCCCCACTCATCTTTCTCATGTGCCCTTTTCACATCCCCGCTAGCACTTACTAACTTGTGTAGCTTATTTCTTTACTTGTGTGTTCTCTGCTGTAAGTAAGCTTCCTGAGGACTGGGGCTCTACTTGGGTCACTGGGGTGTCCCTGGCAGGCCCAGGATCTGGCACATGACAGGTGTCCTTGTGTTTAGTGAGGGAAAAAACTAGTAGCCTGAAAATTCTTACTGTGTCTCTGTAAAGTGGTCATCATATATAAAGATTGATTGACCCGTCCTATTTATTTTTGAGCAACAAAACCCATTCAGTGCATGATCAAGCTGGTAATATTCCTCCTTGGCTTAGCTGTATGTGCCAGCATCTATTAGTAACTTTATGACGTGCACAAAGTTAACCTTTTAGCTTGGAAGGTAAAGATGGAGGTATCAGTACAAAACTTGAGCCCTCTTCTGTCATGTATCTGGGAGAGAGTAATGTGGTGAAAATGGGCCATGTAAGTGTGCCGACCCAGGGGTGGTGTTCCTGGGGCAGATGGTGATATCCTTGGTGGCCTGCTGCAGCAGGCATGGCCACGTGGGAATGAGCACTAGTCGAGGTCTCTGCCCGCAGGCCCCTCGCCTACAGCACGCTGGCCGACCTCGTGCACCATGTCCGCCAGCACCTGCCCCTCAGCGACCTCTCCCTCGCCGTCCAGCTCTTCGCCAAGAACATCGACGATGAGTCCCTGCCCAGCAGCATCCAGACCATGTCCTGCAAGCTCCTGCTGAACCTGGTGGACTGCATCCGTTCCAAGAGCGAGCAGGAGAGTGGCAATGGGAGAGACGTCCTGATGCGGATGCTGGAGGTACCAGCTCTTCTGAGAGTATCATCCATCCTGCACTCTATCCTGTTTGTGGCTAAATTTTTTTTTTTTTTTTTTTTTTGAGACAGATCCTTGTTCTGTTGCCTAGGCTGAAGTGCAGTGGCGTGATCTCAGCTCACTGCAACCTCTGCCTCCTGGGTTCAAGTGATTCTCATGCCTCAGCCTCCCAGGTAGCTGGGATTATAGGCATGCACCATCATGCCCAACTAACATTTTGTATTTTAGTAGAGACAGGGTTTTCCCATGTTGACCAGGCTGGTCTCGAACTCCTGGCCTCAAGTGATCCTCCTGCCTCAGCCTCCCAAAGTGCTGGGATTACAGGCGTGAGCCACCATGCCGGACTTGTGGCCAAACTTGAACCAGTGCTGTAGGGGCGGCTTGATCGCTAGGCTTGATCCCAGGAGTTAGACCACCTAGGTTCAGACCCAGGCTCCCCAGATGCTTCACTTCTGTGCACCAGTTTTTTCATCTTTTCACTTGGGGTGATGATATCTGCCTCATAGGATCGCTGTGGGAGTTAAATCAGGCAGCGCTTGAAAGCTCTTAGCACACTTCCTGGCAAGTAATTAGGAGAGTTATTTTCTGGGGGCATAGTACCCAAGTGCTAGACTGGCTGTGGACCTCTCTGGGGAGACACCCAGAGTGTGAGGGATGTGATTCCTGAGCCCCAGGGGTGGTGGCGGGGCCCTGTTGGGACGAGGCCTGTAGTCCTGGATGAAATCCAGGCCCTGCTTGTCAGGCCAGTCACTCAGCCTTCCTGAGCCAGACTCTGCACATGCAAAACGGATATGGTATTGGGAGTAAATCGGCACCTTTTCCTTTACACGTGGCACAAAGGAGGTGCCCAGATGTTACCAGCCTTCCACCAGTTTTGTTGGGTTGGTGCGAAAGTAACTGCAGTTTCATCAGAAGTAATGGCAAAAACTGCAATTCCTTTGACACCAACCTCATAGAAAAGCAGCATGACTTGAGCAGCTGGTGTCAGTCCCATCTTATTTTACTGTGATCTGAGCAGTATTTGGCCTGTTGAAGAAGAATAATTCTGTCTTCCCTCTTGAATTTCTCTTCCCGTTAGGTTTTCGTTCTCAAATTCCACACAATTGCTCGGTACCAGCTCTCTGCCATTTTTAAGAAGTGTAAGCCTCAGTCAGAACTTGGAGCCGTGGAAGCAGCTCTGCCTGGGGTGCCCACTGCCCCTGCAGCTCCTGGCCCTGCTCCCTCCCCAGCCCCTGTCCCTGCCCCACCTCCACCCCCGCCCCCACCCCCACCTGCCACCCCTGTGACCCCGGCCCCCGTGCCTCCCTTCGAGAAGCAAGGAGAAAAGGACAAGGAAGACAAGCAGACATTCCAAGTCACAGACTGTCGAAGTTTGGTCAAAACCTTGGTGTGTGGTGTCAAGACAATCACGTGGGGCATAACATCATGCAAAGCACCTGGTGGTAATTCTGCTCTTCAGTTATGTAGACAAACAATAGTTTTCATAAAGTGAGTTTTATTCAAGTTAACTTAATATACTTTCTCTTTTCCAGAAGCTCAGTTCATTCCCAACAAGCAGTTACAACCCAAAGAGACACAGATTTACATCAAACTTGTGAAATATGCAATGCAAGCTTTAGATATTTATCAGGTAAGGAAGTGCCCTCCAGCCAGGCTTTCGCATATGGAAAGTACCTCTTAGTATTAGAGGTCATAGTGGTGGGGTGGCAGTGAGAGCTGTTAGTATTTGGATGGTCCACAGTATTTGTATACCCAGATGTGTTTTGTTCCACAACATAGCACTGCGTTTATGTGGGAATTCTTATTTATAAGAGTCTGTGCATTTTTGAGGGGCAGATAGTGTAAACGGAATGCAATAAAAATATAAGACTTAAGTTTAATAATTTTTTTCATGGTCTGAACACCTAGAGGTTTTTTTTTTTTAATTCTTTGCCAAAATTAAGGTGAGAAAGGAGAATTTAAAAGGTTTTGGAGGGGGACATTTGTTATCTAATTTAAGTGCTCTATTTTAAGTATGCAGCTGATCTGGTTACATAATGGAACATATTCAGAGAGGTTCAGTTTTAATGCCTGTGGGCGGCTTTTTTCCCCTGTATTAGGTCCAGATAGCAGGAAATGGACAGACATACATCCGTGTGGCCAACTGCCAGACTGTGAGAATGAAAGAGGAGAAGGAGGTATTGGAGCATTTCGCTGGTGTGTTCACAATGATGAACCCCTTAACGTTCAAAGAAATCTTCCAAACTACGGTCCCTTATATGGTGGAGAGAATCTCAAAAAATTATGCTCTTCAGGTATAAAACTCCTTTTTTTATGTTGTTTGAACATTACAATTCTTTGTTTATGTCTTAAATACTTTTTCATTTATTTCAAGGATTTTAAAAATAATGTAGCCAAGGATGTGCTTATAGCTCAAAATTTAAAGAAATATTAGGCCATAATGTCTTGAAACAATTCTTAAAAGATTCAAATGCTTTGGATCAGTTCCTTTCGTTAGTAGAAATAAATATGTGGGCCAGGTGCAATGGCTCATGCCTGTAATCCCAGCACTTTAGGAGGCCGGGGATTGCTTGAGCCCAGGAGTTTGAGATCAGCCTGGGCAACAATGGTGAAACCCATCTCTACAAAAAATACAAAAATTAGCTGGGTGTGGTGGCACACACCTGTAGTCTTAGTTACTTGGGAGGTTGAGGCAGGAGGATTGTTTGAGCCCAGGAGGTTGAGGCTGCAGTGAGCTGAGATCGCACCGCTGCACTCCAGCCTGGGTGACAGAGCGAGACCCCCATCTCAAAATCTCAAAAAAAAAAAAAAATGCATTAAATGTATTTGATGATGAGGATGAAATAACAGATTACATCATTGAAGTGAACTGCCCTGCTCAGTGCTCAGTAAACCCGTTTCATTTTTTTCCTTTGGTGGATAATTAAATTTCTTGGAATGTGTGATACAGGCTTGGTTTTATGTTTTTTGAAAGCTTACTACTTTGTCTTAAAACTGCTTTGGGGAAGGGATTAATTTTTCACATGTGTTTCTTGTATTGACAGATTGTTGCCAATTCCTTCTTGGCAAATCCTACTACCTCTGCTCTGTTTGCTACGATTCTGGTGGAATATCTCCTTGATCGCCTGCCAGAAATGGGCTCCAACGTGGAGCTCTCCAACCTGTACCTCAAGCTGTTCAAGCTGGTCTTTGGCTCTGTCTCCCTCTTTGCAGCTGAAAATGAACAAATGCTGAAGGTAAAGTCCATTTAATCTAAGTAGTGCTTCTGTTCAGGGTTTTTTATTGTTGTTAGAGACAGGGCCTCACGGTGGTGTCCAGGCTGGTCAGCGTTCTGGACTCAAGCAATCCACCTGCCTTGATCTCCCCAGTTTTTGGGACTATAGGCACTCACCACTGTGAGTGTGCCTGGCTTTTTTTTTTTTTAATTCTTATTTTCACTTTTAAACAAACTATAGTGACTCTTTATATTTATAAAGTACTCTTCGAAGTAGTAAATATTTGCAACAAATAAGGGCCAAGTGTGAAAATCATTCCGTGTATGTCTAAGCAGTAACTAATTTGTCTATCTAGTAACTTAAAATGAAAAATCCAGAACTCTTACGGTAAGCAAGTGTGGTGGTATTAGTATTGACACCACTGATTTTCTTTTTTAAACCTATTTTCTTTTTTTGGATTACACAAATAGGAGCAGATGGTTCTATTTTTAAAAATTTCAGTGATGCAAACGAACTTATTAGAAGGAAAAAAATGTCTTCACCTACCTCTCAAATATGGTGTGACAGTGCCGATTGTTACCAAGCAGTGGTCTCACTCCTGGATGCACACTGAAGCCAATACAATGGTACCAGCTTTTCAGGGAAAAAAAAACATCTTTATTGCAAGGTTGTTTGACAAGGAGACAGGAGACTCCGTTCTCCCAGAGCTGGGGTCTTGTGGTGGGTTTTATAGGAAGAGTAACTGTGAGGGAGACGGAAAAATGCAGTGAGGCATGATTTGATTGAGCTCTGCAGTGAGGCAGTGCTGGGTCTTTTGCTCTTAAGTTCCTATTGCAACAAAACAGGGCTCCCTTGTTCTTAATTTGGTCCTCGTTGCTTGGTCCAGGTACTTGGGTTCCATCTGTGGTTAACTTTTCCTTCCAGCCCGCCCCAGAGTCACTAATCCCGTGTGCCTTGTTCACCTGCGCATGTTTGCTACTTGCAGTCTTGGGGTCTGTTGCAACTGAAATCAACTCAGACGAAGCTGAACCAGTTTGAACTGGTTCTGCGGTTACAGTTACATCAACAGTTGTCCACTTCACTCAGGTTTTGTTTTTGCTTTTTTTGTTTTTTTGGGTTTTTTTTTTGAGTCTGTCACCCAGGCTGGAGTGCAGTGGAGTGATCTTGGCTCACTGCAACCTCTGCCTCCCGGGTCAAGCAATTCTCCTGCCTCAGCTTCGCCAGTAACTGGGATTATAGGTGCATGCCACCACGTTTGGCTAATTTTTGTATTTTTAGTGGAGATGGGGTTTCACCATGTTGGCCAAGCTGGTCTCAAACTCCTGACCTCAGGTGATCGTCTGCCTTGGCCTCTCAAAGTGCTGGGATTACAGGTGTGAGCCACTGCACCTGGCCTTCACTCAGGTTTTGTGTTTTCTCTGTGTTAACAGTCTTGGCAATATGTAAATGACACATTTCAGGACTATTTCTTTCTTTTTCCCCTTTAAATAAAAAATTCTGATCAGTCTGTGCTTCTTTATTAAGAACATCTTAGAGAAGATGTCCCATCATACATTTTTATGGATGACTAATCCTATGTAATTGGATCTCATCTGTTATTTGAGTCTAGCAAATGGGTAAAACCCATCCATAGTTATATTACTAAAAGCAGCAGGTGGTAGAATAAAAACCTTATAAAAATGCACTCCCTCTTGTGGCAAAATATCTTAATTTCTATAGAAAATTGAATATGTCAAAAGAGATGCTTTCTTGGGAAAATCTGAAGATGTAAATAAGATGTGTGCATTTGGAGTAATTGCACAGATGGTGACACAGAGCTCCAGTAACCTGTGCTTTCCTTGTTTTCTTTTCACAGTTCTATAGTAATTACTTATCAACAACCTTAACTTTTGTGTTAATATAGGAGAGTACTAGTCAGGCGTGGTAGCTTACACCTATAATCTTATAATTCTAGCACTTCCGGAGGCTGAGGCAGGAGGATTGCTTGAGCCCAAGAGTTCAAGACCAGCCTGGGCAGCATAGTGAGACCCTATCTCTACAAAATAATTTAAAAAAAAATTAGCTGGATGTGGTGGTGTGCACCTGTAGTCCCAGCTACTCAGGAAGCCGAAGAGAGAGGATCGTTTGAATGAGCCAGGAGGTTGAGGCTGCAGTGCACTTCAGCTTAGGTGACCGAGTGAGATCCTGTCTCCAAAACAGAAGGGAAAATACTTATTTTTAAATTTAAAGATATAAAATAATTATAATCTGTGTCCTCATATAATTCATTATCCTCAAATAATTCATTTTTTTGCCAGCATTAGATATGACTATGCAGAACAACAGCAAAAAAGCCCAGAATAAAACCTATCGGGACAAATCGAATGTTGGAATGTGGCTGGGCATGGTGGCTCATGCCTGTAATCTCAGCTACTCAGGAGGCTGAGACAGGAGAATTGCTTGAACCTGGGAGGCGGAGGTCACAGTGAGCCAAGATTGTGCCACTGACTATACTCCAGCCTGGGAGACAGAGTGAGACCCTGTCTCAAAAAAAAAAAAAAAAAAAAAAAAAAAAAGACAGAAAAAGAATGTTGGAATGTTTAAGAAAAGTATTCAAGGAACAATTTTCATAGAACTTTTTGTCCAGAATAATACATACAGTTTTGTAAAATAAATAAATAAATATATTCTGCCATATACCATAATAAATTTGGAACCATATCAGTGACTATACCAAGAATTTATAATTATTTAAATACACATGCAAAAAATTTTCATGTTAAACTTAGCATGTGACATATCAAAACCAGGATTTGACAAAACAAAATAAAAAGTTAATATGGTTTAAAATTTTGATTAAAGCTAGTATGATCTAGTAGAGTGGTTTTTTTAAAAGAAAGATTTATACAAAAATATTTTCCAATTAAGTCTTCCAAAACGCTATAGTCTTCAATGTCTTTTGAGATTTTTTTACACTTTGCATACATCTTATTTGATTGGTAGTACAATTTCAGTTCCTGTAGGTTACTTTTTTTTTTGAGACCGAATTTCACTCTTGTTGTCCAGGCTGGAGTGTGATGGTGCCATCTCGGCTCACTGCAACCTCTGCCTCCTGGGCTCAAGCAATTCTCTTGCCTCAGCCTCCCTAATAGCTGGGATTACCAGCGTGTGCCACCACAGCTGGCTAATTTTGTATTTTTAGTAGAGACGGGGTTTCACCATGTTGGCCAGGCTGATCTCGTACTCCTAATCTGAGGTAATCTGCCTGCCTTGGCCTCCCAAAGTGCTGGGATTACAGGCCGGAGCCACCTTGCCTGGCCCCTGTAGGTTATTTTTGCATTTCATTTGTTACAGATACCAACATATACTTTAAGATAAACTATTTTGAGTTAAATAAAGATTGGAATATGCTTGTTTGGTTTTTTCCCTTTGGAGTAAACACATCAGAATTGCCTTCCATTGCTGTCGGATTACAGTGACACTTTAGAGTCTGGAGGGTATAGACCCTCCTCATTTAGATGCCACTAATCTGCGTCTTCTCCACCCCGCAGCCTCACTTGCACAAGATTGTGAACAGCTCTATGGAGCTCGCGCAGACTGCCAAGGAACCCTACAACTACTTCTTGCTGCTACGGGCGCTGTTTCGCTCTATTGGTGGAGGTAGCCACGATCTCTTGTATCAGGAGTTCTTGCCTCTCCTTCCAAACCTCCTGCAAGGTCAGAGCAGTGACTTTGGTTGCCTTTTAGTCTTGTGTGTCATGTAGTCATGTGTCTAGCCATCCTGATTGCTGGGTTTCATCCTCTGTAACTGGTGAGTGTCATGGTTGGTGGGATGGGATGTGGCACATCCGCCGCCCCCCTGCCCCCCTCCCCTGGCCCTGGTCATCTACTGGGACTTTGAAGGGCGCTGCCTTCAGGGATGGGCCCTTCCCCTCCCTCCTCAGCATTGAATGGGATTTAGGTGTTAGTTGTCCTGGCTAGGGCTTGGTTGCATTTTTATAGTGTTTGGTAAGCAAGTCTAGAAAATGATTTCTAGTGGTTTAGTAAGATCAGAGATCCCTAGACTGAAAGAGAATCAGAACAAAAAAAGAAAAAGCAGGTGACAAAGTTGAGACAGAGTTGACTTACAGTTAGTTTATATTTTCATTTAGCTTCTGATTTACATAGCCAGAATCCTGTAATTCCTGTATAATTAGGAATGCTCTCAAGGTACATAGTTAACAGGGATCTGGGTTCATTGAATGCTTTTGGGGTGTGTGCTGATTGGAAACACTGTCCCAGGAATTCATTACACTTCTTGGTATGGTGAGCTCTTGGCAAGGGATTGACCCTTCTCATGTATTTCCTTAACTTCCTTAGAGAAGTGACATAGGCTACCCAGGAGGCAGCAGGGACATCCTTTACTGTTGACTGAAATGGTGATGAATCTGCCATGGGAGTGGACCATAACCTGGCTCCATGTCCGGATTTAACCCTGTCTCTAGTTAATCCCTGCTGGAGCCCCTGTTCACACAGTCTGATTTCCTGGGCTCTCAGCTGTCCCCCAAGGGGTGTTCCTCCCTCCCGGTCTCATTCAAGCTGACCCTGTGCTGGGAACTCAGCCCCTTGCCCTCCTCTATCCTCCTCATCCTTTGGATTTGGGACCTGGTTCTGCTGCCCCGTGAGGCCATCCCTGATGGCTTCTCTTCTCCCTGAGTTCTCGTCCTTCATCCTGCCTTCCTGTGCCGTGCAGGACGTGCCTTTTCTTGGGTCCACTGCCACACGCCTTTCTCTTTCTAGCCAGCCTCAGCTCTCAGTGGCACTGTCTCAGGAATGGGGTCAGTAAATCCTTAACTGTCCTCGTGAGTGGTGGGGAGGGGGACTTTATCAGAAAGAGGCTCCTCGCCATTTATAATACAAAAAAATTAGTTTTAAAAACTGTTTAGAGAATAGACCTCAACTGTGGTTTACTAAAGTCTGATAGTACAACATAATTAAAAAATAATTTATGATATTAAAAGGATATAGTACTATGATTATAATTTAAATTATAATTTATAACAGTTACATACGGCCTACTGTTACCACTCAGAAGGGGTCATGAGTGCAATTATTGGACAGATGTAACAGGGTGGAGTCTAAGGGCACAGAGGTCTCCCTGCAGTTGTGCTGATGTGCACAAGAGAAGGAGGGGCAGTTCTTTTGTGTGTTTCACCTGGGCCCGAGTCTGGGGAGCGTCTTCCCTCTCTGATAGCTGCACCCCCTTCCCTAGGGCTGAACATGCTTCAGAGTGGCCTGCACAAGCAGCACATGAAGGACCTCTTTGTGGAGCTGTGTCTCACCGTCCCTGTGCGGCTGAGCTCGCTTTTGCCGTACCTGCCCATGCTTATGGATCCCTTGGTGTCTGCACTCAATGGGTCTCAGACATTGGTCAGCCAAGGCCTCAGGACGCTGGAGCTGTGTGTGGACAACCTGCAGCCCGACTTCCTCTACGACCACATCCAGCCGGTGCGCGCAGAGCTCATGCAGGTAGGATTTTAGTGAGGTTGTTAGCTGGCTGCTTCCCTGGAAGCAGTGGGCCGTCATTGGGTTCTCTGTACTCAAGAGTGGGCTCTGCAAGATGGACCAGTGCAGCTCTCTGTTTAATTCATCTTCGTGAGTCTTCTGGTGGATTGAAATATGTAAAGAAGGCCGGGCACGGTGTCTCCTGACTGTGATCCCAGCACTTTGGGAGGCCGAGGAGGGTGGATCACTTGAGCCCAGGAGTTGGAGACCAGCCTGGGCAACATGGTGAAAACCCATCTCTACAAAAAATACAAAAATTAGCCAAGCATGGTGGCCGACACCTGTAATCCCAGCTACTTGAGGCTGAGGCAGGGGGATCACCTGAGCCCAGGGAGGTTGAGGCTGCAGCGAGGCATGATCACACTGCTGTACTCCAGCCTGGGTGACAAAATCAGACCCTGTCTCAAAAAAAAAAAAAAGAGGAAATGTGTAAAGAAATACTGTTGGTACTGAATGGACATTATTTTGCAGCCTTGCCTGTTTTTCAGAGAGCCTTCACGAGGGTTATATTCTTTTTTTTTTTTTTTTTTTTTGTGATAGAGTCTTGCTCTGTCTCCCAGGCTGGAGTGCAGAGGCGCGATCTCGGCTCACTGCAACCTCCGCCTCCCGGGTTCAAGCAATTCTTCTGTCTCAGCCTCCTGAGTAGCTGGGACTACAGACGCGTACCACCATGCCTGGCTAATTTTTGTATTTTAGTAGAGATGGGGTTTCACCATATTGGCCAGGCTGGTCTCAAACTCCTGACCTCATGATCCGCCCACCTCAGCCTCCCAAAGTGCTGGGATTACAGCCGCGAGTCACCGTGCCTGGCGAGGGTTATATTCTTAATAAGTTGATGACTGATTAAGGCAGGTGTTATGGTTACTATACGGCCACCATTGCTTCCAGTGAGAACCTCTCTATCCAGGAAAGATCTTCAGTTGCATAGTAAAGGGATATTGACTCTAAAGGAAAGATATAGGTGTTTGCTCCACCCTACCCAAAGGGAAAAAGAAGCAGATAATAAAGGAGGTTGTTTTGAAAACACTTGTATATTTGTTTATTAAAGTTCATATGTTGGCCAGGCACTGTGGCTCACGCCTGTAATCCCAGCACTATGGGAGGCTGAGACAGGCAGATCACTTGAGTCCTGGAGTTTGAAACCAGCCTGGCCAACATGGCGAAACCCTGTCTCTACTAAAAATACAAAAATTAGCCAGGCATGGTAGCAAGCCCCCTGTAATCCCAGCTACTCAGGAGGCTGAGCAGGAGAATCGCTTAAACTGTCTCAAAAAAAAAAAAAAAAGAAAAAAAGGTTGATATGTTAAAGTTAGTTTTTCCTACATATTTTGCTGTTGTTACTGATTTGTGATCTGGTTGGTAATTGTTGGAGGGTTAGGGTGTGTGTCTCAAAGCATCTGCCCCTTTAATAGCAGGTAGTTGGCCCCAGATAGGAGTCAGAGTATGAGCTTTAGATGATGGAGGCTCAGTTACTCCTAGGAGTCTCTGTTCAAATTAGATTGGAGACTGCAGCTAGGACTGAGTTTGAGGTTGGGATATTTTCCCTCCCTGTCCTGAGATTTAGATCTTGGGCTTCATCTAGGCTGGAAGAAGATGGCGTAGGGGCCAGGTGTGGTGGCTCACACCTGTAATCCCAGCACTTTGGGAGGCCGAGGCAGGAGCATTGCTTGAGCCTAGGAGTTCCAGATCAGCCTAGGCAACATGGTGAAATCCCATCTCTACTAAAAATACAGAAAATTAGCTGGATGTGGTGGTACATGCCTGTAGTCCCAGCTACTCACGAGTTTGAGGTGGAAGAATCCGTTGAACTCAAGAGGTTGAGGCTACAGTGAGACATGATTGAACCACTGCACTGCAAGCTGAGTGACAGAACAAGACCCTGTTTCAAAAAAAACCAAAAGATAAAGATGGCATAGGCCGTGGGTCAGAGTCCCTGCTGGTCACCTGGAGGATTGATGAGAGCCTGCCTTTAGAACAGTAGTATTGGTTCTACAAGGCAAACCCTGCGGCTGACCCAGGGTGCATGAGCAGCTTGTGGGAGAGGAGGAGGAGGTGGTTCTTAGGCCTTCTTACCATCCATGAGGCAGATAGCCCAAAAGAGACACACACAGGCTCAAGGCCACAGGAACCACCACAGGCCTCCAGATGAATGGCACAGGGTCAGCCTCTCCCAGTCCCATCAACCAGCTAAGGCCATGCGAGCACAGCAGGAGGGCATGCTTGTTCCCAGGGCTGCCCCCTCCTGAGGACACCCAAGGGTTGGGTGGGCCTGGTGGAGGGTAGATGAGGTGAGAGGTCTTAGACTACTTTTCTGACAATTATTAAGAAGCCTGTTTGAATCTACGGGAACGTAAGAGAAATTGGAATTTTGCTTGGTTTAGAGAAAAGTACCAAGATTTTATGTTAAGGAGTATTGCTAGACATGAATATTTGGCATTGTTAAATGGAAGGTGATTTAAGAAAATAGATTTATGGCCGGGTGCGGTGGCTCACGCCTGTAATCCCAGCACTTTGGGAGGCTGAGGCGGGTGGATCACTGGAGGTGAGGAGTTCAAGACCAGCCTGGCCAACAAGGTGAAACCCTATCTGCACTAAAAAAAATTAGCTGGGCATGGTGGTGCATGCCTGTAATCTTAGCTGCTCAGGAGGCTGAGGTGGGAGGATTGCTTGCTTGGACCTGGGAAGTAGTGGTTGCAGTGAGCCGAGATTGCACCACTGCACTCCAGCCTGGTTGACAGAGCGAGACTCCGTCTCCAAAAAAAAAAAAAAGAAAAGAAAATAGACTTACATAGTGACCTGTAGTAATTTTTAGGACCTCTGATAATTCAGACAAAAAATGGGGGGAAATTTACAGTTTTTTGCGACAGTTGAGTGCGGATATTTCTTAAATGCGGAGTCCACATTAACTTAATTCTTTTCCATAGTCCTGTAATGGAGGTGCCTTCGTGATCTGTGTTTTTCCTTTGCCACCCTTTCTAATGTAAGATTTGAAGTGTATGAGACAATTTATGTCATGTTTGTAAGTTATAAAGCCTAATAAATAGACTTAAAAACCTGAGAAGTTGCCATCCCACCCAGGACTGGAACCTCACTGCTAAGTCGCATCCACCTGCGTGCTCCTCCCCACCCATTTTTTTTTTTGAGATGAAGTTTCGCTCTTGTTGCCCAGGCTGGAGTGCAGTGGCGCAATCTTGGCTCACCAAAACCTCCGCCTCCTGGGTTCAAGTGATTCTTCTGCCTCAGCCTCCCCAGTAGCTGGGATTACAGGCATGTGCCACCACGCCCAGCTAATTTTGTGTTTTTAGTAGATGGGGTTACTCCATGTTGGTCAGGCTGGTCTCGAACTACCGACTTCAGGTGATCCGCCCACCTCAGCCTCCCAAAGTGCTGGGATTACAGGCGTGAGCAGCATGTGCCTAAACAAGATACTGCTTAGTTTTCTTGTTTTGGAGCTCTGCAGCACTTATAATATGCTGCTATTTATATTCCAGGAGCATGGATGAACATTTATGTTTACACAGGTACTTTCTTTATAAAGACATAAAACTTCCTTGGAAGAACATGCAAGACTAATAACATTGGTTTCTCCAAAGAAGGGAGAACGGTGTGTTTGGGTAACAGAGGTGGGAGGAAGGATTGTTGCCAAGCAGTGTTCCATCACTTTGAGGGTTTTTTTTGACATGGAGTCTCGCCCTTGTCACCCGGGCTGGAGTGCAGTGGTGTGATCTCAGCTCACTACAACCTTCGCCTTCTGGGTTCAAGTGATTCTCCCACCTCAGCATCCCAAATAGCTGGGATTACAACAGCCTGCCACCACGCCTGGCTAATTTTTGTATATTTAGTAGAGGTGGGGTTTTGCCCTGTTGACCAGGCTGGTCTTGAACTCCTGACGTCAGGTGATCTACCCGCCTTAGCCTCCCAAAGTTCTGGGATTACAGGCATGAGCCACTACGCCTGGCCTCCCTTTTGAGTTTTGATCCGAACCTCGTGAAGGCATTACCTTAAGAGGACCTTAATGAAAGCACGCTGATTTTCAGGCTCTGTGGCGCACCTTACGCAACCCTGCTGACAGCATCTCCCACGTGGCCTACCGTGTGCTCGGTAAGTTTGGCGGCAGTAACAGGAAGATGCTGAAGGAGTCGCAGAAGCTGCACTACGTTGTGACCGAGGTTCAGGGCCCCAGCATCACTGTGGAGTTTTCCGACTGCAAAGCTTCTCTCCAGCTCCCCATGGAGAAGGTAAGCTCTGTGACAATGTCGTTTCGTTTTAAGCCTTGTGAAGATACTATGTTTCAGTCTATGTGAAATGTTAATTAGACCTGTGTCTTAGGCAATCTCTGAGTAGAACCAGTTGTATCAGGTGATCGGCCTGGTTGGCACAGGGGCTTTCCTAATGCCAGGAGACCAGTGGAGGGGTGTCACCTGAGAACTTGGTACTCTGGAGCAGCCCCCTCTCCTGGTGACCAAGAGGAGATGCCAGCCCATCCCGCCGTGAACTCCTTCCATTCTGATGCCTGGCAGGCTTACTGAGAACCTGAGTTGAGTCCATGCCTGTCTGTCTTCGCAGCCACACGCAGTGCCTCGCTTTCTCCCATTCTCTATCCAAACGCAGCTCGCACTGTCTCATTCCTGGCTCTCATCCCACTGCCAACAGCTCCTGGGTCTCTGTTAGGCCCTTTAGAGATCCTCGTTTTTACTGTGTAAAAAGCAGACAGTGCCCCCGCACCCTGCTGGAGTGTCCTGCCTGCTGCCTTTGCCCTGTCTGTGTTGAACACCCACCGTCTCTCCTCCCTGCCCTGCTGACTTTTCTGCTCCCTGTCCTAGTTCTGTGTCAGCATCATTCCATCGTCACGTTGGCTTTTCCCTCTGACTCTGTCACCAGTCCTTCCCCACATGGTGGCAGCATTTGTTTCCATGTCTTTGCAGGACATCATCTAGCTGTTGTGTATTGGGTATTTTTTTAAGGATATTATCGTAATGTTTGAGCGGATCCACGTGAGTTGGGCATTTCAGTAAGCTGGCTGCCTGCTGGGGTCCTGAGCCTCTTGCAGATCTGATCTTCAGCCAGCATCGTGTGGCCTGGAACTGCTCCAGGCCCTCCCTTTGCTCTGGCTAACTCCTCCCTGCCCTGTTGCATCATTGTGTAGTACTGGGTGTGTTTACCTTTGTAGAAGACGTGTGCCCATGTAGTGGCTTCTGTGTCCATAAGTAAACATTGGGGAGGGAGAAGCTGGTACAGATAAGCGTCACTCTGGAGTTGTTTTCTGTCATCATCTCAGTCAGCCTGTCCCCCGCAACTTCCTCAAGCCTATGCCTCATCCCCAGCCCTCCCCAACTCCTGCCTTATGAAGCACTGTTCCCTCTCCAGCCTCAGGGTGGGTGCAGTCTCAGCTTCTAACCCAAACCTTCATCCACATACTTTCCAAATGAATGCTACTCTCCTAAGAGAATTGGATGGCTAAAATTCTGTCTTTTGCGTATTTTATTTGACTCTGTATAGACAAAAAGCTCCCCCCACCCCCAAAAAATTCCCTTTAGAAGTAGTTTTGCCCCAAAGCAGCTGAAGTCTGGAAGAAATCAGGTTTTGCAGAGGTAGGATCGTAAAGGTCTGGGCCCCCTTACAGAGGCTCACCATGGTGCCTGTCAAGGCATTCTTTCTGAGCAGGACGCCATCCTGCCGGCACTGGCTGCAGCACACCTGGTATAGCTCATAGCTAAGGAGCCCATGAGGTAAAGGGAAAGATGAGCGTGGCTAAGCCAAGTGCCAGTGAGTTTCCATTAAACCATTCTGCTTTTGGCACACTTGGCAGTCCTTGATTCTTTTTGGCAGGTAATTGGCTCATATGTTATATTGATTCTGAAAAATAAAATTTTAGAAAGTACCACCATTTACAACTGCTACTGATCAGATCACATGCAGTTCCGCAATACCCTCGAAGAGCACGGACACTCAAGCTGGGGTTCATCCGGGGAGGAGCTGTTGTCATGCTTGTGTGCACTGCGTGTCTCTAAGCCTGGCAGGGGCTGGTGGGGAGGGCCTCTGTCCCTGTCATCACCCTCTCCTGGTTCCTCACACAGGGCCTGGGTAAATTTTTAACAAAGATTAGTTATTTGATTTATATGTACATAATTATTGTTAAGGTGAATGTCTTGGCTGTTAAAGGCTTCAGATTACTTTTGTGTGTGGTTGTGTCTTCGCCACTATCTCAGTCAACCCCATGAGAATGAATAGAATAAAAATGTGTGCATGTAGCTATGTAGGCTTTCTGAAAAAAATGATGTCAACCTTTTTCTTTCTTAAAGAATGAGTTTAGTAAAAGCTTAAGAAAGCCATCTTTCAGTTTTGAACCTAGGCACAGGAAAGTCTGCTTTGCAGAAAGTTCATTATTATTCTTGTTAGGATCTTGAAGAGCATGTAGGTGAGGCAGAATCTGGTTTAACCCAGCAAATCTTCCACAAGAGGCTCTCCGAGCTCACTTAGTTCCTGTAATCTGCCATTGGCTATTTGAACATGAAATTGTTAAACTCCATCTTGGCATTTTAATTTGAACTGTGCAATTCCTTGTTTTGTAATACTTCCACCGCCTCTTTTGGAAGCTTCACCAGGTGAATACCTATTAAAGCTGTATTAAAGCTGTATTGTATTAAAGCTGTAAAGTGTGTACCCACTGTGCTCTCTTCAAAAGAAAATATGCATGAGACTGGTGCCGTGGCTTAGTTGGTTAAGGCGCCTGTCTAGAAATGTGCATTAAGATTCTTCTGGGTGATTGAGACCATCCTGGCTAACACAGTGAAACCCCGTCTCTACTAAAAATACAAAAAAAATTAGCCGGGTGTGGTGGCTGGCACCTGTGGTCCCAGCTACTCGGGAGGCTGAGGCAGGAGAATGGCGTGAACCCGGGAGGCAGAGCTTGCAGTGAGCGGAGATGGCACCACTGCACTCCAGCCTGGGCGACAGAGCAAGACTCCGTCTCAAAAAAAAAAAAAAAAAAGGTTCTTCTGGGTGTGGCTGGGCGCGGTGGCTCATGCCTGTTATCCCAGCACTTTGGGAGGCCGAGGCGGGCAGATCACGAGGTCAGGAGATCGAGACCATCCTGGCTAACACAGTGAAACCCCGACTCTACTAAAAATACAAAAAACTTAGCTGGGCGTGGTGGCGGGCACCTGTAGTCCCAGCTACTTGGGAGGCTGAAGCAGGAGAATGGCGTGAACCCGGGAGGCAGAGCTTGCAGTGACCTGAGATACGCGCCACTGCACTCCAGCCCAGGCGACAGAGCGAGACTCCGTCTCAAAAAAAAAAAAAGATTCTTCTGGGTGCTGCAGATGCTTTCAGTGAAAGCTTTTCACAATCATGTAATTTCAGCACAAACTGTAGTTTCTTTGTGTCTTGGTTGTAGGCCATTGAAACTGCTCTGGACTGCCTGAAAAGCGCCAACACTGAGCCCTACTACCGGAGGCAGGCGTGGGAAGTGATCAAATGCTTCCTGGTGGCCATGATGAGCCTGGAGGACAACAAGCACGCACTCTACCAGCTCCTGGCACACCCCAAGTATGTCGGCCACTTCCTTCTGTGTGGTTGGGTGGATCCTGTTTTAGGAATTGGGGCTGCAGAGGGCCTCCCAGGTTTCCTGGTGCTAGGAGCAGGCTCCTTGAAGTCCAGCAGATGCCATATTATCTACCTACTCCTTCTTGTTGGGGCCTTAGAGAAAATGGAAAGGAGAACTGGGTGCTTGAGAATTAGAAGGGATCACAGTTGTCGCCTGCCTTTATTGTGTCTTGTCACCTCCTCCATTAGTTTGTAAGTGTGAAGAAATCAAGGGTCATGTCCCTTCTCCCTCCCTTTGTCTCACCATTCTGTCCACAGCAGCTGGCGCCTGAAAGGCATGCAGTGGACCCTCTGCATTTTCATTTCACAGTGATCTTTCTCCAGATATTTCTCATGTGATGTCTGTATCTTGCTCTTACCTCTTGAGACTGTGCATGACCTTAATGTAATGATCTTTTGAGGTAACACACACATACCATTTTTCTGCATTGTAAGTTTCAGGGGATGGATTTTTCCTATATATTTTCACATTCTTCACTGCATCAGAAGTGATGCTGAGTATATAGTAGGTGCTCAGTTGTTTAAAGGACATTGAAGAGAGAGGAGTCAAGGTAACCAAATGCACAAGGAAGTAAAGCAACATGAGTAAGAGCCAGCAGAATCAATGGAAGGCAGAAATAGACCCACACAGGCTTCAGGTGTTAGGATTATCAGAACTAGGTTGTAACTATGCTTAGAATGTTTAAATTAATGAAAGACAAACTGGAAAATACCTCCAAGAAACAGAAACCTATAAAAATTGCCCAAAAACTTAGAGAGAACCTTTAAGAAGTTGTCGAATACTTATCCAGAACACATGCAGAGAGAGAAAAGATGGAAAATTCAAGAGAGAGTAAGAGACATGAAGAGTAGAGGGAAGTAGCATCATTTACTTTTAACCCCTCAAAAAGAGCAGAGAGACATAATGACTGAGAATTTCCCAGAACTGATGAAAAAATTAAACAGTGTGCAGATCCGAGATGTTGAGTGAATCCAAAGCAGGATAAATAAAAAGAAATCCACAGAGACAAACTATAGTGAAACAACTACAAATCAGAAACAAAGGGAAAATCTTAAAAGATGGCAGAACAAAAAGATGACATTCAAATGAATGATCACTTGGAAGCTGTGAAAGCCACTGAACTGTGGAATAAACCTTTAGTTTGAAAAAAGAATTGCCAACTTAGAGTCATATATCTGGTGCAGTATGACCCATGAATAAGGATGAAATAAAGATGTTTTCAGATAAAAACAGAAATCTGCCACCAGCACATCTTCAGCAAAGAACATTCTAAAGGATGTTCATTCAGACAGAAAGTTCCTCCATGGAAGATTGAGGATGAGGGAAGGAAAAAGAGCCAAGAAAATGATAATTCGTGACCAAATCTAAATGGGATGCAGCTAAAGTGACACTCAGAGGGAAACTTACAGCCTGAAAAAACGTGCTGTAATCCCAGCACTTTGGGAGGCTGAGGCGGGGGTGGGTCACCTGAGGTCAGGAGTTCAAGACCATCGAGACCAGCCTGGCCAATATGGTGAAGTCCCATCTCTACTAAAAATACAAAAAAAATTAGCTGGGCGTGGTGGTGGGCACCTGTAATCCCAGCTACTTGGGAGGCTGAGGCAGGAGAATCGCATGAACCTGGGAGGTAGAGGTTGCAGTGAGCCAGGATCGCGCCATTGCACCCCAGCCTGGGTGACAGAGCGAGACTCCATCCAGGTGTTGCTGAAATTAAAGCAGATAAATTACCCAGGCCTGTCTGAATAAGAGGGAAGCAAGCAGATTAAAAATTTGAAAAGAAGTCCTAGTGGAGTCATCAGCTCAGGAGTTGGGTGTCGTGACACCAGATCTGATTTTGCCTTTCAGCTTTACAGAAAAGACCATCCCCAATGTTATCATCTCACATCGCTACAAAGCCCAGGACACTCCAGCCCGGAAGACTTTTGAGCAGGCCCTGACAGGCGCCTTCATGTCTGCTGTCATTAAGGACCTGCGGCCCAGCGCCCTGCCCTTTGTCGCCAGCTTGATCCGCCACTATACGATGGTGGCAGTCGCCCAGCAGTGTGGTGAGCACGGGGGCACGGTGGGGCACGGGATTGGTTCTTTGACTTTTATAGGTGCTTTAAAAACTTGCTCAGGACATTTTGTTGTTCTAGAAAAAGCTGAGTTTGGCTGATTGATTTTCGGCTTTTATTTTCCAATTTTCCATTTACGACATTGATAATTGGTATTTCAGTGGTGGGCACTATATCAGCTTGAAAGTTACTACCTACCAAGTTTTGTTTGTAAGATAGACCCAATTTAATAATACTTCTGTGTCCAAGTGCTTTGGGACAAGCTGCCTGTGAAACAGACAGTTTGTGTTCATACTCACTGCTCACCTTCCTCTGCCTGGCTGTGTTTTCCAAGGCCAGTCTTGCCCTCCAGAAACTTCTCCATCACCTGCTCCCTGCTCTCCAACCCATGCCTCGCAGTCTCCCCTGCGATGCCCGTTTCTGCTCCCAGGATCCTCATTCTGCTGTTCCTCCTGCCTGGAACGGCTGCTCACCTCCGTTTCAGTGGCTCTCACACTCTTGGTGGTGAAGGGCCACTTGTATTTGTTCACTTTTATTTCCGATCCATTGTAGGTGATGTCTTTGTAAAAGACAATAAAAATGGCCAGGCACGGTGGCTCACGCCTATAATCCCAGCACTTTGGGAGGCCGAGGTGGGCGGATCACCTGAGGTCGGGAGTTCGAAACCAGCCTGACCAACATGGAGAAATCCCGTCTCTACTAAAAATACCAAATTAGCTGGGCATGGTGGTGCATGCCTGTAATCCCAGCTACTCGGGAGGCTGAGGCAGGAGAATCGCTTGAACCTGGGAGGCGGAGGTTGTGGTGAGCAGAGATCGTGCCATTGTTCCAGCCTGGGCAACAAGAGCGAAACTCCGTCTCAAAAAGAAAAAAAAAGACAAAAAAAATGTCATGCCACTGCCAGTTGCTACATAAGTTTCTGAAAACCTACTGTCAATTTCAGCATCTCCTCCCAGACCAGTCACAGTTCGTCTGCAGACCGCACTGGAGTAGCACTGCCCAGTTGGTGTCCTCAAAGCCCCTCACCCTTAAGATCAACCAGCAGAGCACATAGAATTTTCCCCTTTAACTTTTCTTGGCCTGACGGGTCAATACTGTACAATTTAGCACTTTGATTGTTTCTCAGTGTTTGTTCTTTGTTAACATTGTCTTTCTGGCAAAACTAAGCTTCTCAGTAACTTCCACCTTGGACCTGGGTACCTCCGAGGCATTACCTAATAATGCTGTGGCCGACTGTTCTCTGCCATAGCTGGATGCCGTTGCTTTTTGTTGTTGTATGTTAGGAATATCCGGAGCATAACCCATGGTCATTCCCATATTCTGCCCCTTGGCCTATTTAATAATTTTTTTAAAAAATGTTACCCCATTGTGGTTTTCTTTATTTTTTTTTTAATTTTTGTTTTGTTTTGCTTTTTAGATACAGAGTCTCACTTTGTTGCCCAGGCTGGAGTGCAGTGGCGTGGTCATGGCTCACTGCAGCCTCTACCTGCTGAGCTCAAGTGATCCTCCTGCCTCATCCTCTTGAGTAGCTGGGACTACAGGCATGTAACACCACGCCCGGCTAATTTTTTTTTTTTTTTCAGACGGGGTCTTGCTCTGTCGCCCAGGCTGGAGTGCAGTGGTGCGATCTCAGCTCACTGCAACCTCTGCCTCCCGGGTTGAAGTGATTCTCCTCCCTCACCCCTCCTGAGTAGCTGGGATTACAGGCACCTACCACCACGCCCGGGTAATTTTTTTGGTATTTTTAGTAGAGACGGGGTTTCACCACATTGGTCAGGCTGGTCTCATACTCCTGACCTCATGATCCACCCGCCTCGGCCTCCCAAAGTGCTGGGATAACAGGTGTGAGCCACCACACCCAGCCCACGCCCAGCTAATTTTTAAAAAAATTTTTATGGAGATGCATCTCATTATGTTGCTCAGGCTGGTCTTGAACTCCTGGCCTCAAGTGATTCCCCTGCCTTGGCTTCCCAAAGTACTGGGCTTATTTAATTGTAAAAGATTATGAAAGTGGCAAAGTGGCATGAGCCACTGTGGTTCTCATTTTGAACTAATATATTTTTGAGTTATGATTGAGATACATGAAAATAACACAGTGTATCATAGAAAACGTTCAGAAAAATACAGCCTAAAGGCATATCAGACCACTTAATTTACACATAATTGCAGTTTAACAGAAGTTGGCTTGAAATCTCAGTGGTGGCTTTTTATGGAGTTTCTTTTTTTTTTAATTTATTTTTTTTTTGAGACGGAGTCTCACTCTGGCGGCCAGGCTGGAGTGCAGTGGTGTGATCTGCAACCTCCGTCTCCTGGGTTCAAGTGATTCTCCCGCCTCAGCCTCCTGAGTAGCTGGGATTACAGGCGCCTGCCACCATGCCTGGCTAATTTTTGTATTTTTAGTAGAGATGGGGTTTCACCATGTTGGACTAGGCTGGTCTCAAACTTCTATGTCAAGTGATCCTCCTGCCTCGGCCTCCCAGAGTGCTGGGATTACGGGTGTGAGCCGCCGTGCCCTGCTTTTTATGGAGTTTCTAACTTCAAGGAAAACATTGGGGAGTTCTGCAGTTTGAGGGACAAGACTGTTCTCACGTGCCTTCCCATCTCTCCTTTTAGGCCCTTTCTTGCTGCCTTGCTACCAGGTGGGCAGCCAGCCCAGCACAGCCATGTTTCACAGTGAAGAAAATGGCTCGAAAGGAATGGATCCTTTGGTTCTCATTGATGCAATTGCTATTTGTATGGCATATGAAGAAAAGGAGCTTTGCAAAATCGGGGAGGTGGCCCTAGCTGTGATATTTGATGTTGCAAGTATCATCCTGGGCTCCAAGGAGAGGGTAAGGAAGGGTTGAGGAGTGTCTTCTGATTTGGAGGGTGTCTGTACCTGAGAGTGGTCCTTCTAGAAACTGATAGTTTAAGAATTGCGGCCAGACGCAGTGGCTCACGCCTGTAATCCCAGCACTTTGAGAGGCCAAGGCGGGCGGCTCACCTGAGGTTGGGAGTTCGAGACCAGCCTGACCAACATGGAGAAACCCCGTCTCTACTAAAAATAAAAAAAATTAGCCAGGCGTGGTGGCGCATGCCTGTAATCCCAGCTACTCGGGAGGCTAAGGCAGGAGAATCACTTGAACCTGGGAGATGGAGGTTGCGGTGAGCCGAGATCACACCATTGCACTCCGGCCTGGGCAATAAGAGCGAAACTCTGTCTCAAAAAAAACAAGAATTGCAGTAACGTGTTGTGGTTTGTTCATTTTCCTCTCCAGGCCTGCCAGCTGCCCCTGTTTTCTTACATCGTGGAGCGCCTGTGTGCATGTTGTTATGAACAGGCGTGGTATGCAAAGCTGGGGGGTGTGGTGTCTATTAAGTTTCTCATGGAGCGGCTGCCTCTCACTTGGGTTCTCCAGAACCAGCAGACATTCCTGAAAGCACTTCTCTTTGTCATGATGGACTTAACTGGAGAGGTAGGTGATGGGTGGCCCCAAACCTAACCATGCTGTTTTTGAAATGGTGGTTTCCTGAAGAATACTATAAGATCCTTCTGCAAATATGCTCTCCTAGCAGCATGGTGACTTTGATACTCAGATTTCATTTCAGCATCTTCACTAAAAGGACAGCTCAGAGCTCCCATAGGCCTTCTGTGGGTATCTAAATACCTGTTTGCTTTGATAAAGAACAGTTACAGGCCACAGTGTTTACCACAGTGTGTCTGAAAAGGGGAATTCTGCTTCTCATGTGCTGTTTCCGGAGGAGCTGCATTCTTAAACCTATGCAGATATGACTCACACCAGTAGAACATGATGGGCATTGCCAGCTTATCTGGTGAATGCAGGGGTCACATTTGGATCCACATTTTCTGATTAGGTGACTTAGGGACTAAAGCACCAAGTGGGTGCCGTGAAGTCACCTCATTAAAGCAGCTGGCGAGAAGGGCATGGACCCCAGTGACAGTCTTTATGGCAGACAGGTGTGCAGGAGACGGCAGTTGCAGTGGGTGGCATCGCCCTGCTTTCATTCTAAGACATCCCTGACTTGCAGGTTTCCAATGGGGCAGTCGCTATGGCAAAGACCACGCTGGAGCAGCTTCTGATGCGGTGCGCAACGCCTTTAAAAGACGAGGAGAGAGCCGAAGAGATCGTGGCCGCCCAGGAAAAGTCTTTCCACCATGTGACACACGACTTGGTTCGAGAAGTCACCTCTCCAAACTCCACTGTGAGGAAGCAGGCCATGCATTCGCTGCAGGTGTTGGCCCAGGTCACTGGGAAGAGTGTCACGGTGATCATGGAACCCCACAAAGAGGTGAGATTTCTGTCACCAGAACCAAGGTAATTTCAACAAAACTTTTGAGCCTTTTTTTTAAATTTGAGTTGAGGTGATACTCCGTTTATAATTTTGTGTCTTGGTATCTGTGGGGCCTTGGTTCCAGGACCCTGCGTGGGTACCAAAATCTGGGATGCTCAAATATCTGATGTAAAATGGTGTGATATTTGTATATAACTTATGCACATATTCTGTGTACTTTATTTATTGATTTATTTTTTCTTTTTTAAAGCTTTTTTATTTTCATTTTTTTTTTGAGACAGTCTCACTCTGTTGCCCAGGCTGGAGTGCAATCCTAGCTCACTGCAGCCTGGAACTCCTGGGCTCAAGTGATCCTCCTGCCTCAGCCTCCTAAGTAGCTGGGACTACAGACACACACCACCACGCCTGGCTAGTTTATTTTTTATTTTTTTTTAACTTTTATTTATTTATTTAATTATTTATTTTGAGACAGAGTCTCGCTGTTGCTCAGGCTGGAGTGCAGTGGCATGATCTTGGCTCACTGCAAGCTCTGCCTCCCAGGTTCACGCCATTCTCCTGCCTCAGCCTCCCAAGTAGCTGGGACTACAGGTGCCCACCACCACACCCGGCTAATTTTTTGTATTTTTAGTAGAGATGGGGTTTCACAGTGTTAGCTAGGGTGGTCTCGGTCTTCTGACCTCATGATCCGCCTGCTTTGGCCTCCCAAAGTGCTGGGATTACAGGCATGAGCCACTGCGCCCAGCCTATTTTTTTTAACTTTTAAAATTATTTCTTTTCTTTAAGGAAATTATCATCCAGCCCAAAATGTCATTTTCTTCTTTGTAATTAAAAAATTTTTTTCCAGCTATTTTTTTTTATAAAGATGGGCTCTCACTATGTTGCCCAGTCTGGCCTTGAACTCCTGGGGTCGAGCAGTCCTCCCATTTCAGCTTCCCAAAGTGTTGGGATTACAGGCGTGAGCCACCGTGCCTATCCTTAAATTTTTATGGGTACATGAAAATTTGTATAATCTCCCATATACTTTAAATTAGTTCTAGATTACTTATAATACCTAATACAATGTAAATGCTATGTAAATAGTTACACTTTAATAGTTTGTTTTTTCTTGTCACGTTATTTTTTATTTTTTCCTCAAGTATGTTTTCTCCTTGCTTGGTAGCATCTGAGGATGCAGAACCACAGACACAGAGGGCTAGCTCTACCGTTGTGCCTGCTCTTTATGACTTGAGATTTGCAAAAAACAGTGTACTTCAAGAGAGTAGAGGGTAGCATTCCTGAGGCTATAGCACAGTCTGGTAGTTTTATTCTTGTTTTGTTGTGGTTTTGTCTTTTGTTTTGGATTTTTTTTTTTTTTAATTTTTAAAGAGAGAGAGGTTACGCTGTACCTTTAGGAACTAACATCTTACATGCCTCTCCACGACCGAGGTTTTGCACATGAAATGTATCTCCCGTTCCCTAATGAGAAGATATCTGTAATAACTTTGGATCTCAAACATGGTTTTCACATTTTTAAAAAGTGTTTGTGTCTCAAGGGGCAGCTGGTGAGTGGTGCCTCCTCCTTGGCTTCCCCAGGTCCTGCAGGATATGGTCCCCCCTAAGAAGCACCTGCTCCGACACCAGCCTGCCAACGCACAGATTGGCCTGATGGAGGGGAACACGTTCTGTACCACGTTGCAGCCCAGGCTCTTCACAATGGACCTTAACGTGGTGGAGCATAAGGTGTTCTACACAGAGGTAGGGGGGTGGTGGTGCGGAGTGGTGTGGATGGTGATGACGTGTGTCTGCTAGCCTGTCTTTGTACGCGAAGACTGGTCAGGCAGCATTCAGAGAAGGCTCGGGCGGGGACCTGCAGGTAACCCACTGACACCTGGCACAGCAACCTGAGCAGGTATGTTGCGTCTGGGCTCGGGCGGAAGGGAGGTATGGCCAGCAGAGACGCTGATGTCTTGTGAGTTCTCAGAACTCTGTTAGCCCCAACAGGAATCTTTGCTTGAATTTAGGGCCTCAAGGTTGTATTTTAAAGATGAAGCTGCACCCAGTTGCTTTAATCATTCTTAGATCAGCTGGCCCGGCACAAGTGCCAATTTATTGCATTCATTAATCACTGAAATGTGCCATGTGCTGTTGAGAACATCACACAAGTGCCCTAAGTTCTGACAGCACCCCCTGAAGTGTAGGGGTTGAGCTGTTTGTTCTTACTTTGAAGGTGTGGAAACTGAGGCTTAGAGTTTGCTGATTACCCAAAGCCACAGGGCAGGTGAGCTGGAGAGCTTGAATTTAAGCCAGGACTGTTATTTAGAGCATGATTCCTAATCACTGCACTGTCCAGCCGAGTTCTTATTTTTTTTAGTGGACTTGATTTGTCCCTTGACCCAAACACGGACCCTGGCAGATGGCATCTTATGAGTATTTGTCACTGTAAACATTCCAGTGTGGGGTGCTATTAGTCTGACAAACAGGAATGAAACTGTGGGTGTTGCCAAATTATAAGCAACATCTTTAGAATACAGTAGTGGTCTGGTGATCAGATAAAATTTAAAATTTTTATGGGACATGAATCACACTTGCAGAGGCATTGTCAGAGTATACCGCGGCAAAAATCAGAAGAAAGCAAATTCTTCCAGGTCCATACTGTCTGAATTTCTGATTATGAAAATTTACCTCTTGACATTTTAAGGTCCTGTTTTTGCTTGGACATATGGTTATAGGATCATATGATCTGGCTCTGATCTTTATACCTTATCATTTGTAAGGCTTGACAGAAGGTCAAGACCTTTAGGAAATGCATAACTTCCCTTGGCTGATCTAGAGACAGATGTATTTTAACCTGCATGGAAAACTCCTCACTGCACTTAAGACCAGAGCCTGGCAGTATTGAGGGCATGAAACTGGTTTTCCAGATGTCTCTCAGTGCCTGGCTGCATCAGAACACGTGCGGATCTTTTGAAAAGCATGGACTCGAGTCCTTTCCTTGGAGATTCAGGTTCAGTCCATTTGGGTGAGACCTGGGAATCCACTGTCTGAAAGCTTCCCAGGTGATGCTGTGTGGCTGTGTTGGGGTTTTGTTTTGTAGTTGACTTCTCTCTCTCCATACCTGCACGCATATATACACGCATGCCCTTATATGTGAGGAGAGTATTTTTGAAGGTCATACAAGGCCCTAGCAACAGTGGTTTCCTCTGGGCAGTGGAATGGGGTGGGTGGCTTGAAGTGCTTTTCACTCTGTATCCTTTTCTGCTGTTTTAAGTCTTTTACCAGGTTGGAATCTTTTAAGGGGGAAAAATGATATTAGCCTATACTAGTTTTCCAGGATGTGAATGAAGAGAAGGGGGAAATAGTGATAGAGCACGATATCTGTTATTTAGATAACAGATAGAGAAATATCTACTTGTGTGGTAAAATATCTGGAAGGATAGCCACTGGAATTCCCAGTGATGTTCAGCTTCCTACTTTATGCTTTTCTGTACTTGAAAAAAAAAAGTGTGTTCACTTAAATATTTGAATTATAGCCCATCTGTTTCTTGAACACTTGTCTGAGGCCCTGGGGAGGCTGATCTGAACCAGGAAGACACGGCCCTGCCATCATGGGATTTGCAGTTAGATAAAGTAACCCCCTGTTTTGAGGAGAAAAAAAAACGTGATGGTATCAGAGTGGGTGAGAAAAAAACATGGTGGTATCAGAGTGGGTGAGAAAGTGTCTAAGAATTCTTTCCACTAATGAAGTAAACTGAGTTTTGCCTTAAAGAGGCTCAGTCATACTTTGATACTTAAAATCTTTAGGATTTGAGCTTAGTTTGTCAGTTGTTAATTGTGTTGCAGTGTGTGGAAGATTGCTGTGTTCTGTTATTTGCAAGGTTATTATGTCTTCACAGGAAGAGTGGGCTAAATGAAATTGTTTTATCTTTTGCAGCTGTTGAATTTGTGTGAGGCTGAAGATTCAGCTTTAACAAAGCTGCCCTGTTATAAAAGCCTTCCGTCACTCGTACCTTTACGAATTGCGGCATTAAGTAAGTTAATGAAAATCTACGGGGTATAAAAGTGAAAGGAGACTGACCACAGGAGGTCTATAGAAAAAAAAAGTGGCCTTTTGTTGTTGTCTAATTTTTATGACTTTTTGTAGTCTTTTTAAGATGGGATCAAAAAATTATTTTTGTATGTTTATCAAACTGTGTAATGAGATGCCATAAAATTACATGTGTTGTTAGGATTGAAGTAATTTTGTGCTTTATAGTAAAGTCTGTTGTTGTTTTATGAATCAGACGTTCTGGTTTAAAAGGATTGTCGTATCATTCATATGGTGCCAGAATCAGAGTGTATATATAGTAAGGGACATGACAGCCTTAGAAGCTTTTCAATGACTCAAGCATTTGTTAATCCTGCAGTCTCTAGCTTTTCACTGGGAAACCTCAGTTATCATTGTCAAGCACAGGAATGATGCAAAGTGTAGGAAAATAGACTAGATCTGTATTGGCTGAGATAGAAACAATCATTTTCTTTCTAGTGGGGAGTGAAGGTGAATACCCAATACAAACTTTTTTGGTTGACTCTCTCCTGCTTTGTTGATTTTTATGCTCTTAATAACATATTTCCAGAATCTTTCTTGAGTTAGAGGTGGAGAGCTTAGAGGCAGACCATAATACCTGAGCTAGAAGATGGGGTGGAGTGTTCCAGACAGTGCAAGCCAAAGCCAACAGGGGGACCAGGGGTGACTGGCAGCTTTCTTCTTCTCTTGGGGTCCCTTCTTTGGGGAACTCTCCTGTGCCTCCTTCCTGTTAGCCATTGTGGGTGCTACTTTTGCTAGAATGAATGTTACCTGTCACCTGACATAGAAGGTTGAGGTGTGTCTCCTTCCCTAAGAATATTTGCCTTTTGAAAGTCTTAAAGCCTTTTACCCTCAAAGCTGGGTAGTGAAGAAAGGCTGGGCTGTGTGTGTCTGTCCCCTGCATTGCCTGTCACTGGAGGACCAGAGACCGTGCCATCAGCCTTGTTCAGATGGGCCTGTCCTGGATCCAGCCACCCCATTACCCTATGAAGGTGTCCTGGGATAGGGGTGTCAGTGGGGTCTCTCTTCTTCCCCCTCAAGCTTTCTTCTTCTCATCTGAAGACGTAAGATTTATCATGGCTTTTCTGGCAGGCTGGACTTCACTCTTAGATTATACTCAACATGTGGATGGAAGACCATGTGTACTTTTGTCTTTCTCAGGGCCAAACACTAGGAAAGAGGGCTCGTGGTTCATATTTTTTGCTGGTTGGTAGGAGCCTTTGGGAAAGAAAATTCAGCCGGGGGCAGTGGCTCACAGCTGTAATCCTAGCACTGGGGAGGCCAGGGCAGGAGAATCCCTTGAGGCCAGGAGTTAGAGATGAACCTGGGCAACATAGCAAGACACCTTCTCTACCAAATAATAATAATAAATAAATACAGAGAAGAAAATTATTTGGGCATCTTTCCAGTTAATAATGGAATTGTCTTGATTTCTCTCCCTGAAGATGCACTTGCTGCCTGCAATTACCTTCCTCAGTCCAGGGAGAAAATCATCGCTGCACTCTTCAAAGCCCTGAATTCCACCAATAGTGAGCTCCAAGAGGCCGGAGAAGCCTGTATGAGAAAGGTGAGTGTGTGTGCGTGCGTGTATGCGCACGCGTGTGTGCACACACATGTGTGTGTACTCTGCATTAAGAGTTCTTCCTGTTTATTGCTATATAAACAGTGTATGCCTAAAAGGCTTTATGCATGTGGTTATTACACACTAAACTGTAATAAGAATATACCTGTTTCATAGTCATACTGAGTTTTTTAAAATATTAAACAGTAAAGATAAGTCTCCATCATTTCGTCATAAATTTCTGAAATAGTATATGATTAATATTCCATCTTCCTAAAGGAGAACGGAAACTTGCAGCTAAGGTTGAAGATGAGTTCTGTTCTATTATGAAGTGTCCTCAGTTGTCTATTTTTCTTTACAACTTTTCTTTTTTAATAGTTTTTAGAAGGTGCTACCATAGAAGTCGATCAAATCCACACACATATGCGACCTTTGCTGATGATGCTGGGAGATTACCGGAGCTTGACGCTGAATGTTGTGAATCGCCTGACTTCGGTCACGAGGCTCTTCCCAAATTCCTTCAATGATAAATTTTGTGATCAGATGATGGTAAGCCAAATGCATTTAAACGCTCTGTAACAAACTTTCAAAAAATTAAATTATTTTAAAAATAAATAATGCAGCTGGGCACAGTGGTTCACGCCTGTAATCCCAGCACTTTGGGAGGCCGAGGTGGGTGGATCGCTTGCAGTTGGGAGTTCGAGACCAGACTGGCCAACATGGTGAAACCCCTCTCTACTAAAAATACACAAATTAGCCTGGTGTGGCAGCGTGCATCTGTAATCCCAGCTACTTAGGGAGGCTGAGGCAGGAGAATCACTTGAATCTGGGAGACAGAGGTCGCAGTGAGCCAAGATTGTGCCACTGCACTCCAGCCTGGGCAACGAGTGAAACTCCATCTCAAAAAAAGAAAATTAGCCAGGCTTAGTGGCACGTGCCTGTGGTCCCAGCTTCTTGGCTTGGAGGCTGAGGTGGGAGGATCACCTGAGCATGGGAGGCAAAGGTTGCAGTGAGCCGAGATGGCATCACTGCACCCCAGTCTGGGTGACAGAGCAAGACCCTGCCTCAAAAAATAAATAAATAAAAACAATGCATTCAGATGGCTTAAAATTGAAAAGGTGTAAAAGGATGTACTGCAGAAAGCCTCCCTCCCACCCTGTCCTCCAGCTACCCAGTCCCCTCCCTGAGACAGCCAGGGTTAAGACTTTGTTGTGTATCCTTTTAGAGATGTTTTATATATGTAAGAGGACATATGTGTATATATTTTTTCCTATAAAAGGGGGTACAATATATATATACACAGTCCTTGCTTTTCCCATTTAACAGCCATCATTTCATGTCAGTACCTGAAGTACTTCATTCTGCTTTATGGCTGCAGAATACCTCATGACATGAACTTGCCATAATTTATTTAACCATGGCCTCACTGGTGAACATTTAGATTGTTCCCAGCCTTTTCATTATATACCATGATGCACTGAAAGACTTGTTCATAATTTCACATGCTTTTATCTGTGGTGTACATTTCTAGTTGTAGAATTTCTGGATCAAAAGAATGTATGCATTTTAATCTTTCAACACCTTGTCAAATTGCTCTCCAAAGAAATTTTTACCAATATACACTCCTACAAAATAGATAAGTGTGCCTTCTTTCATACAGTCTTGGGTGAGAACATTGGAAGTCCTTTGGGTTTTTAGAATTACCAGAGAAATAATTATGCAGGAAAAAACCCATTTGACAGTGTTTAAAATTGAAATGTAAGCGGATGGAGGATTTCATCTGTTAGCTTTCTTTTGCATTCAATTTTGCTTCTGGTAAATGGATTTATAAATAATAAACAGGATTTAATGGTCCACCACTGCAAACATGAATGTATTTTTCATGCTTATGTTTCCCAAGTAGCCTTTGACCATTTGACGTTTTAAGATACTGGAGCTACTTTTTTATTTTTGGTGTACCTTTCCCCCAACTATAAACAGGAGTTTATATCTACTGATGGACAGATAAGGTAGAGATTGCATTATGTAGAGAGAGATATTGCAGGTATGGATACATTGTGTGTGATACAGTGTATCACAGTGCACAGATACATTGTATTTATCTACACATGGAATGTAGAGAAATCTCTCATATATGAAAGACACGTAGCTTTTTACCTCATCTATATGCTAGTTTCTTCATATCTACAAGTACCTAAATAATAATGACCCAAATACTAAAATTGTAAGTTATGCCCTAATAATACATTATAATTGAAAAACAAAGTATAATATGGAAGTGAATTTTCCAAATTGGGGACTTTCACCTTAAGCTTCCAAATATATGTAATACACATACACACCTATCAGTTTCCATATATTCCATATATTCACAAGAGTGGCTAAAATAAATATATAAAGTTACATCACTTCCTAATCAGAGCTCATCCAATAAACACTTTATCTTACATCCTGTATTACGGCTGAGGTGCTTTCACACATGAGGCCCATGAGCTCTATGCATGTGTCCAAATGTCCTAATGCTTTTGTGTATGTCTCCTCTTGAAAAGTCGTCTGTCATTTTTTGCTGCCTTTGTATGCTTGCCTGAAGCAGCTTTGGTTTGTTTGTTTATTTTTATTTTTATTTTTGAGACAGAGTATGGCTCTGTTGCCCAGGCTGGAGTGCAGTGGTGTGATCTCGTCTCATTCCTACCTCTGCCTCCCGGGTTCAAGTGATTCTCCTGCCTCAGCCTCCCAAGTAACTGGGATTACAGGTGTCTGCCACCACACCCAGCTAATTTTTTGTATTTTTAATAGAGACTGGGTTTTCACCGTGTTGGCCAGGCTGGTGTTGAACTCCTGACCTCAAGTGATCCACCTGCCTTGACTTCCTGAAGTGCTGGGATTACAGATGTGAGCCATTGTGCCTGGCCTGTTTGTTTGTTTATTTGTTTATGAGACAGAGTCTCACTCTGTCACCCAGACTGGAGTACAGTGGCGCGATCTCGGCTCACTGGAACCTCTGCCACCTGGGCTCAAGTGATTCTCCTGCCTCAGCCTCCCAAGTAGCTGGGATTATAGGCACCTGCCGCCACGCCCAGCTAATTTTTTGTATTTTTAGTAGAGACGGGGCTTCGTCATGTTGGCCAGGCTGGTCTTAAACTCCTGACCTCATGTGAACCACTGCGCCTGGCCCAGCCTGTTTATTTTTAGTCCCCAGTCTAACCCTTCAGACCTGCTGTGAGCTGGGAATTCATTCAGTGAACATTGTTACCCAGATTTTTTTTTAGTGCAGTACGAAGACAGCTGCCTTAATGTCTGTAGTTTCTGACCAAGGCCAGTGTTCTTTCTGCCTAAAATAAATCACATGGGTTTTGTGTTAATGGTTCATTTAGGTGAATTTTTTCCTCCCTTTTCTGCTCTCTGAGTGGTTCAAACTGGAGGAGTTTGCATCCAGACGTTTTCATCCAGCATCCACCTGGACTTAACGTTGACGGTGCCTTTGCGCTTAGTGGCAGAGGTCTTCCTGAATTACACCTGCCTGCTGTGCTCTGCCAGAGGCAGTGGTAAGGGACACACTTTTCCCTACTTAATCATGTTCTTCAGAACCAAGTTCAGTCACTGCTGGAGCTCTTGTTTTCCCTCATAAGCCTTCGAGTTTAATAGCTCAAGCCATCAGCAGAATTTTAAGAGCCAAGGCACCTTACTTTTAGGGTGTGCATTCATGAAAACAACCCTGAAAATTTACCTTTCTTTAAGAGTTTTAGAGTTTTAGCTCTTACATTTAGGTCTTTGGCCCATTTTGAGTTCATTTTTGTATATGGCATTAGATAATGGTCCAACTTCATTCTTTTGCATATGATGTTCAGTTTCCTTAAGATTGAGTTACCTGACATATGATTATTAAGTCTTTTATGTGGTTCGTTGGTTTTTCTGTTTGTTTGAGACAGGGCCTTGCTCTGTGTCCCAGGCTGGAGTGCAGTGGCGTGATCATAGCTCACTGCAACCTCCATCTCCTGGGTTCAAGCAATCCTCCCACCTCAGCCTCCTCAGCAGCTGAGATTACAGGCATGCGCCACCGTGCCCGGCTAGTTTTTGCGTTTTTAGTAGAGACCAGGTCACACCATGTTGGCCTGGCTGATCTAAAACTTCTGACCTCAGTTGATCTGTACACCTCCCAAAGTGCTGGGATTACAGGAGTGAGCTACCGCGCCTGGCCATGTGCTTGATTGGCTTGAATATTTCCTCATCAAACTAAAGATGAATTTTATATACCCATTAGTGTCATTTTATTCCTTTGGGAAAAAAAGAATGGTGATGTGGCTGGCTGTTGTCTACCCCTTTAATTCTGTTACTCTCATTTACATCTTTGTGTAAGGAGCCATTCTGGTAAGGAGTAGGGTTCATGAATTTCTGTTCTGGTGATTAATATCTTTCAGGGAATGTTGTTGGTAAAATGTTGAGTGCTTTGAAGAAATGTGTATTATTGTATGCATTTCTCAATGCCAGTGTTCCCTGGAACACTGACTCCGCACGATGTCGGTGTTTCATGAAGACCAGTTCATTGGCCACGTAAGGTTGGGAAACGCGGCTTCTCAAAGTTTGACATGGACTGTAAGGACATTAAAGGCTCAGAGAAGGCTTGTCTTAGAGAAGAGTTTTTAAGGTGTCCAAACCATTGTTCCCCATTCCTGTTTTACTATGGAAACCTTTTTAAAGCAGCTTGCTAACTTCCTGTAGGACTTCGGTGTTGTGAAGGGCAGGTTTGAACAACGCAGGGTAATAAATATGCAACTGTTATTGAATGCTCTTCTTGTGGTTTTAGCTTTAAGGCCCGGGCATTTGTCTGCCTGGTTTTGCTGGACACAGAGGCTGGAGCCTGGCTACCAGGTGCCTGGGTTAAGCTAAAGTCTGGGGTCTCTTCCCATACACTTAAATGCAGAGTCTCTTGCTGAAGCATGGCCCTCATTCTGCAGAGGGAATTGTGGCCCTATGGCACTCACTTGCACAGTTCCTGACCAAGTGGGGTCCACATCTATCTCACCAGCCCCTTCCCTAGGGTCCCCATTGTGCCCACTGCTCCCCCGCGTGGCCACCGTTCCTTCTGTGCTGTCAGGGCCTTTGCCCTCCTCTTCTCTCTGCCCTTCTGCTTCTGGCATTCCTGCCTTCTCTAGTCCCATCCTCAGCAGGAGGACCCCGACCCCCTCCTTTCTCATCCAGAGCTGGTTCCTGTCTTCCTCTTACAACACTGTAATTGTAGCTACACACAGCAGGCACCTTTATGTTTACCTTTTTCCTCATCAGACCACGGGCTCCGCAAGGAGAGGGACATCATGACAGGGATGATGTCGGCCGTTCATGTCTCTACTGTGACACCCAGTGTGGGAGCCGACACTTCCAAGCACTCAGTGAACAGCTAGGAAACAAGTTAACAGGAAGTAAAATGGCAGGGCATGGTATTGGAACACCCGGGAGTCAGGGCGTTTCCTTCTGTGTCAGAGCAAGGCAGGCTTTTTATTTTGAAACATGAACAAATGCCAGTTATTCTCATCACTAGTTAGATGGTTGCGCTGTTTTAATAATGGAAACACTGCAGTTCTCACACTAAACACGATGGAAATGAATGATTACATAGTAGTTTCCACCAGTGGAATGCACCTACTGTGAAGTTGTGTCTCAGGATGTGTTTTTCCAACAGCAACATCTGCGCAAGTGGATGGAAGTGGTGGTGATCACCCACAAAGGGGGCCAGAGGAGCGACGGAAACGTGAGTGACTTGTTTGTTTCTGGGAAGGGCACCAGCCGCCATGCTGGGTCAGTGCTAATGCCGGGACAGTGCTTTCATTAAAATGCCGGTCAGAAACCTAGTTTGACGTGATTGTAGTCCTTGTAAATTGTTAAACACATTTGATTGGTATTCTGTTTTGCCTATCTTTTCTCTTAATTGCTAAACATTCCTTTTTATGTTTCTTTAAAATCTCCCCTTTGGTTCACTTTAATATGACTCTTCTGTTGAGAATTCTGGGGGGCTTGAATGTTAGTATTTCAATTTTACCAGCTCTGCTTTAAACAGTGTATTTTCTAGCCTGTCCTTGGCAGCTGCTGTCTACATGGTGGTGCGTTCCTCAGCTATTGTTTCCATTGCTTTCCATCACGGGGTGGTCGGTAAATGTGTTTAATCATTATTGCCTGATAAAACCAACTGGTTTTTGGGACTGAAAGCTTTGAGGGGAATGTAAAAAGGAATCCCATAAATACTGGCACGTGTGTTTTCAAGGTCTGCGTCATCCACCCCAATTGTTTGCCCAGTTATATGACTGGCCCTTCAAAGCACATTTGTATGGTTTTAAAGGAAAACCGCTTCAGCTAAATCTTTTAAAGTGTCTATTGTGGGTCATTAAAGACTTTGTCTCTTAAGAATGCATGCTTTCTGCTGTTTTAAATCTAATATTATTTGTATATGTTTATTTTTTACAGTTTTTGTTTTTAACTTGCTGTCCTCGCAGTGGAATTGCCTTTTCCATGAGTTTCATAATCCCAGTGAAACATGACAGCAGTATTCCTATTAGGGACTTCCTTATAGTTCTTCAGAGGCATAATTAACGTGGCTTTTTGTCCTCGTGTGCCTTTGCTGGATGTGTTCCATCCTAACTTGGATTTTTCTTTTCTGGCTTTATTATGCTTTGTTTTGACCATTGTGTGTCAAGGTGTTTTGTTTATGTAAGTCTTGTTTCCTACTGCTTCTAAACAGCCAAGTAAGCAAAACTAAACCAGGATTTTTTTAAAGAAGTGATATGCCACGCATGACCCTGTTAAAGGTTTGCTGTTTATATATGTGGAAGAGAATCAGGAACTCTTCGTGGAGGAGAGCAGAGTATATTAATGAGCCCAGGCTCCTGGGATGAGGTGCAGGTGTCTGTGTGCTGCTCTCCCTCTCTCATCTGTTAGGTACTTTTGCTTTACATTTTATATTTGTTTTTATAGTAAGCTATTAATTTTCTGGAACTCAGTCAGTTCTAGAATAAACATTTAAAAAAAAACCTAGTGGGTAGATTCAACCTCATTTGAATCAAAAAGATTTAATATAAAGTCCTTAATGTAGCCTAGTAAAAAAAAATAAAATATTTCATAAAAGTTAGCAGATTATTTGGAGGTGGGGGTGCAGTTGTATAGGGGATGGAGTCGTGGATACTGGGAAGTCCTTGAGCTCCTCCTGGAACATTTTTATCCTGTGATTGTGTTACCTGACCATCCAGGGAGGGTCCAGCTCTGTGAGGTTGGCCGCTTGTCTGAAACTCAGAGGCTATGGTGTTTGGGGGCTTGTCTGAAACTCAGAGGCCATGGTGTTTGGGGGCCCAGAGACAACAGGGCCATGGCTTCATCACCTAAGCCTGGGGCCAGGCCACTGTTCAGCTCTTGAACTCTGACCATATTTTAATCTTGGAAAGTAGTTAGTTCCTGTTTGGTGGAATCCCCAAATGACAGTGTTCCGTTGAGACACTATAATTGAAGATATGCTAGATCGTTGACTAAAGAAATAAGTCAAAGCTGCCCTCGAGCATTTTTTTTTTTCTTTGAGACGGAGCCTCTGTCACCCAGCCTGGAGTGCAATAGCACAGTCTTGGCTCACTGGAGCCTCCACCTCCTGGGTTCAAGCTATTCTCCTGCCTCAGCCTCCCAAGTAGCTGGGATTACAGGCGCCTGACACCACATCCAGCTCATTTTTCTATGTTTAGTAGAGATGGGGTTTCACTTTGTTGGCCAGGCTGGTCTTGAACTCCTGACCTCAGGTGATCCACCTGCTTTCGCCTCCCAAAGTGCTGGGATTACAGGCGTGAGTGACAGTGGCCAGCCTGCCCTGAAGCTTTGGATACCCCTTTGATCAGAGTTCTGCCCCATCACTGTGTTTAGGAAGCTTCCCTTTTTAACCATGAGCTTGCAGGGGAGAACGCGTGACCACTTGTTATGTGTATGCACACATACATGCGTGCACACACACACCCACACAGAGCTAGTTTTAGGAAGACTGCTTACTTTACATGATAACCCAGCTGTCCATTGGGTGCGGTGATGGCCTAAACCACCTGGACCTCTTCTGACTGTAGCCGGGAAAGAGGTTTTTGTTATTTTTTATTATCTTAGCCCTTCATATAAAATTTGTTCACTCTACAAAAGACTTTTTAAAAATGTACTTGCATACAACAAGGTCTTCCAGTTTCTCCCCTTTCACAAGAATCCTGAAACCCTATTTTGAAAACGTGCTGTAGGGAAGAATTCCACTGTTAGACACTCTCTGTCAGATGGGCCGTGTTTTGACATCGAAGGTGAAAGTGTGCTTTTTGCTGTTGAGCATTTGTTAATTACTGTGTGCTTTCTGATAATTTGTGTCTTTACTGTCTTGTTAACCCCAATAACCCTTACTGTGTTTGAGTATGTGGGAAGTTTTTATGTAAATAACATAAATAGAAAAAAGATGATTTTCCTCCCCATCCTCAGGAAAGCATTTCCGAGTGCGGGAGATGTCCCTTGTCTCCATTCTGTCAGTTTGAGGTGAGAACAACCTATTAACAGTCAGTTTCTGACTTGCAATGTGAAGAAAAGTTTACCTTTTCTTTTCTTTTCTTTTCTTTTTACCTTTCTGTTGCCTTTTTTCATGCTGTAATTTTTGTTTTGGTTCAGCCTGCCATGGAAGGGGTAGAGGTGAGAACTTGAGCGGAGCTACAGGAGGGGGTTGTTGTCGTTGCTGGTTTTGCTGTGACTCGTTAGCTGTGTCGTGGTTCTGTACTGGACAGAGTGCGTTGTGCCCTTGAGTGCAGTGACCTGTATTGTCTGTCTGTGGCAGAGTTGTATCAGTATCATTGCTGTGAACTGTCTGATGCCAAGCATGTTTTCTATTAGGATGTTTTAAGCAAGACTCTTAAGTTCGTGTGAGAATTGCAATGTCTCAATTATATTCAAGATTGAATTAGATTTTGTGTTCGTAACCTCTATCTGAATACACATAGCTAGCAACCTCCTGAGAGGAAACTCACACAGAGTATATTGTGCCTGCTAGAAGTGGGAGGAATTACATGTTCTTTCACACTACTGACTGCCCTGAATTTAAAACCTTACAGCTTGTCCCACTCACCCACCCAGTCCCCTTCATCTCCCTCTTGCGTGCACACACACCACACATGCACACACACCGATGCACTCACAACACGCGTGCACACAGACCACACGTGCACTCACACCACACATGCACACACACCACACATGCACACACACCAGTGCACTCACAACATACATGCACTCACACCACACATGCACACACACCACACGCGCACACACCACATATGCACACAACACATATGCACACACACCACACATGCACACACACCACAATGCACTGACAACACACATGCACACACAACACACATGCACACATACCACACATGCACACACACACTGATGCACTCACAACATTGTGCAGCATTGCACACACCCCGAGCTTTCCCTCTTGTGTAAAATGGGGATGATGGCATCTGTTACTCCTGCCTCCCAGTGGTGTTGCAAAGACCCAAAGAAGTGGTTTCTGTGACAGTGCTTTGAAAATGAAAAAGCAGATTGTAAAAGTACCATTTTAGAATGTTATAATTTCAGGATAGAACTTACTCTTCCTAAGTCTTGCAGATTCTGGGGAAGAGAATTGTAGGGGGCATGGAGCTGGCCTTGAGCCCATTTTCCTCATTTTGTCTCCATCTCCTGCTTTGCCTTTTGGTGTAAAGAGAAATTCTGAAAAGTCTCTCAGGTGCTGCTGGGAGTGGGGCCCTTCCTGATCCGTGCTATCATCCCCTTCTTACCCCGAGGATCGCAGCGCGCACAGCGCAGCACGGCACATTGGAACGTGTCCCTCCCTTGTGGCCATGGAGAATTCCTTTGAATGACAGGAGCAAAACTGGAAAGTGAGAAGGGAAAGCTGGAGCAACAGCAGCCCACCCCTGAGCTGTGAGACAGTAGAACATGCAGCACCCTTGGCATTTCACACATCTTTGATTTAATTCAGCGGAGCAGTTTGTCAGCTTTATTTTTAGGCCTGGTTGACAAATACTTAGTACCAGGATCAGTTGTTTATATACATTGATATTTAATTTCCAGGGTAAATAGTTAATTTTTTGAAGAACTTTCTCTGCTAGGGTTTTTTTTGTTTGTGTGGTTTTTTTTTTCTTTTCTTTTTTTTTGAGACCGGGTCTCATTCTGTTGCCCAGGCTGGAGTGCAGTGGCACGATCTCAGCTCACTGTAACCTCCGCCTCCTGGGTTCAAGCAGTTCTCCTGCCTCAGCCTCTGGAGTAGCTGGGACTACAGGCGCCCGCCACCACGCTCGGCTAACTTTTGTATTTTTAGTAGAGACGGGGTTTCGCCATGTTGGCCAGGCTGGTCTCGAACTCCTGACCTCAGGTGATCCACCCGCCTCAGCCTCCCAAAGTGCTGGGATTACAGGCATGAGCTACCACACTGGCCACTGCTAGGTTTTGAGGGCAAAAGACATCTGTGCCCTTAGAACTTAGTGTGTTGAGAGGACCTCGTGATACCTTGGCAAAGTAGGGCATCCTCACACTGCTCTGGCCCCAGGTGGAATCATCCCTGCTTCTGTGAGGGGACTATTATGGCAGCCTGGTAAGGTCACCTTTACCACTTGTGAGCACGCATGACAGCAAACAGCACGATCACATCGGGTGTACACCGTCGGCCCCTCCACACCCCTACAATGGACAGGAATGCTGAAGGCCACGGGCAGTCAGTTTCCTTAGGACACAGCACAGTTAGAACCTAAGGCTAGTAAGTTGTGGCTTTTACATGTGAACCCTTCGCTTCACTGCCTAGCCTTGCCAACATAGTTAGACTATAGTAGGGTCTGTAGTGACGTTGACCTCTGTCACTTGCAAAATTAATCGACCTGTTTATAATTTCTGGTTTTCTTGATCAGGAAATGAAGATTTGCTCAGCAATTATAAACCTTTTTCATCTGATCCCGGCTGCTCCTCAGACACTGGTGAAGCCTTTGCTAGAGGTTGTCATGAAAACGGAGCGGGCGATGCTGATCGAGGTAAGGGCCATACTGAAGGCTGCTTCTCGCTCTGCCACCCTCCGGTGCTTATAGCGTCCTCACTTGATCGTATTTTCAATGGACGGAACAGCATAAAGACGTTCGATGTCAACATTTGCTTGTGGGTGTTCATGCACTCCAGTAACAAGGGACCTTGTTAGGTAGACAGCCTCAAGCTCTGAGAAGAGGAAGTTGTGAGATGCAGCATTCCCACATGTTTTGCAGGCGGGGAGTCCATTCCGAGAGCCCCTGATCAAGTTCCTGACTCGACATCCCTCGCAGACAGTGGAGCTGTTCATGATGGAAGCCACACTGAACGATCCCCAGTGGAGCAGAATGTTTATGGTAAGAGCTGTGAGCAGCTGGAGTCAGGGGTCCCTTCAAATGCTTGTGAGCTGTCGTGCTCTGAAATGTTCAGTTCATATTTCACTATTCAGTGTCCTGGCTGCTTTTTTTTCAGATCCATTTGAATATTGGAAACAGCATTGCTGTTTGGTTGTGTCTGTGAAATGTGCAGGTCTAGGAACCACTCTTTATAGGACTTTGGTGGTGGTAGCAAATAAATGTTCTGCCAGGATTATAAAATCATAAAGTATGATTATTATTTAAAAGTATTTTCTAAGGGCCCACACCTGTAATCCCAGCACTTCGGGAAACTGAGGCAGGTGGTTTACTTGAGCCCAGGAGTTTGAGACCAGCATGGGCAACAGAGTGAGACCTTGTCTTTACAAAAAATATGAAAATTAGCCGGGCACGGTGGCACATGCCTGTAGTCCCAGCTCCTCAGGAGCTTGAGGTGGGAGGATTGCTTGAGTTCGGAGTTGGAGGCTGCAGTGAGCTATGATTTTACCACTGCACTTCAGCCTGGGCAATAGACCCAAGACTCTGTCTCTTTTTAAAAAGAAAAAAAAAAAGCATCTTTTTAAAAAGCATGCGTGTGGTGCTTTTTTGGTAAGCCTTCTTTGAGAGATTTAGAAAGATTTTTAAAAGATTTAGAAAGATTTAACATTCATATCCTCTAACTTTCTGTGAGTTTGATTAGCTTAAAACGGCTTTTCTATTTGTTTTGCTTTCAGAGTTTTTTAAAACACAAAGACGCCAGACCTCTGCGGGATGTGCTGGCTGCCAACCCCAACAGGTTCATCACCCTGCTGCTGCCGGGGGGTGCCCAGACGGCTGTGCGCCCCGGTTCGCCCAGCACCAGCACCATGCGCCTGGACCTCCAGTTCCAGGCCATCAAGGTAGCGCCCCTTCCTCCAGCCCCCAATGCCCAGGGGTTTAATCGAGACACGGTTCCCTAATTATCTCTTCTTTGACAGATCATAAGCATTATAGTGAAAAACGATGACTCCTGGCTGGCCAGCCAGCACTCTCTGGTGAGCCAGTTGCGACGTGTGTGGGTGAGTGAGAACTTCCAAGAGAGGCACCGCAAGGAGAACATGGCAGCCACCAACTGGAAGGAGCCCAAGCTGCTGGCCTACTGCCTGCTGAACTACTGCAAGTGGGTGCCTCCTCCCGCCCTGCCCCGCGGGACTGGCTCTGTCCCAAAAGCTCAGCCAGAGCCTCCTTCTACTCTGTACAAGGCTGTGGTCATTGGATGCGTGCAGTCAGATTGGTTGTGGAGAATGGGCTGTGTCTCTGAGCTGTTTAAAGGCAAGTCAGAGGCGTAGTTGTTAATGAAATTTGCTCTAAGTTAACCTGTCTTCTTCTTTTGACCCTCCAGAAGGAATTACGGAGATATAGAATTGCTGTTCCAGCTGCTCCGAGCCTTTACTGGTCGTTTTCTCTGCAACATGACATTCTTAAAAGAGTATATGGAGGAAGAGATTCCCAAAAATTACAGCATCGCTCAGAAACGTGCCCTGTTCTTTCGCTTTGTAGACTTCAACGACCCCAACTTCGGAGATGAATTAAAAGCTAAAGTGAGTCCCACTCTTATGCTGTAGAAGGGTATGGGTATTTGGTCTGGTTTTCTAGGGAACTTTGGGCCCTTTTCTTTTTTTGCTGTGTCACTCTTGAATAAATAGTAGAGTGAGCCAGGTGCTGTGGCATGTGCCTGTAATCCCAGGTACTCAGGAGGCCACAGCGGGAGGATTGCTTGAGCTCAGGAGTTGGAGGCTGCACCGAGCTATAATCACACCACTGCATCCCAGCATGGGTGACACAATGAGACTCTGTCTCAAGAAAAAAATAAAATTAGTGGGCTGGGCTGTAGGTGAGAAAGTGCCGTTGCTCAGGAGCGTCAGGTGCATGCAGGAGTGACCCAGTGTTGAAGGGTGGTTTGTTAATTGCCTTGTTTTTAGAAAATGGCTTGTTTGACATGAAAAGAATAAACCAGGCTGACATCTCTTTTCCACAAGTTTTTAACCTACCTTTCTAGTTGCTCTTTGCATAGGAGTCAAGGTTGGTAGTCACACCCTGGGTTGAGTTCCAACTTGATGGTGTGCTAAGGCCAAGACTAGCTGTTCTTCCCGTCTTAAGAAACAAACAGCATGGCTTTGTTTTTCTCCTTCTTTATTTAAATTTTTTTTGTAGGTTCTGCAGCATATCTTGAATCCTGCTTTCTTGTACAGCTTTGAGAAGGGGGAAGGAGAGCAGCTCTTGGGACCTCCCAATCCAGAAGGAGATAACCCAGAAAGCATCACCAGTGTGTTTATTACCAAGGTGGTATCACTATGTGTGTGGGTGTGAGAAGTAGCCTGGCATGTGGATGAACATCTGTGTGTGTGTGTGTGTGTGTGTGTGTGTGTGTGTTAAGGGGGTTCATTGAAATAAGTTTGTTCCGCCAACACGTTTATTTTTCATGATTGTGTTAGTTTTTAGCAGACCGTCACCTTAACGATTCTTGTTAGTGAGTTTTTGAAGGCAGCCTTACTTTCGAATGAATTAACTTTCCCACATTAATAGATTTAGTCAGAAATGGAATAGATCTCAATGAAAATTCATATAGCAGTTATTTTGTGAAAACCCCTGTTGCCGGTCAGCAGAGTTTCTGTGTTCCATTTTCATCTTCAGTTTTACAAAAGACTCTCCTAACAGCCAGTGAGCATATGAGACTGCCTGCAGTAGCTGCTGTGACTCCTCCTTTTCCAGTGAATGAAACCCTGTGGTGGCCGTAGTCCAGTCTGAAATGAGCTCGGTTTTAATATCTCTGTGCTTTACAGTTTGTGTTAGAGAGGGCTTTTTGAATTAAATGCCTGCATCATGTTATTTCCCCAAGGTTTACTGTATTGATCTTCACTGTTAAAGGCCGTGTTTGCCCTGAGATTCTCACACTGAGTGTTTGTTGGAATGCTGAGTGATGGCGTTCCTCATCAGAAATACAGATTGCTGGTTTTCTTATCCATTTTGTCCTGAGATCAAGGCAGAGGGGACTGTTGTTTCCATTGGCAGATTCTTGGACCTTACATAGTCTTTGTCCTTTCAGCTGGGCCTCCTTCCTGAAGTGTTGACATTCCACCCTATGATCAGAGTGAGCCCAAGGGTTTATTCTTGGTCCCCGTACTGATATTTGCCTTATTCTGGGCAAGTGTAGGGAGATGGGGTCCAGACAGGACCCCTTCCCCTTTGTTACCTTCTCCAGGCTGTGTCTCCTGGGTCAGATGCTGCTGTGGGGATTTTGAACGTCAGGATGAGGAGAAAAGGAGCTGGCAGGCTGGAGGCTGTGGATGCAGGTGTGGGCCTGCCAAGAAGCAGTACATCTGGGGAAGAGAGGACCTTGGGGCTAAAAGGGACCTTGATAAAAACATGATTATAGTGGAAGACTTCAGTCTGTCTGTTTTTCAGAATTATTAAGACCTGGTAGACAGACAGCGGTTAGGATACTTAGTTGAATTGAATGATGCTGCCATTATACTTGATTTAATAGAGATGCGTAGAATATTCCTCAAAGAAGGCACATTTTTTTCTTATGTCAATGAAACACTTAAAAAATCTGTCAGATGCTTTCAAAACTGCAACAATTTTTTGAACGTAGACATTTTTCCAGGTCACATTTTCTGATCATAATGCAGAAAAATGAGGAGTAGACAAAAGTTGACCAGGAAAAAACATCTCAACTACTTGGAAATTAAGAAACTCAGTCCTAAATCACCTCGAATCAAAGAGGTCTTCTTTTCCACCTCACCCTCCTCCAGCCCCTGCATCCTGACTCTTAAGCCTGCCCTATTTTAAATGTTGAATTTGGTGAATTTCTAATCCATTTGTAAACCAAAAAGTATCTGAGACGGATCTCAATCAATTTAGAAATTTATTTTGCCAAAGTTAAGGATGTGTCCGGGAGAGACATTTGTGCCTTTCTCTAAAAATGGTTTTGAGGGCTTCAGTATTTGAAGGGGAAGAGTGGGCTGAAGGGGAACGGGGGAAGGTGTGGTCATCCACACGTTGCCAAAGAAGGGGACCAGGTAGGGGAAGAGTCAGTTCTGTGTTCATCTCATGCTCGGTAAGTCAGCACTTTACGTAAGATAAGGTGAACGTGGGGCCGTCACCTGTGCAGATCGTTAACCTTTCATCTGTAGCTCTCCTTAGGAACGAAAGGAGCCAGTTTCTTGCATGACTCAGCTTTCAGCTTAATTTTTTTCCACTGGGCAGAGCAAATTGGGGTCCTGGGGTTTTTTTCTCCTTTCACATATATGTGAAGGAAAATGGATAGGATGTTATTGATAACCTCCTTGTAAAACTTCATGTTACATTGTGTGTGTGTGTGTGTGTGTGTGTGTGTGTGTGTGTGTGTGTGTGTGTTTTTAAGGCTTAAACCTGTCGTATGACCCTCAGTCAGTAACCCAGTTCACAACTGGAAATGAGTCCTTCCTGCTGTCCCTGCACAGGTCCTGGACCCCGAGAAGCAGGCGGACATGCTGGACTCGCTGCGGATCTACCTGCTGCAGTACGCCACGCTGCTGGTGGAGCACGCCCCCCACCACATCCATGACAACAACAAGAACCGCAACAGCAAGCTGCGCCGCCTCATGACCTTCGCCTGGCCCTGCCTGCTCTCCAAGGCCTGCGTGGACCCAGCCTGCAAGTACAGCGGACACTTGCTCCTGGCGCACATTATCGCCAAATTCGCCATACACAAGAAGATCGTCCTGCAGGTATTTTGCAAGCCCCTCCTGTCCGCCGACATCAGCGTGAATCTCACATGGTGCACTTGGCTCCCTGGTGCAGTCTCAGCCTCTCCTGTTGTCTTCTCCCAAAACCAATAAAAACCATGAAAACACAGACACTGTATGATTCCACTTAGAAGACCATAGGGCACTCAAATTCAGAGAGACAGAAAGTAGAATAGAGATTGCGGGGGTTGGGGAGAGGGGGTGGGGAGCGAGTATTGAATGGTGCGGAGTTTCTGCCTGGGAAGATGCAAACATTCCGGAGATGATGGGGCTCATGGCTGCACACAGTGTGAAGGTGCCGAGCGCCACTGGGCTGTGCACCCAAAAATGGGTAAGATGGTACATTCTGTGTTATGTGTGCTTTACCACAGTGAAAGGAAATTTGTGGGGAAAACACCCCACACTGTGAGCCCTCCCATGACTGTCCACGTTCTCCCTTCCTCCCCCATTCCCACTCTGCTCTCTCGTTCCTCAACAGCTTTGCTTTTAAAAGGAAAGGTCACCCTTTTCCATCTCAAGCTTCTCTGTCCATTGCATTCTGGCTTCTGACTCTGACATTCCATGGCAGATGTTATAATATTCAAGGGCCCCAGCCCACTTCTCTTAGCCAAAGACAATAGGTACTTTTGGATCCGTATCTCATGAGCTTGTTGCTGTGCAGCTGGTATTGAGCGCCTCTTCCTGGAGTACCTCGGTGGTTTGGGCTCTGAGGTTGGGCACCCCGGGTTTGAGGCTGGTATTGAGCGCTTCTTCCTGGAGTCCCTCAGTGGTTTGGGCTCTGAGGTTGGGCACCCCGGGTTTGAGTGTTGTTTCTTCCGCTCACACGGTCCATGCCCTTTGGCAAGTTAATGTCTCCGTGTGAGAATTAAATGTAATACTCCACTCGAGCATGCGGCATTATTTAATCACTGATAGTTCTTCTGTGAGACCGTCTTTGACAGCTTTCCCCTGACATCTTTCTCTTGTGAACCTCTGTGGTGTTGAACTCTGCACCCCAATCAAGCCAGAGGTCTCTCACATCCCCTCCCATGGGTCGTTGAGCTAGAACTCCAGCCTCGGGGCTGCCCTGCCCTCCCCCAGTTGTCTCAGACACAAACACTCGAGAACTCTGTGACCTTCTCTGCTCCTCCCCACTGCCCAGGCACCAGCAGGTTCTGCAGCTTCTAACACCCACCCCGTCCCCTCTACCCTCAGAACTGGTCTTCTCTGTGTTCCCATGACCTCACATCGGGGCCTCACCTCTCACTTGAGTGACTGCAGCTGCCGCTTCTCAGCGCCTCTCTTGTTGGCCCTGTTCACTTTATTTCCCATCCTGCAGTCGGAGGGAGATGAGCCATGTACCTCCCTAACTCGCTGCTGGTTAGGCGGGACATGGGATCCCTGCAGGGAGCTTGGTCTTACCTGTCTGCATGTCCTGGCCTAGTTCAGCACGGGCACGTAGTAGGTGCATTATAAATACTAGAATGAATGTATTCATTGGTCAAAACTTAACAGAAAGCAACTAAGTTGTTTCCTAATAAGAAAGTCCTAAGAAGTTTTTAAAAAATTGTTTTGGAAAAGTAGCATGTCTTGACACCAAGGGATTGTCTTCTTATTTCTTAAAGCCTTCCTTCTCATCCTCCATAAACGTCTCTTCCCTGTTTTAGGTTTTTCATAGTCTCCTCAAGGCTCACGCAATGGAAGCTCGAGCGATCGTCAGACAGGCGATGGCCATTCTGACCCCGGCGGTGCCGGCCAGGATGGAGGACGGGCACCAGATGCTGACCCACTGGACCCGGAAGATCATTGTGGAGGAGGGGCACACCGTCCCGCAGCTGGTCCACATTCTGCACCTGATAGTGCAACACTTCAAGGTGTGTAGGAGGGACGGTGGGCTGCGGGGCGCGCGTCTTCAGGCATTCACTTTGAACCTTTACCTTGTCTTGTTCTGCAATAATCAGGTGGTCGTTCATCTTTTAGTAAGGCTACTTCTGGTTCATTGATTAGTTTGTGTATGTGTGTATGGCTTTATCAGCATGGAAATTGCTGTAATATAGAGAATATGTCACAGGTGTGTGTGTCTTTGCGTCTGAGGCTACATTTCTGTTGTAAGTACTGTGCCCAGTTAACCCTTGTATGCTGCTAAGTTTGCACCTTAAGGTGGGAGATAGTCCTCATTGACTCTAGATTTCCATCACCTGCCTTGGAAAGTTATTCATGTTGCTGGCACCTCCTTCTCTGGCCAAATTACCCTTTTTGTGGGATTTATTTATATGTAAATGTTTCTTGTAGATTTGGGGTAGAAGAGAAAGGATTGAGTTGAAAGCAAATTCTTTTATAGTCACCTCTTAGAGGAACTTTGCTTTTGGGTATGTCTTAAACTTTTACAATGTCAAGTTCTGAAGTTTGATACATGTGATTAGACTCACCTTCCTGTCTGAAGAGAATTTGATTTTTCAAGACTGAAGTATACTATTGTAATGGGATGTAATGGGATGTAGTTGGGGTGGGGGAGGGTGATAAACACATACATAAGGCAGTGAGAATTTCCTCGCTCAGGTTAGGATTCAGAATTCTTGAGCATCAAGTTGGGCTGTGTGTGTATGTTGGGGCTGAGAGGCATGTCGGGGGTGTGTGTGTGCACGTGCGCACACGTGCATGCACTGTGGGACCAAGCTCCCATGTTCCGGCGTGATGCTGGCCCTGCGTCCGCAGGTGTACTACCCGGTACGGCACCACTTGGTGCAGCACATGGTGAGCGCCATGCAGAGGCTGGGCTTCACGCCCAGTGTCACCATCGAGCAGAGGCGGCTGGCCGTGGACCTGTCTGAAGTCGTCATCAAGTGGGAGCTGCAGAGGATCAAGGACCAGCAGGTAGGGGTGTCAGCCTCAGGGGTGCCCCGATCGTCTTCCTTTGACTTCTCCCTAGAAATCAGTCAGTAAAACCAAGCGCCTGTGTGTTTTTAAGCCGGATTCAGATATGGACCCAAATTCCAGTGGAGAAGGAGTCAATTCTGTCTCATCCTCCATTAAGAGAGGCCTGTCCGTGGATTCTGCCCAGGAAGTGAAACGCTTTAGGACGGCCACCGGAGCCATCAGTGCAGTAAGATCATGTGCCTCTGTATGGGTGCTGCGCATTCTGCTGGGAGTTGGTTCGTTTATTCCCTATATTTAGAATGTGAGCTCGGTGCTCAGCTGCATTCAGGAGAGGAAGCTGGGAACAGCCACGGTCACCAGATTGAAACTCCAGGACATGTCACTCATGCAAGGGGTTCCCAGGTCACCAGACATGCTTGCCTCATGCGTTCAGTTCATACCATTAAAGTTCTGTTGATGATGGTTGATTACTTGCAGAAAGGCATCTAGAGAAACTCTTTGAAGTAAGGAGTTGATTAAGAACATGTGCCCATACTGAGATCAGTTTCTGAGAAGGACATGTGTTCTGTTTCACGAGGCAGCCACCAAGAGGGTCCTGGGTATTGCCCCTTGTGGAGTGGTGGCCCTAGGAGCCCTGAGTCTGACCCCAGCTGGTGTCATGGACCTGCTGGCTTGTGGACGCAGGCCTGGCCACCCTACTTCTGGCTTCGTAGGCCTGAGGCTGAGCTCTTCTCCCACCCTCACCATCCCCCATCTTATGTGGCACCCATGTCTGCCCTCGGCTTCTATTAGAAACCTGGCACTGTCTGCACTTTGTCCATTGGCCTCGCTCCACACATCTGGTCCGGAGCAAGTCTCACTCTGCCGCAAATAACTCATCCCTGCCTTCACACTGTGGTCCCAGTCTCTGTCACCCCTCGAAGTAACCAGATGGGAGCTGCTCAACTGCCTCCCTGTTCTCTCTTTCGCTGTTCCTCTCTCCGCCTCCACTTTTATTCCCTCTTTATTTTTCACAAAGCAGTCAGACTTCCACAAAAGTTTCCTTTTGCATCTTGAATCAGGGGAAGCTGGGTGAAGGGTACGTGAGACCTCTACAGTGTTTTTGTAGAAATCTCTTGTGGATCTTACAATCCTTTGGAAGTAAAAAGTTGAATCAAGTCAGGTTGCCATTCCCCTTGCTTGAGCCCTCGCATTGACTGTGGCCTCCAGGGCCCGGGTGACCAGGCCCTGCTGATGGCTCTTGGCCCCCAGCACCGTCTCAGTGCTCAGCCATGCGGGCCATCCCTCTGCTCTCAATGCACCCCTGGTTCTGGCCCTGTGCTCACTCAGGATGTGTCCCCTGGCCTTTTCCCTCCACTGGGAGCTGTCTCTCTTCTTTTTTCTCATGGCCCGCTTCGTCTCAACCTAAAGACCTCCCTTGATGTCGTCTTGGGCCTCGCACTTTTGTTCCCCATCACATGAGCCACTATTTTGTTGACTAGCCATCTGCCCTCCTGCTGGCTGTGTCGACTTCACCAGGGCACAGACCACATCTGTCTTTGGTATCCCCAGCGCCCAGAGCTGCCTCTGTCCCCGGGAGGTACCGCATACCCATTAGCTGGGTGAAAAGTCAAGCCTGGGTTGGAAATTAGTGTTGCGATTCTCTTCCTGCCTGAAAGGAGGTCCTTTTCCAGGTCTTTGGGAGGAGCCAGTCGCTACCTGGAGCAGACTCTCTCCTCGCCAAGCCCATTGACAAGCAGCACACAGACACTGTGGTGAACTTCCTTATCCGCGTGGCCTGTCAGGTACGGGATCCAAGTGCCCTGCGTTAGGGCTTCTGCAGACCAGAGGCTACTGACTAACACCCCAGGAGGTTATCTGTGGCAATTTCATCAAAAAAGATACAGACAAACCAAGGTCTGCCAGCTGGTTCTGTCATTTTCGTATCAACTGCACTTGATTTTGTGGCAGGTTAACATTTCCAAAATCTACCTGTGTCTTATAATTGATCTAATTTTTTTGGTTTTTTTTTTTGAGATGGAGTCTCGCTTTGTTGCCCAGGCTGGAGTGCAGTGGTGCGATCTTGGCTCACTGCAGCTTCAACTCAGGTTCAAGCGATTCTCGTCCCTCAGCCTCCTGAGTTGCTGGGATTACAGGCGCGTGCCACCACACCCAGCTAGTTTTTGTATTTTTGGTAGAGATGGGGTTTCACCATGTTGGCCAGGCTGGTCTCGAGCTCCTGACCTCAAGTGATCCACCCACCTTGGCCTCCCAAAGTGCTGGGATTGCAGGCATGAGCCACCGTGCCTGGCCTGATAGGATTTTTTTAAAAAGCATTTCACTCTTTCAGTGGTAATAAAATAATGATGTGCCTTCTAGTTGACAGCATGTTAACATTGGTGGATTATGGTGGGACATGATCTCGGCTGATCATTTAACTTCCAGGTGTTCTTTTTGCATCCTTAAGATGGGAACGGTACACAGCTCAGTAAAGGGTGAGATGATCCAACCTACAGAAGGAAGGGACATTTAGCAGTTTTAGTGCTTTGATAACTTGAGTTTATTTATCATTCATATCAATCTATATCTTAATAGAATTTTTGGAAATTCATTTCTGAAACTTTATATTTCAAAGAACCATTGTAAATGAAATTTTCCTAAATTTTAAGTTCTTATTCCTGTTAAACAAAATAGTATATCTTACAGTTCTGTTGGGAATTTCCAAGTACTGAAAAGGATCTGCTAAGTACCTAACCAGTAGATAATTCCTTGCCTCCCTGCAGTGTGCAGGGAGGTCCTGTGGGGAGCCAGCAGGGCCCACAAGCCATTGCAGGTCACCACGGATGCGCTGCAGAGGAGGGGGCCGTGAGGGGTCATGAGTCAGGCTGGTTGGGGAAGGTGTCCAGCTGTGTGGAGGTCAGGCGGAAGAGAGGTGGCTGTGAGGTGAAGATCTGAGACAGGTGTAAGGGCCAGGGCACAGTTGAGACGTGCTGTCACTGGAATGACTGTAAACTCGGATGCAGTGAAATGCCGGCTGTAACTCGGATGAATTCCTAGGTTAATGACAACACCAACACAGCGGGGTCCCCTGGGGAGGTGCTCTCTCGCCGGTGTGTGAACCTTCTGAAGACTGCGTTGCGGCCAGACATGTGGCCCAAGTCCGAACTCAAGCTGCAGTGGTTCGACAAGCTGCTGATGACTGTGGTGAGTGCGAGTGTCTGAAGGGCCAGGGCAGCGCCACCGAGGCCACTAGCAGATACTGTCACCTGGGCAGGGACTGGACATTTGTGGATCACTCTGACCCTTATGCCTAAACCCCAAATCTCCTGTCCCCTTTGCCAGTCATGGCCTCTCCCACATTGGCCTCCACTGCTCTCTCCAGGGAGAGAGTTTGACTAATTGATAATGGCTTTGCTCTTGAGGCTTTAGGAGTTCGAGACCAGTCTGGGCAGCATAGTGAGATCCCAATTCTACAAAAGAGAAGACAGAAAATTAGCTGGGCATGATGGTGTGAGCTTGTAGTCCCAGCTACTTAGAAGAGCCTAAAGCAGGAGGGTTGGCTGAACCTGGGAGGTTGAGGCTGCAGTGAGCTATGATTGGTGCCACTGCACTACAGCTTGGGAGACAGAGCAAGCAAGACCTGGTCTCTTAAAAAAAAAAAAAAAAAAGAAAAAGAAAAGAAAAGAAAGAATGGCTTTGGGACTTGAGCTTTCATGCTGGCCCCAACTACACGTAGGAGTGTTTAACCTTAATACAGTTCTCTTGCATTTTGTGGACTCGTTTCTAAAACTTACCTACCAGTTGGCTTGGGATAAGCATTTTTAATTGACTGTTGCAACAACCTTTAAGATGAGCTTTGGATTTTTAAAACAGATTTAATGATGGAGCTATAATTTGTTATCAAGTACCATGTAGCACTTAGGTAACAAGGAGCTAGTCCCAAAATGCTAATTATCTTATTTTGGTGGCTGTTTTTTTGCTTATAAAAACCATGATCCTGTGCTTTTCTGGTGGCAGCAAAAGCTATTTTCTTGCCTTATCCACATTTGGTTTTTCTAGTTCTTGACAGGATTTGGAAACTTTTGCTATTGAGATTATAAAACCTATTGCAAGCACTTGTTATTCTGGACTGCAAAGGCCATGTTGCTTCTATTTGACCTCTGCTATGAACCACGAACTCTGTCTTCTATTTTATTCTGTTTCTTTGGTTTGTTTTTATTAATTTTTAGTGCTTCCATCATCTGTTAGTTGATTCCATGATACATAGTTTGAAAGATGCTTGTCTTTGGAAGGATATTTGTTTTTTGTTTTTGTTTCGTTTTTTTGAGACAGTCTCACTCTGTCGCCCAGGCTGGATTGCAGTGGCACAGTCTTGGCTCACTGCAACCTCCACCTCCCGGGTTCAAGCGATTCTCATGCCTCAACCTCCCAAGTAGCTGAGACTACAGGCGTATGCCACCATGCCTGGCTTTTTGTGTGTGTGTGTGTGTGTGTGTGTGTGTGTATTTTTAGTAGAGACGGGGTTTCACCATGTTGACCAGGCCAGCCTCAAATTCCTGGCCTCAAGTGATCCATCCACTTCAGCCTCCCAAAGTGCTGGGATTACAGGCGTAACCACTGCGCCTGGCCTGGAAGGATATTTGTATTTTTGTATCTTAAGAAAATGGGAAGAGAAAAGCAAAATTCATTGCAGGAACTTTTTTAGAATTTTACCAATTTCAAAATATTAATATTGTTTATTATCGAATATTAATATTTTAGTAAGTATTTTTAAAAAAGAGTTTGAGTAGTTATTTAAAGTGATTTTATAAAGTAATCATTCTTGTGAAATACGATTGTCATTCTCTAGTGGTTTTTTTTACTTAGTCTCCAAATAATTAATCCAGTGCTAGATTTTGCCAGACTCTTGTTTCTAGAATTTGTTGTCATTGAGTGTTTGTTTCCTCTGTGAGTGGCCTGTGTTGTCCATTGCAGGAGCAGCCAAACCAAGTGAACTATGGGAATATCTGCACGGGCCTAGAAGTGCTGAGCTTCCTGCTAACTGTCCTCCAGTCCCCAGCCATCCTCAGTAGCTTCAAACCTCTGCAGCGTGGAATTGCCGCCTGCATGACATGTGGAAACACCAAGGTGTTGCGAGCCGTCCACAGCCTTCTCTCGCGCCTGATGAGCATTTTCCCAACAGAGCCGAGTATGTGACCTTTCCCACCGGTGCTTTTCTTTCAAAGTGGACGGTGGGCGCGGAGCTTGCTATGAGAGCGCTTGTCCTCCAGTTATTGTGTCGAGCGCTTTGTTATCACTTTCCTTTCTACTTGCAAACTTTCTTTTAAAAACTGACATGGAAACATAGAATGGGCCGGGTGTGGTGGCTCACGCCTGTAATCCCAGCACTTTGGGAGGCCGAGGCGGGCGGATCACCTGAGGTCAGGAATTCAAGACCAGCCTGACCAACGTGGAGAAACCCCATCTCTACTAAAAATACAAATTTAGCTGGGTGTGGTGGCACGCACCTGTAATCCCAGCTACTCGGGAGGCTGAGGCAGGAGAATCGCTTGAACCCAGGAGGCCAGAGGTTGCGGTGAGCCGAGATCGTGCCATTGCAATCCAGCCTGGGCAACAAGAGCAAAACTCCATCTCAAAAAAAGCATAGAATGGCAGCTCTCACTGAATGTTGTCTGCTTTGGAAATTCAGTTCTTCATCAGTTGAATATTATTTTTTTAAGCTACTAAAGAGAAGTATTAAAAGTATTCAAATGTTGAACATTTGGCAGGATCAAATTTTAGCATGTTATAAATAAGTATATTTCAAGGAGATTCTGTTAGCTTTTTTGAGTATTCTGCATATAGCTGTGTAGAACGGGAACCAGCCCAGAGGTGAGGCCCACACTGTCCTGCAGGGAGAGAAGTGCCCGTGCCAATCCCTCCTGATACCCAAGCAGCCAGCACTCAGTCCCTGGCATCAGCACTGGTGGGCCCAAGAGCCATAACCACAGTGCCTGGGTCCCTGCCCTGTTGTAGGTACTTCCAGTGTGGCCTCCAAATATGAAGAGCTGGAGTGCCTCTACGCAGCCGTCGGAAAGGTCATCTATGAAGGGCTCACCAACTACGAGAAGGCCACCAATGCCAATCCCTCCCAGCTCTTCGGTGAGTGTGTGTCTGTCCTGGTGTTCGTGGTGGCTCAGTTTGGCCTCTTTCCCCGCTCACTGGACGTGCTTCCCTTTGGGAAAGGGCTCCGGTTGTTGGGCAGAGCTTTGAGCCGCTGCGTTGTTCAGGTGTCTGTTGCCTGGGGCCCTCAAGGCCGCCGTCTCCTGTAGACTGCATCCCCCTTCGCCGATGCTTGCTCTGTGCTCCCTCCTCAGCTTCCAGCACAGGCTTTGGTGTGAGGGATGTTGCCAGGGTGCATGTGTCCTGCCACCCCAGTGTCACACTAAACAGGCACCGCAAGAGCTACATGACAATGTGTGGACTCTGCCTTTCACCACCAGCCTGCCTGTGAGTCAGCCACTCACAAGATGAGAACTTGTCCCGTCTTATTGCTGAGGCTCTGGCTGGCCCAGGTGAGACGGAAACTGCCTCCCTCCTTAGGTGATCAGGGCAGCTGGGTCACTCTGGCCCCAGGTACGCAGGAGTCAGATTTATAGATGTGCCCTCAGTTTTGTGGCAGACACATGTCTTTGATCCTAGACTTTGGATTAGTGCCTCAAAATTTATTTTCTCCTTTATTGCATATTCATTGGGTGAAACTTTGAAAATACAAATGAAGGAATACTAAGTAGAAGTCACCTGTCAGGCTCTCTTCCCAATAGCAATCAGTCCCAGTATTTTAGAGTGATTATCATATTCTATACACACGTATACAAATACCTATATAGATAGCCCTTGTTAGGCAAACGCTTTTCTGAATTTGCCAACTGAATATATTTGGATGAGTTCCTTGCTCTCCAAACTTGCCAGGAGCTAGGAGAATTTGGTTAACATGGTGTCCCTTGCTCTCTTAGCTTGCTGTCTCTCTTCAGGCAGCAGCTGGGTGCGGAGAGTGAGGAGTGCTTCTGGGTCTTTTTTTAAGTGGAGTCACCCTGCAGAAGATGCCAGCTTCCATCACAGGGCAGCACAAGTATCTCCTCCCGCTGCTCATTCTCTGGAGGACTCTTGTTGAGAAGGGCTGACCTCATGGGCCCTGCCTCCCTCCTCTGTGGGGTGTCGAAGGCCGGGGCAGCCTCGGGGTGAGGTGGGCCTAGGAAGTTGGCCACACCGTCGTCCCCATGCCGGATCTGGGGTGTAGTCTCAGCCGTCTGCTCCATAGAGGAGAGCATAGCACTCGGGAACCACAGAGTACACCCCATTTCCATCACTGTCATCAAGTGTCATGGGTTGCCTGGGTTACAACCAGACTGGTCTTTTGTTGACTGCTCTGTTAAGAATTGGTCTTTTAACAAAGCTAGCCTGAAATCACCTCATAACTGGCAAACACTCTTTGGTTGATCCGTGAATACAGATTTAAAATTTAACGAGTAGGGCCAGGTGCAGTAACTCACGCCTATAATCCCAGCACTTTGGGAGGCTGAGGCAGGCGGATTACTTGAGGTCAGGAGTTTGAGACCAGCCTGGCCAACATGGTGAAACCCCGTCTCTACTAAAAATACAAAAATTAGCCGGGCGTGGTGGCAGGTGCCTGTAATCCCACCTACTCGGGAGGCTGAGGCAGGAGAATTGCTTGAATCCTGGAGGCAGAGGTTGCAGTGAGCCGAGATTACGCCACTGCACTCCAGCCTGGGTGATAGAGCAAGACTCGACATTAAAAAAAAAAAAAAAAAAAGTTTAATGGGTAGGTTGAAATCAAGGTGATTGTCACAATGCCAAATATGAAAGATAATTCTACTCAGTGTTTCTGTTCTAGTATTGGCTTTGCTGATTTTTATTGATCTTAGGCTGTTTCTCAGAATGAAGTGCAAATTGAATTCAAAGATATTTGGCATGTCCTTTAGATAGACTAGATTTTTCTTCCTCTTTTTCTTATTTTTCCCAAACCTATTATAGGAGTAAAAACTTAGGGTAATTTGCCATCACCCAAAAATAAAATGCAGAACTGAAGGTAAGAACGTTGTTTCTACTGAAGCACAAAAATCAGTTCTCATTCATGATGATTTGATCTAGTTGAGAATTAGGAGTGGAAATACAGTGTTTCATTCAGAATGTAGCGTGAGCCATGTAAAAGCTCACAGTGTTGACACTGGGATTAACTATGCTTTTGTCAGAATACATTGTTTTGAATAATGTGTTGCTTTCACTCTGTTTTTCGTGGTTGTTACTTTTCTGTGAAACACTTGGCAATTTCTACATTTTAGGGACCCTTATGATCCTCAAGTCTGCCTGCAGCAACAACCCCAGCTACATAGACAGGCTGATCTCCGTCTTTATGCGCTCCCTGCAGAAGATGGTCCGGGAGCATTTAAACCCTCAGGCAGCGTCAGGAAGCACCGAAGCCACCTCAGGTGATGTGCTGGCCACCGGGGGCCTTTCCTCAGACTCTGTTGAACAGAGAACAGACTCTGTTGTGCAGGCTGGGGCTGAACTCTAAAGGGAATGTGCATTCACCAAGTCCTGTTGTTTGGTCGTAAATCGTTACCATTTGCTCTTCAATGTAGGGGTTTAAAAAACAACTCATTGTTAAAAATGGACTGTTATTAAGCTGGGTACGGTGGCACGCCTGTGGTCCCAGCTCCTCAGCGGGCTGAGGCAAGAGGATTGCATGAGGCCCAGAGTTGGAGGCTGCTGTGAGCTGTGATCACGCCTGTGAATATCCACTGCACTCAGTCTGCAACAGATTGAGACTCTCTCTCACGTGTGCATGCGTGTGCATGTGCACACACACACACACCTGCTTTTAAAGTCTGTGAGTGTAAGAATGCAGAAATTTTAAAATAGTTGGACTTTTAGATGCTGCATTCACCACTGAGACTTACCAGTGCTTACTGTGAAACAGATACTGCTTAATCAGAGTTGCTGGTTCTGAAGAGTTAAGTCACAGGCTCCAGAGCTGAGCAGTGGGCTCCTGGAATCTGGATGCTGTGTGGGGGTGTGGGGCTGCCTGGCAGGGGCTGTGGTGGGCATGGCTTCTGGGTGCACCTCAGAGTACAGGGGCCATGATTAGGACTTCACAGCTGGGTGTGGAGAGGCCGGAGCCACCTGCACTGGTCCGTCAGCTCCCTCATCCCTCTCCCTGCAGAGAGGGCTACATTTCCAAGATGCACGTAAGAACATATGAGTGCTTCAAATCCCAGAGCTCTAGTTGCAGGAAAAAACATTGAGGGGGAAAATGGGCAGAACCCAGCATGCCAGGCAAGGCTTAGTGGCTGCCTGTTTAAATCAACGTTTAGAGACCCGTGGGTTTGTTCTTAATTGGGGCGAGCAGGTACAAGCGAGCTGGTGATGCTGAGTCTGGAGCTGGTGAAGACGCGCCTGGCAGTGATGAGCATGGAGATGCGGAAGAACTTCATCCAGGCCATCCTGACATCCCTCATCGAAAAATCACCAGATGCCAAAATCCTCCGGGCTGTGGTCAAAATCGTGGAAGAATGGGTCAAGAATAACTCCCCAATGGCAGCCAATCAGGTGAGCTGGGACGGTGTGCCATGTGATCTCCCTTTCAATAAAAGAAAATTCAAGCCTCAACATCTTGGTCTTTCTGAAACTTGAAGCAAAACATTTTTTTCTGCTGTAATTGCACTCACAGCATCTTTTCTTAATTAAGATGGATTTTTGTCTGTAATCTCAGCACTTTGGGAGGCTGAGGTGGACAGATCACAAGGTCAGGAGATTGAGACCGTCCTGGCTAACACGGTGAAACCCCGTCTCTACTAAAAATACAAAAAATTAGCCAGGCATGGTGGCGGGCGCCTGCAGTCCCAGCTACTCGGGAGGCTGAGGCAGGAGAATGGCGTGAACCCAGGAGGTGGAGCTTGCGGTGAGCTGAGATCACGCCATTGCACTCCAGCCTGGGCGACAGAGCAAGACTCTGTCTTGGAAAAAAAAAAAGAAAGATGGATTTTTTTCAGTGCACTTAACAGATGTTAAATAGAAACTGAGTTGCTCATCTTAATGTGGCTTTGCTCCTCTTAAAATGTTAAATGAAGACTCACTCCTGTCATCCCAGCACTTTGGGAGACCGAGGCAGGTGGATCACTTGAGGTCAGGAGTTTGAGACCAGCCTGGCCAACATGGTGAAACCCCGTCTCTACTAAAAATACAAAAATTAGTCAGGTATGGTGGCGCATGCCTGTAATCCCGGCTGCTCAGGATGCTGAGGCCAGAGAATCGCTTGAATCCAGGAGGCAGAGGTTGCAGTAAGCCAAGATCACACCACTGTACTCCAGTCTGGGCATCACGGCGAGACACTGTCTTAGAAAAAAAAAAAAGTTGTTAAATGAACCTTGTTAACCTTTTTATGGCGATAAAGATAAGACAAATAATACTTAAAGTAAAAGTAATAATAGAGACTATCATTTCACTTAGATGCTTGCAAACTTCTGATTTGTTTTATAATTTACAGTTGCTTTCTCTCTAAAATGAGTTGTAGCCCCTACGAAAATTACATTGGCATGTCTTGATTTTAAGCATCCAAAGATAAAGCCATCTTTGCCTTACTGTTTAGGAATGACCTTGTCTTATTGTGCTTGATAAAATTGTAGGAGCTTAAAAAATACTAGAGCAGATGGTTGAAATACTTTTAACTGCGTCTTTTCTCAAATTTCATACAGACACCTACACTCCGGGAGAAGTCCATTTTGCTTGTGAAGATGATGACTTACATAGAAAAACGCTTTCCGGAAGACCTTGAATTAAATGCCCAGTTTTTAGATCTTGTTAACTATGTCTACAGGTAATTACAGCAATTAATCAAGTACTACATATATTGGTCCTTAATGTGCTCCCCGGCCAGCCAGCCATGCAGCCATGATTTTAATCTTTTACTCATACCTAAGTTTAAAATATTCATTTAAATGCTAAATTGTGTGACCTACTTTGGTGTCATTAAAGGACCTTGTGTTGTAATGCTGCATGAGCCTGCCACGATTTATAACATACTCTTGGTTTTCATAGTGGCATTTCAGCAAGTTCACATCCACGTTCACCTGTTTCTGCTTGTTTGCATATGACTTGGGGAGTCCATCGTCTTGCCTGTCTCTGACTTGGTGTTACAGGGATGAGACCCTCTCTGGCAGCGAGCTGACGGCGAAACTTGAGCCTGCCTTTCTCTCTGGGCTGCGCTGTGCCCAGCCACTCATCAGGGCAAAGTTTTTCGAGGTTTTTGACAACTCCATGAAACGTCGTGTCTACGAGCGCTTGCTCTATGTGACCTGTTCGCAGAACTGGGAAGCCATGGGGAACCACTTCTGGATCAAGCAGTGCATTGAGGTAGGAAGACTCGGCTCACATCTGTGGCCGGGGGCAGCTGTGGGTTTTCTGAGTTGGGGCTCCAAAGCCAGGAGGTGTTCACACACACTGAGATGAATTGGAAATCTCCAGCACAAACCTGCTTCTGATCTCCAGGAAGAAAATAAAGACTTCAGGGCAAGCGTTCATCTAAAGCGTTTTTGGGCTGATTTAAAATCCTGTGTCAGAAAGTTGAATAGTATATTTTTGTAGGTGAAGATTCATTTTTTCTTCAAATATAAAAAAGTTTGAATTCTGTCTGCGTGCCCTAGAAAATAAAACTGTGGACTTGTCAACTCCCATTGTTCTTTTTTTTTTTTGAGACAGAGTCCTGCTCTGTTGCCCAGGTTGGAGTGAAGTGGTATGATCTCAGCTCACTGCAACCTCTGCCTTCCAGGTTTAAGCAATTGTTGTGCCCCAGCCTCCCCGGTAGCTGGGATTATAGGCCCATGTAACCACACCCGGCTGATTTTTGTATTTTTAGTAGAGATGGGGTTTCACCATGTTGCCCGGGCTGGTCACAAACTCCCAAGCTCAAGTGATCTGACTTCCTCGGCCTCCCAAAATGCTGTGATTACAGGCATGAGGCACCATGCCTGGCCCCCATCATTCCTTAAGCAGAAAGATGGAGCAGCCGGGCCAGGGCCTGACCACGCTGTCGGTTTTGGTTCCTTAGTGTGAGGAGTCGGGTGCTGGCAACACAAGCGTGTTTAACATGCTCAGTGTTATGAAAGCGAGGTCCAGACCTAGAGTAGAATTGACTTTTCATGGAAGGCAAGTCAGATGTTCTTTGAGTTTCCAGCAGGATTGTGGTAAGCTTCTAGCTTGCTAGAGTTTCAGCCTGTGGCTCACTCATCAGCTTGAGTTTGCTGTGGCAGGTTACCAGTGCTGTGCAGGTAGTTCTCGTCCATTTACCTGGAGTGAATGAAACCAGGTCACCACGTACTATGTCTCCTGAGACAGCTGGGACAGAAGGTGGATTAGTTCTCTTTGATGAGAAGAAGGGAGTGAGTTGTGGTGCTGGGTCTCAGGAGAGCCTGCTAGCATGTTTCCTGTTCGTGCCGGATGGGCGTTCTCTTGGCGCGTGTGCAGCGTGCGTTTGGAATTTTGCCTATGGCCACACCTGGGCAGAGTTCCCTGCTCTTCCATCACTCGTTCAGGAGACCTTTCGACTGCTGGTTAGTTGCCAGGCACTGGGTCAGGTGCTAAAAAGACAAAGACAGACGACATATTGGCTGTGGCAGGTCCATGTGAATCGGTCAGGGGAAGGGCACAAGCCAAGAGTCCTCGACTCCCTCCTTCCTTTGCCCCTGAGTATCTGCTCCCTCACTGCGGGTGACAGTTCAGGGCCCACTGGCCACCGCCATCTCTCATTAGGACGATGGAACCATTTCCGTAGTGTTCAACCACCTCCCCTCCTACTGATAAGTTTTCTCTGTCGTTACAAAATTATTCTTAATAAAGCAGATAACAATACTCTTTCCATTGTGCGTGGCATAAAATCCAGCCTCCAGGCTATGGTCCCCATAGCCTCTCTCTGCCAGGTGACTGGCCCCCTGCCTCTCTCTGCATCCCCATCTCATCCCTCTCCCTCCAGCATCAGTCTCCAGTGTGCTGGCCTTCCATATTCTTGATCTTGCCTCACTCTTGCCACTCAGGCTAATGTGCAGCTCCTTTTAATTCTGTCAGTCCACCCTGTTTCCTGGCCATGTTACCACAGTGAGCACATGCCTGGCTGTGTCCTTCCCCCTGACACTTCAGCTCCTTGAGGCAGGGGACACTATCTCTGTGCAGTCAACAGATGAGTCTGCAGGGCCCCCATGGCACCCAGTGGGTGCTCAGGGAATATTCGCCCAAGATGGCAAGAGTGTCGTGGCCAGGCAGCTTGTGCACGGCCTGTGGGGAAGAACGGTGTGGTGGCGAGTGGCCCAACTGCAGAGGCAGGCAGGGGCTTCAGTACATCACGGAGGGGCTCGCAACTCACACGGGGAAGCCTACACTGTCGCCTGAGGCTGCGGGAAGCTATGGGTGGGTGGGCCGGGGTAAAGGGCCACTGTGTGGAAAGAGATGGGTTCAGGAGGACGAGTCTGGGGGTGAGGTGGGAGGTTCCACCCAGGTGGGAGCAGGAACCGCCTAGGTGTTCAGGAGTTAAGAGTGGCAGGACCTGGTGTGTGCTATGAGTGAACCAGAGGTCTTCTGTATGTGGACGATGCCTTGGAGGGGTTGGAGGAGAGGAAGCCCGTCTGGTTGGGGACAGGTGGGAAAGGGTGCTGAGCTCATACTTGGACCTGCAGAGTCAGAGGTGCCTGAGTGAGGGGCATCTGGGAGAGAAGTCCAGATGCCCTGAATGCCACGCGCATGCCTTGGGTCTGTCTCCTTTCCGCACCCCTTGCAGCTGCTTCTGGCCGTGTGTGAGAAGAGCACCCCCATTGGCACCAGCTGCCAAGGAGCCATGCTCCCGTCCATCACCAACGTCATCAACCTGGCCGATAGCCACGACCGTGCCGCCTTCGCCATGGTCACACATGTCAAGCAGGAGCCCCGGGAGCGGGAGAACAGCGAGTCCAAAGAGGAGGTGAGGCCCTGCACCCCACAGGCAGAATCCCAGAGAGGAGGTGAGGCCCCACACCCCACGGGCAGAATCCCAGAGAGGAGGTGAGACCCCGTGCCCCACGGGCAGAATCCCAGAGAGGAGGTGAGGCCCCGCGCCCCACGGGCAGAATCCCAGAGGAGTGGAGGTGAGGCCCCGCGCCCCACGGGCAGAATCCTTGGTCCTGCGGAAGAAGTTTTTGTATCAGCTTTAGATTTGTTTTGGGCATGAACAAGGTATAAAAACCTGTCTACCTGAAAGCTCTGAATGTGGTACCTAAGTTCAGCTAGATTTTTTTTTTTTTTAGTTAGAATTGAGAAGCATCTTGCACTCCCATTCGGTTTTGAGATGAATCACGTTACCATGAGCTAGTACTGCTGAGAACAGAACATTTCCCTGTGCCGTGATTTTTCTCTCCTGGTGAGAAAAGCCCGTGTTCATTACAGAAAGCGCTGCCTGGGGGAATGCTGCCTGCCACACAGGGGCTGGGGCTCTAGTTGGTTCCTCCAGCAGCCTGCTCAGAACCCATGTCTCTGCCTAGTCCCGGGACGGGCAGCAGGGAGCCTTTGCTCCTCCGAGAACCTGTACGAAGGTTGATGCCTTAGGCTTGGTGGCTTTCTGTCCTCCATGAAGTAGTGGCTGCCGCTGTTCCTGGCAGGGATTTTTGTAGGCTGTATCTCCTTAAGGTCGTTGGTTTTTGGAGGCTCAGCCTGTGTGGAGCGTTGCGTCTTAGGAGACAGTCACCCCGTGCTGCAGGCGGGCATGGCACCTTCTTTGCTCTAAAAGGGGTGGTGCGTCCCCTCTTCCATGTGCAGGATGTCTACTCATTAATAATTTCGAATTAAAATTTTTTTCCTTTTTTTACTGTTGCTAAAACACTAGATTACCTGGTCATTTGGTCTTTTCTTTCTGTAATCTTCCTGTGTGAAATAAATTGCCAAGTCTGAAGTTCTTCATTTTCAAGGGCACACACCAAATTGTCGATACCTGACTTCAAGGAGTAGTTTGATTGTTGACTGACTTCTCCAAACCTTCAGACAGAAATAAGGTGTATTCCTCTTTGGGAATGGTCATATAAAACATTGCACCAGCAACATGCTCCGCCGTGGCCCTGAAGGGATTCTCAGTCGGAGCAAGCCAGGCAGCTGGGCGACTGTATTGCATTTTGAGTAATGATAGACTATGATTCCATTAATCTTTATTATTTTTACGTTTAAAGTTTATTCTTTTAAATTGTGCTTTTGACAAAAAACCCAAATGTGAAAGCACACTGGTGGCTTCTTTATAGTCATTTTTAAAAAGAGAGCGATCTGGTCTAGTTAATCCAGGTTTTGTTTATTTTAGGATTGAAGATTATTTAAATACTTACACACTTCCAGGAAACGAACACGAATTTTACCAAAATTGTAACAAGAAGCCTACAGGAGGTGTGTTTGTTGGGTTTTCTTGAAGCCTTTGACCTTTTGGTTTTGCTTGCTGCTTTGTTTCTTAGGATGTAGAGATAGACATCGAACTAGCTCCTGGGGATCAGACCAGCACGCCCAAAACCAAAGAACTTTCAGAAAAGGACATTGGAAACCAGCTGCACATGCTAACCAACAGGCACGACAAGTTTCTGGACACTCTCCGAGAGGTGAAGGTCTGTACGCAGCTTGGAAAGGATTCGTTGCTTTCCTCCCATGGACAGTTCAAAGCCTAAATCAGGATCATTCCACAGCAGTGTAACTTTTTCTGTTTCTTTTCTTTTTCTTTTTGAGATGGGATGTTGCTTTGTCACCCAGCCTGCAGTCTAGTGGCGCAGTCGCACCTCACTGCGGCCTCAGTCTCCTGGGCCAAGCGATCCTCCCACCTCAGCCTCCCAGGTAGCTGGGACCACAGACATAGGCTGCCACACCCAGCTAATTTGTTAATTTTTTAGTAGATACAGGGTCTTGATATGTTGCTCAGACTGGTCTTGGATTCCTGGACTCAAGTGATCCACCCACCTTGGCCTCCCAAAGTGCTGGGATTATAGGCGTGAAGCAGAGATTTGGAGTGTCACAGTGTCTTATAGGAGAAAATAGGAAAAAAGTTAATTTCTCCACCACCATCTCTTGAAAGAAACGGTAAAACCGTGTACAAAAAATGTGTGAGGAGACATAATAATGTTGGATTATTTTTCAAGTGCACTAAAAGAGGAGAAAATGATAAATGAGTTAATTTGCTAAATCAAGCCCACTTTGTGGAACTGGGGGCCTCCAGGTGCATCTGTGTTTGAATCTAGCCAGGTAGAAACTCTCTGGCTTCTGCAAACTCTCAGGTAAATTATAAGTCTGTTTTTATGTCCTGACCTTGAAAGACTGGTTGAAGCTCCGTGTACCAGGTTGCTTTTGATGAGGAGGTATTTTTCTGTTCTTTCAGGAGCTGGGTGATGATTCTGATTATTCTGTTCATATCAGGAGCTAGGTGGGAAAAAAGCACAAACTACTTTTCGCAAGTGATTTTTACGTTAAAATCTTTTGGTGACCTATGTTGAACTTGTGCACTGGATCAGTCTTTGAACTTATACCCAAGTGACACCATTGTCATCTTGGATAAGGATAAAATGCTTTTCTGTGGGATGGAGCGGGAAGCAGAGCAGCCTGATACATGTGAGTGATAGCTCTCATGTTATGGGCCAGGCACTTCTTTTGTTTGTTTGTTTGTTTGTGTGAGACAGGGTCTCACTCTGTTGCTCAGGCTGGAGTATAGTGGTGCAATCTCGGCTCACAGCAACCTCCATCTCCCAGGTTCTAGCGATTCTCCTGCCTCAGCCTCCTGAGTAGCTGGGATTACAGGCACACACCACCACACCTGGCCAATTTTTGTATTTTTAGTAGAGACAGGGTTTCACCATGTTGGCCAGGCTGATCTTGAACTCCTGACCTCAGGTGATCTGCCTGCCTCGGCCTCCCAAAGTGCTGGGATTACAGGCATCTTAATAGACCCATGTCCCTACTGCCGCCACCACCAGAAAAAAGGGCTATAAGTCCATGTCCTGAAGCCCAAGGCCTCCTTTGGCTGATGGTCACCATGACACATCACCACGTCATCAGGTGCCTGGGCCTCAGTTTTAGCCTCAGCTCCTGGTGCGAGTGCCATCAGGAGAGGAAGTTCTAGCAGTATGTTGTGCGAGGGGTCAGGATATTTGGTTTTACTCAACAATATTTTTGTCTTGGCTCAGTTGGTCACAGCTGTACACCTCCACGTCCTCTGTGGGGCCATGGCTGCTCTCTGGATGGCGGCTGGGCTAGACCAGACGTGGCTGAAATCTCGGCAGATCTCACAGAAAATCTTGCCCACAGATGTCCCCATGGTCTTCTCTTGATCTGAGGCTTCATAGCCTGAGTCTCAGGGCCCATCTGTGTCACCCTTTGTAAGAGGATTGCTCAGGCCGGAGCTGCAGACGTCAGCCATACTGTTCCCAGATGCGTGTCACAGAGGAGACCCTCGAACTCAGTGCCCAGCACAGGTGGGCACACCATCACCCCTGAGCCTGGTGTGCCGCCCACTTGCTGCATGTCCTTGGGCCGCTCTGGCAGACCTGTGCCCGCCTCTTAGCAGGGTGTGGTTCTCAGGGTACTTGGGTGTGATTTAATTCTTCCCTTCTCCTTGGGTTCTTTTGTGTCCCATTTTCCTCGTTCACCTTTTACATTTGATCTCATTTCATCATTTCAGCATCTTTTTACTGAGAGCCTGCTCTGTGTCAGGTGATGTTCTGGACACTGGAAACACAGTGGTAGCTGGTCCTCAGTAGGGTGTATGTTCTAGTGAGGGGAAATAATGAACAGAAAGAAGTGCTAATCCCTCAGGAGGCGAGATGGGTGCCGGGGTAAAGCAGCCAGGGCTGGTGGGGTTGGAGAGGGTGGTGTCGTGTTATTTCATCTTCTGTGTATTTATGGGAGTTGAGATTTTTCATGGAGCAAGATGGGGTTACAAATCATTGTGTTTGTTGTTTCCACCCTGATGTTCTCCTTCCTGGAGCTCCTCTACCCTGTGAAGTGGTCAGGTGCCACCAGCTCTTCTTAGACTCTTGGATTCTAAATGTGGAGAGGGCGGTCCTCACCCCAGGCACACAGGCTCTTTCTCTTTCACCTCATTTCCCAGGTCTGGCCATTGTTCCCTGTGGGAATTCTGTGGAGGCAGCAACCCCTCGCTGGGCTCTTTTGACACTGTGGGGCCACCACGGGGTCCTCACCCCTGCACCTCTTTGGGACAGTGTGTACATCAGAACAAGCCATGGACTTGGGGAGCAGGAGCGGACTGTAATCCTGAGACACAAAACCCTGAACATCATAATCCCGGATGTTGAAATCCCTAAAGATCAAAATTTCTAACCTCTCAAATCCCGAAAATATAATGCTGGAAAAAAACAATTTAAAAATTCTTTAAAACATACACAGAGATACCCCAAATAATACTTTACTAGGTAGGTTTCCAGGTATTCCTTAGTCCAGTCAAGTTGATGCTGTAAACATGGCACCCATAGGCATCTCCTTAAACCATGCAGACAGTAACATGTAATAGTTTCTAACCTGATGCAGCTGTGCTGTGATGATGATTTTTTCAGGGATTTTGATCTTTGAGGATTTCGACACTTGGGGTTAGGGTGTATAGAATTGTGTCTTTTGGGATTCTGATCCAAACCCCCACGGTTGGAGTTGAGCAGCTTTATCAGCAGGTCAGTGACCTTGCTGGGCTCTTCAATTCTCCCCAGCTCTTGGTCTCCGCTAAACTGACGTGGAGCTGAGAGCCCCTGATGGGCTGGTCAGGGTGAAGTGTGTGGCCATGTGAGGGAAACTGTGCTTACTTCATCACAGTCCTCACAGGGCAGCCTGATGACAGATACTTAGGAGCGTTCTTTACCTAAATGTTTTCACCCATTTTCCTTGAAAGATTTGTATCCTTGGTGTCTGTTTTTAGTAGAAACGTGAATGTGCCCATGGTTTCCCCCTTGGGTTTGCTGCAGGACAAATGAAAGCATAATCATGTCCCTGGCACTCTGCCACCGTGCCAGGGCAGCAGGGACAGTGTGGCTGTCAGCATGTGCCCCAGCCCTGTTGCGCCACTGCCTGATGCCATGTAGGGTGTCTCCTGTGGGCTAGAGCAGCCTCAGGCAGACCTAGAAACCTGGCTGTTAATAAGGAATGTTGGCAGCTAATTCAGATCAGATCTTCAAAAACAAGAGGGCTGGGATGAGATAAACACAACTGTGAATTTGCTGTGCCCTCCAGGCCCTCAGTTTCGACTTCGGGCTCTAGTTGTCCAGGCGTTCCGTTCCAGTCCGTTCCATTCTCTTCTGTTCTGTTTCAGTCCGTCTCGGTCATTTTCTCCTGCCTCTTGTCCACTGCAGATTGCAGAGACTGAACTTTCAGTTCTTGATTTGTTCTTCAGAATAATACCTGTTGGCAAATAGTTTATGTCATATACGTGTGTTTTCACTTTCCTATTTTCAGTGGCCTGGGCCTCGGTGACATCTGTGTCCTTCTAAGTTACTCTTTCAGTCTTGTCAGTGTTTTTGTCCTTCTTGGATATGGTGGGATCAGTAGTGTTAAGAAACCCCCTTAAAAACTAAGGACAAATGCAGGCGCCATTGCTGAGCCTCTCGGGATGCCTGGGCTTGGCTGCTAAGTGCACCATGGCTTCCCACCACTCAGGATCTGTGGGCTTTTACTCTAACATGGCATTTTCTCAGATCTTTGAAACTTTGAAAGTGGAGGAGCATCGGTAATGTATGAGACAGATCATGGGTGTCTTCTGAGCGTGGTTGTGCGAGGCACCCCCAGCCCGTGGCCATCTCAGCCTGTTGTCTTTCTGTTCATAGACTGGAGCGCTGCTCAGCGCTTTCGTTCAGCTGTGCCACATTTCCACGACGCTGGCAGAGAAGACGTGGGTCCAGCTTTTCCCCAGATTGTGGAAGATCCTCTCTGACAGACAGCAGCATGTGAGTGTATCTTTAAAATCCTGTTTTGGAAAATTGTAGTTTTAGCTTTTGGTAAGTATTCATAAAAGAACACAGTCTCGAACAAGTTTCAGAAAATGAGGGAACCGCTGGCTGTCACTCGAGCGAATTAGGAAAGGTATTCTTGCATCGAGAGAGACAGCAAGACTTGCCGATTTTTGAATGAAGGCCTAAATGACATGTGCTTTGGTTTCAGGCACTCGCGGGTGAGATAAGTCCATTTCTGTGCAGCGGCAGTCACCAGGTGCAGCGGGACTGCCAGCCCAGCGCGCTGAACTGCTTTGTGGAAGCCATGTCCCAGTGCGTGCCGCCAATCCCCATCCGACCCTGCGTCCTGAAGTACCTGGGGAAGACACACAACCTCTGGTTCCGGTCCACGCTGATGTTGGAGCACCAGGCTTTTGAAAAGGGTCTGAGTCTTCAGATTAAGCCGAAGCAAACAACGGAGTTTTATGAGCAGGAGAGCATCACCCCGCCGCAGCAGGTGAGGGTGCGCCTCAGTTTGTTAATTACCTCTTCCCTGCCAGTGACTTCACACTTTAAATAAATACTCCTCCCAAATGATTTCAAATGACAGCACAGTGAAACTATTTTTAGGGGGGAAAAAAAGTCTCTGTCTCAAGCACTCAGGAACCTTACTTTGTGTTTTCAGGAGATACTGGATTCCCTTGCGGAGCTTTACTCCCTGTTACAAGAGGAAGATATGTGGGCTGGTCTGTGGCAGAAGCGGTGCAAGTACTCGGAGACAGCGACTGCGATTGCTTACGAGCAGCACGGGTTCTTTGAGCAGGTAAACCTCAGACCACTGACGGTCTTGGGTGTGTAATGAGAGGTCATTTATAACGGTTCTTTAATAAAATGTCCTCAAGTCGGAGTTCACGTTCTCTTTTTTTGAGATGGAGTCTTGCTCTGTCGCCCAGCCTGGAGTGCAGTGGCACAATCTCGGCTCACTGCAACCTCCACCTCCCAGGTTCAAGCGATTCTCCTGCCTCAGCCTCCCAAGTAGCTGGGATTACAGGCGCCCACCACCATGCCCAGCTAATCTTTGTATTTTTAGTAGAGACGGGGTTTTGCCATGTTGGCCGTGCTGGTCTCGAACTCCTGACCTAAGATCCGCCCACCTCGGCCTCCCAAAGTGCTAGGATTACAGGTATGAGCCACTGCGCCTGGCCCATAGTTCACATTTAAATACGTTTTAAAGCATTTCAGTCCCGCACGTAAAGGCTCTATGACTGAAGTCTGCATTTAAGAGATACCTACGTATATGACATGAGCTAAAGCACAGTCCTGATAAGTCCTTTGCATTAGATGCCAGCGTGGATGCTTTTTCCCTCCCGTCGTTGGTCCTGTTGGAAGTGATAGGTTTTGTTTTTGCTTACGTTTTACTCCCTGTGTCTGCCCTTCAGTGTGGCTCAGGCCACCATTTCAGGGTGCAATTCCTAGCACTGTGTAGGGTGCTGTGCCGCGGAAGCTCCAGAAGCAGATGTGGCCTTGCGGCTCCTGCTCCGATTACTAAAGGATGGAGAAAGTAATCCCACGTCTGGACAGCCTCTCCTCCTTCCATTCTGTTCAGGGAATCCCACTGTCTTCTGTCTCTGAACAGAGAGCTGCGGGCATTTAGTGCTCCTGGAGAAGAGCTCCATGTGCTCCCAGGTCTGTGATTCAGCCTGCTCTAGACAACTGGGCCATGGCAGTGAAAAGGCTGTGTTTCTTAGCCAGGTGCAGGCAGGCACCTGTAGCCCAGCTACTCAGGGAGTCTGAGGCAGGAGGGTCCCTTGAGCCTAGGAATTAAGAGTTTGAGTCCAGCTTTGGCAACATAGCAAAACCTCATCTCAAAAAACTTAGTTCTAAGTTTTAAATTTAAAAAGAAAGAAAAGGTGTGTTTCTAGTTAAACAGTGATTTAAAAACATTAACTTTTTTTAGGCACAAGAATCCTATGAAAAGGCAATGGATAAAGCCAAAAAAGAACATGAGAGGAGTAACGCCTCCCCTGCTATTTTCCCTGAATACCAGCTCTGGGAAGACCACTGGATTCGGTAAGCCAAACACAGTGCTTGACGTGTGCATGAATCAGTTAAGGGAACCAGGGAAAAATCTCTGACCTTTTCTTGTAATGAGCGTTTTTTAAAGAAAGCTTTGCTACTTTATGGCCACATAAAGAACAAATAGAAACCCAAAACCAGCATTTAAAGCCTTGAGTAATTAAACAAGTCAACTGGAGAAGCAGTAAACTGTCCCTGCATCTCCCCTGGCTCCAGTGCTCTGGGCTGTCTGCTGAATAGCAGGTGGTTTGTGGTGTCCAGGGTGGGCAGGGGGCTCTCCCCACAATGGAGCACACCTCCATGTCCCACAGAAGTCCACTCTTACTGTGTTGTTCTTCTGTAGAATGGAAATTTGCTCCTTAAAACCCTGTCCCTGCCTTTGTGAATTCATGAGTGTGCTGGTGATTGAGCTTTTGCTCTGGGATCTGTGGTCTTCTAGATGCTCCAAGGAATTGAACCAGTGGGAAGCCCTGACGGAGTACGGTCAGTCCAAAGGCCACATCAACCCCTACCTCGTCCTGGAGTGCGCCTGGCGGGTGTCCAACTGGACTGCCATGAAGGAGGCGCTGGTGCAGGTGAGACGCCCCGGGGGCATCCCTGCCGCTGCCTGGGTCCCTTTTCCTGAAGCTGCAGGTGTCTCTTGGGAGATTTCCCTTAGAACAAGCATTTTGGCAGTGGAAAGACAGCTTTTGGGAAGGAAAGGTTCCTTTTGATTGTCTAACACCTTTCCTGAATTTGAGTAATGACACTTTTACAAAATGAGAAATTGAAGATTAGAAATAGTCACAAACTATGAACTAGAAGATGGAATCGAGGCCAGGTGTTGACTTCTGGTTTGGGACCTGGGAAATGACTCATTGGATGCAGGGAGTTTGTGTTCCTTAGAGAAATAACCAGTCATTTATATCAGTAAAAATACATTCTTCCCTCAGTATCCAGGACACCCCAGCGGTACCAAAATCCACGGACACTCAAGTCCCTGATATAAAACGGTGTAGTATTGCATGTAATCTCTGCACAGCCGCCTGGGTTCTTTAAATCCTGTCTAGGTTACTTACAGTACCTAATACAGTGTAATTGCTACTTACACAGTTGTTTTGTTACACTGTAGTTTTTAGGGAATGACAAGAAAAAGCTCTGTACATGCTTAGTACAGATGCAGTTTTTTTTCCCCCAAATATTTTCCATCCACAGTTGGTCAAATCCACACATATGGAGGACCAGTTGTATATATTTTGCTGTCAGAATGCATTTACGATGCTTATTCCTTCTTTACTCTGACAAAACATAAAATTGAATAAGTATTTGTAGCTCACCTTAACGTTCCCTTCTTTCTCCTTCCCAAAGTTTCCCTTAGCTGGATATATGCAGCGTCACATGGTCCCGAGGTCTCACAGATGCATTTCTTCTTTCATAGATTCTTGATCATTTTATAAAACTTGTAAATTACTCACTGCTTAGAAAAAAACTCAAATATGTGAGTAAACATCCTGGGTAATCTGCACTAAATTAATTTCAAATAGTCTTGAAAAGGATTCAGCAAATTACTTCTGTCTGTTTCTGTGCTTCCTAGGGTAGTTTCTTGGTTTCATTTAGTAAGTGGGTTAGCTTTTTTTCAGTGGGGAAAATAGAAGAGATGCCGTTTTTCTTAGTGTAACTGAGGGTAGGTGTTGTAATTGGCAAAAATCTATCTCAACTAATGTTCGAGTCCAGACCCTGTGACATTGGTGCCAATGTGGAGGGTAATGTTGGAAGCTGCTGTAGTCTTGTTTGCCTTCCTGAATTTCTTCTTCAGTGGGTTATCGAGAACTAAGAGGTACCATGAATGTGCTTTGGAAGAGTAAGATGTCAAAAACAAGCCACAGTGTCATATAATTGTGGGGTGGTGTCATTATTACCATTATTGCATGCAGTCCTTGGGACAGATACCATCATGGCACTCATGTGTGTCCCTTTTATTGTTATTTATTGTTTTCCAAAGAGGAATGTTTATTGATCTTGCTACAGCAATTCCTGTAAACTTCCCATCATAGAGATGTCCTTCCATCTTTCTAATCACAGAGATGTTTGAAAACTTTCATGAAAAAAATTTTTTAAATATTTTTAAATGAGATTAACAAAATGTGAGGCGTTCCAGTGCTTTCTTCAGAAGGTAATGAGCCAAAAAAAAAAGAAAAGGCCTTTTAGGGCAGAAAGGAACACATGGTCTCCACCTGGCTGAGGAGCGGTTGGCCCAGGCTCATCGGCTGCTCCATGGAACTGACGCTGGAGTGCAGGAAATCTGGGGGACATTTTATAGTAGGCAAGAAAGTGTGGCTTTAAAATGACAGTAAAATTTGCACATGTTCCCTCATGTTCATGTAAACCTGAATTAACACCTGAACGGTTTAATTTCCCAGGATAACAATATGAATTGGAAGCAATTCAAAATTACACCCATGTGGCCGGGCGTGGTGGCTCACGCCTGTGATCCCAACGCTTTGGGAGGCCAAGGCAGGCAGATCACTTGAGCCCAGGAGTTTGAGACCAGCCTGGGTAACAGCAAGACCCCCGTTTCTACAAAAAATAAACAAAAATTAGCCTGGTGTGGGGTACATGCCTGTAGTTCCAGCTGCTTGGGACACTGAGGCAGGAAGATCACTTGAGCCCTGGAGGGGCTGTAGTGTGCTATGAGCATGACCCTGCAGTCTAGCTTGAACGACAGAGGGGGACCCTGTCTCAAAAAAAATCACACTGATGTTTATCATACTGGAGATTAATATATATATAACAGCTTAAAATGTGCTGATTGGCCAGGCACGGTGGCTCATGCCTGTAATCCCAGCACTTTGGGAGGCTGAGGCAGGCAGATCACCTGAGGTCAGGAGTTCAAGACCAGCCTGACCAACATGGTGAAACCCATCTCTACTAAAAACACAAGAAATTATCTGGGCATGGTGGCACACGCCTGTAATCCCAGCTGCTCAGGAGGCTGAGGCAGGAGAATAGCTTGAACCTGGGAGGCAGAGGTTGCAGTGAGCCACGATCACACCACTGCTCTGCAGGCTGGGCAACAGAGCAAGATTCCGTCTCAAAAAAATAATAATAATAATGCCGGCTGACTTGTTAGCAGACTGTGTGATTTTTCATCTGATCTGTCATAACAGCATTGATCAGTTTCTTTTCTTTGGAACAACTGATGACCTTAAAGCCAGAAGCCTGTGGTATGCTTTCATAGCTAGAGAGATTGGCCGCTCACTGGAATTTAGAAAAGGAGAGTATCCAGAAAAGACTGTGTAAACGCATGACTTCTCTAAAGAAAATACATTTCTATAGCCTAATTTCTGTGTATTGCCTTGCATACCTAGTGACCAAAAAAAGTGATCTTTTTCCTGTTTGACACTTTACACTGAGGGAAAGAAGGCCCCTCACGTCCTGTGTCACGTTCTTTCACTGCCAGGTGGAAGTGAGCTGTCCGAAGGAGATGGCCTGGAAGGTGAACATGTACCGCGGATACCTGGCCATCTGCCACCCCGAGGAGCAGCAGCTCAGCTTCATCGAGCGCCTGGTGGAGATGGCCAGCAGCCTGGCCATCCGCGAGTGGCGGCGGCTGCCCCACGTAGTGTCCCACGTGCACACGCCTCTCCTACAGGTGCGTGCGGTGCCCCCATGCGAGCACAGGCCTGTGGCCTGTCGCAGCCAAGCGCCGGTGTCCAGGCTTAGGTCTGCAGACTGCTCCGGACAGCAGAGATGAAACTCCTTCTGCTTGTCTTGTCCTCTCCCACTTATACGCGTCCTCAGGAAAGGAAGGCCACAGTTAAAACGTTGAGAAAAACATGTCGGTGTTTCTGCGGGATTGAAGACATCCTCACAGTGATTCTGGTTTTGAATTTTGCCTGAGGGATTGTTTTCAGTGCCCACTGTGCCACCCTCAGTTACAGAGTCCATCGCTCTGTTTTCAGCAAGCTTTTGGCGGGAGCTGGAGGGACAGGGTTAGGAAATGTTTTCCGAAATCTGAATGTAATGAGTTAAATTTGAAATATAAACAGAAAGCACAGATTGTTCTAGGCAATTTCAAAAATTACTGTCAACCAAGATACAGAGTATTGAACTAAGTGTTATGTTTAGGAGATTAAAAAACATTTTAAAACAATAGATTCTGCCTCAAAGGAGCATTGAACCTGAGACAGCGGGCATAGCCATAGAAACAAATTTACATTTGGAGGGAGACTGTGATTCAGAGCCATGCTCATCAGACAGAAAATCAGGATAATGAGGATCGAGGGAAGGAAGATATCGTGTGCGCCATAGAAGCCAAGGACAGAATTTGGATAGGCTGAGGATTGTGGCCAGGGCCTTCCAGGTGAGAAGGTGGTATCAGAAGTTTGGTGCCAACAGCGCATCTGGAATTTAAGGGTAGTCTACCTCCCAGGCTCATAGGACGGTGACTCAAAAATGTGTTTACATTTTATGGGTCCAAAGAGGTCATGAGAACCACGTTTGCAGGTGCTTAGTGTGGCTGTGGGGTTTAGCAGGCACGTTGGGAAAAGGCACGCCTGCAGCAGGGATGCCAGGCTGTCCCGACCTTAGGCATTGCTGGACAAAGAGCCGGGCAGGGAGGGTGGCAAAGGGCATGGACAGCAGGAGGAGGAGTTTTGAGGACTGCCCATTAGCTAGGTTTGGTGTCTGTACCATCGTTCTCCCAGTCTCCTGTCTCTCAGGAGCCACAAGCTGAGGTTTTAAAATTGGAGACACCATAAGGAAAGTAGTGTTTGGGGTGAACAGTAAATGAAATGTGGGATCTCAGGTGTCTGTGGTGTAAATGAGAGTGCTTCCTTTGGTAATTGCATCATAAGATCTTTGCGATAATCATGTCCCCAATGGACTCTGGTGTGTTTTTCCCGTTTGATCTTTACTGACATTTACCGCAGAGTCTCTTATGCTGGTCCCATCAGGCAGCCCAGCAAATCATCGAACTCCAGGAAGCTGCACAAATCAACGCAGGCTTACAGCCAACCAACCTGGGAAGGAACAACAGCCTGCACGACATGAAGACGGTGGTGAAGACCTGGAGGAACCGACTGCCCATCGTGTCTGACGACTTGTCCCACTGGAGCAGCATCTTCATGTGGAGGCAGCATCATTACCAGGGTAAACCGACCTGGTCCGGCATGCATTCATCATGTAATTTTCCAGACGCCCCACGGTTCTGGTTTCGTCTCTGTGTTTTGGTTTGGTTTGGTTTGGTTTTTTTTTCCCCCAGGTTTTCTATTTTGGGGTAGGGAATGACAGGTCGGGGTGGTAATGGTACAGGGAAAGATGAAGGTGGTAGAAGAAGTAAAGTTTTGTTTTTTGTTTCTGTACCTGTTACATTTTTCTAGTTGGGGCAGAATCGTACAGGCCGGGGGGATCAATGCTCTGAGCCATGGCACTCTGCGTTGAAGGTCCCATCCCAGGACGAGTTGTGCTCAGGTGGCTCTGCGTGGCCTTTTCTGGTTTTCCTGGTCCCCCTCTTATCCCCTAAACCTGTCAGGCATCCACGTGTTTAGAGCAGCCTTTGTCATTTTATGATTTGGTTAGCCAAGATGGTAACACTCCACTCAAGAATTAGCACCTTTTAAAAGTTGCTTATGGCATAAAATACAAAGTAACGAGGGTTTATCACAGAGCTGCCCATTTTCATAAGCCATGTGTGTGTGTGTTTCATTTTTTATTTAAGCCTTGTTGTGAAGTGCTTTGAAAGAGGATCGGTGTGGGCTAATGATTCCTTTCTTTGCCCTCTAGCGATTGTAACTGCCTATGAGAATAGCTCTCAGCATGATCCCAGTTCAAATAACGCTATGCTTGGGGTTCATGCATCAGCTTCAGCGATCATCCAGTATGGAAAAATCGCCCGGAAACAAGGACTGGTCAATGTAGCTCTGGATATATTAAGTCGGATTCATACTATTCCAACTGTTCCTATCGTGGATTGCTTCCAGAAGATTCGACAGCAAGTTAAATGCTACCTCCAGCTGGCAGGCGTCATGGGCAAAAACGAGTGCATGCAGGTGCGGACAGGACACTTGAAGAATGAGGCCAGGTGGAGATTGAGGCCAGGTGGAGAATGAGGCAATGTGGGGTCTCCTGGTTCAGAATATAAGGAAGGTGGACTCGAACTTTCCACAAATACAGCCTCAGTAAGGGGGAAACAGTCCTTCCAAAACACAAAAGGGAAAGGAAGCTACTTGACTGTGAATTACAGTCTCTTGTGGTCTCTGTCCTACTATATACTTAGTTAATGTGTTTAAGGAAAGAAAAAAATTACACACTACAGAATTATGAGGATCTAAGATAGATTTTGACTATTTTCAGAGGAATCTTGATAAGAACAATAAAACCGACCAGACCTATAAAGCTTTGGAGAAAATAAGACCCCTAAGTATTTAGGATTAAATACTTAAAGTTAGCTTTAGTAATTCAGTTTAAATTCTGAACGTCAATCAATAAATATTCATGGTAGGCAAATCTTTTGTCAATTTAAAGTACATTGGTCAATGACTCATAGGACTTACTGCCTAGATTAGTATTTTATGAGGTTTTCATATTGTTTAGAAATTTCAAGAACTTTTTTTCTGCTCATTTTTTTTGAACAGGGCCTTGAAGTTATTGAATCTACAAATTTAAAATACTTCACAAAAGAGATGACAGCCGAATTTTATGCACTGAAGGGAATGTTCTTGGCTCAGATCAACAAGTATGTATGTTATATTGAAAGGATAAGAGAAAAAATGCATCAGATTATTTAAAGTTATTTATAACCTGAAGCCAATGTGAAGCTCAAGCTAGAAATGGGTATGATTTGGTGACAGTCATTAGGTAGGATTTTTTAGGTACTGCACCTCTGCAAAAAGAGTAACTTGTGACAAATTGATAAGCCTATTTGATGTGTAGTATTTTAAAAGCTTTTCTCAAATGAGCTACTGGATCACAGAACTGCTGATAACATGGATTCATTTCCCCATTTCCTCAGTCCGCCATTTACAGAGCTGGTTCGTTTTGTGGAGATGATTCCTGCTTTAGACCAGGGGTCAGTAAAGGATGGCCTGGGGGCCAGCCACATCCAGCCACTGCCCTGTTTTTGTCAGTGAAGTGATATTGGAACACATCCCTCCCCACTGATGTTGCCTGTGACTGCTTTCGCTTTACTGCAGAGTTGAGGAGTTGTGATAGGAATCGTATGGTCTGCAGAGCCTAAACCATTTGCTGTCTAGCCCATCGCAGGAAAGGTTGCCAAACCCTGGTTTAGAGAAGTAAACGTCAGAGGAGATTTTGTAAATATCATGCAAATGAGGTAGACTCACAAGATGCTGCCTGTTGCCTTGTGTAGGCTCCAGTGCCTGCTTTTCACATCTTCAGTCTGTGGGGCTTGCATGTTTAGCTTATTTTTAAATTAGGAAGCAGTTTTGTCAACATAAAAAGGTTTTATCTTTTTGTGTAATGTTTTAAATTCATGTGACAGACACAACCATTCCAAAGTGTACAATTTAGTGGGTTTTAGTATATTTACAGTGTTACACAACCATTACCACTAGCTAATTCTAGAATATTTCCATCATCCCCCAAGTAAACCCTGTATCTGTTAGTAGTCACTCTCCTTTCTCCCCTCCCCCTTTCTCTTGACAACTACTAATGTACTTTCTGCCTCTATGGATTTGCTTATTCTGAACATTCATATAAATAGAAGCATACACTGTGTGGCCTTTTGTGACTGTCTTCTTTCACTTAGCAGGATGTTTTCAAGCTTCATCCATGTGCTGTCATGTATCAGTAACCTGTTCTTTTTCATGGCTGAATAATATTCCATTGGATATCCATACATTTTGTTTATCCATGCAGCAGTTGATGGATGTGTGGGTTGTTCCTACTTTTTAGCTACATGAGTAATGCTGGTGTAAACACTGAATATGTGTCTTTGTGTGAGCATGTTTGAGTTCTCTTGGTTATATACCTGGGGACAGAATATCTGGGTCATATTGTACTTCTCTGTTTATCTTTTTGAGACATTGTCAATCTTCCACAGTTGGCCGTACCATTTTTACATTCCCACCAGCAATGTTTAAGGTTTTAATTTCTCCATATCCTCACCAGCACTTGTTATTTTCTTATTATTTATCTGATTATAGCCATCCTAATGAGTATAAAATATATTTCATTGTGGTTTTGAATTGCATTTTCCTAATGACTGTTGATGCTGAGCTTCTTTTCTTGGTTTTGATTGTTAGTTTGTAATTCTTTATAGGTCTGGATAAAAGTCTCTTGCAGATATATGATTTCCAAGTATTTTGTCACGTTCTGTGGGCTGTCTTTTCACTTTTTTGATAGTGTCCTTTAATGTACAAGTTTTTAATTTTGATGAAGTCCAATTCATGTATTTTTTTCTTTTGTTGCTCATACTTTTCACGTCTTCTAAGAAACCATACCCTAATCCAGGATCAGAAGCATTTATTCTTATGTTTTCTTCTAAGCATTTCATAGATTTAGCTCTTACATTTGGGTCTCTGATCCATTTTGAATAATTTTTTATGTGGTGTGAGGTAGGGGTCTATATTTATTATGCTGCATGTGGATATACGGTTGTCCCAGCACCATTTGCTGAAAAGTCTAGTCTTTCTCCATTGAATGGTCTTGACACCCTCATCAAAAATCAGTTGAGGCCAGGCCCAGTGGCTCACACCTGTAATCCTAGCACTTTGGGAGGCTGAGGTGGGAGGATCACTTGAGCCCAGGAGTTTGAGACCAACCTGGACAATATAGTGGAGACCCCCATTTCCAAAACCCAAAAAACAAAAATCCGTTGACCATTTTTTGTGGGCTTATTTCTGGACTCTCACTTCTATTCCATTGATCTGCTATGTAGAGTCTCATATTTCCATATGAATTTTAGGTTATTTTCATGTATTTCTGCCAAAACAGTTGGAATTACGACAGAGATTGCATTGAATCTGTAGATCAGTTTGTGAGCATTTTGCCATCTGAAGCAAGTTTTCCAGTTTGTGAACACGAGATGTCTTTCCACTAGTTTAGGTCTTCTTTAGTTTAATTCAACAATGTTTTTTAGTTTTTAGTGTACAAGTCTTGCACTTATGTTAAATTTATTCCTCAATATTGTCACGTGAATGGAGCCATTTTCTTCATTTTCACATTGCTCATTGCTAACATTTGGAAATACCAGGGTTTTGTATATTGATCTTAGATTTCTCAACCTTGCTGAGTGTATTTGCTCTAATAGCTTTTTGGGGATTCTTCTTTTCTGTGTATAAGATCGTGTCAACTGCAGGTAGAGATGGACTGACATCTTCTCTTCCAATAAGGATGCCTTTTATTTCTTTTTCTTCCCAATTGCCCTGACTAGAACCTCAAGTACAGTGCTGAATTAAAGAGATGAGATCCTTGTCTTTTTCTTGATCTTGGGGAAAGCCATTCAGTCTTTCAGCCTTGAGTATGATGTTAGCTGTGGGTGTTCTGTAGATGCCTTTTATAAGCTTGAGGAACTTCCCTTCTGTTCTAAATTTGCTGGGTATTTTTATCATGAGATGTTGTTGGACTTTTTTCAAATGGCTTTTTCTGTGTCCTCTGAGATGATTGTGTTTTTTTTCCTTCATTGTTTTAATGTGGTATATCACATTGATTGGTTTTATTTATATTGACTTTTTTGTTTTCTGTGTTGAACCACCCTTATTGCTGGGATAAATCCCACTTGGTCATGATGGATAATCCTTTTAATCCGCTGCTGGAGTTGGGTTGCTCATTTTTGTCGAGGATGTTTGCGTCTGTATCATAAAGCACCTGGGTCTGAAGTTCCCTTGCTATGTCTGGTACATTGCTGGTGTAATAGTGAAGCGGTATAACTGCTGTGGAAACAGTTTGACGGTTCCACAAAAAGTAAGCATAGAGTTCCCACGTGACCAGCATTTCCACTCCCTGGTATACACCCAGAAGTGTTGAAACAAACAGATACCTGTTCGGGAATGTTTGTAGCAGGACTATTTGCAATAATCAAGATGTGGAAACAACACAAATGAACAGATAAACAAAATGTTTATGTTCTATGTGTGCAATGGAATGTTATTCACTTGTTAAAGAGAATGAAGCACTGACACAGGCTTCAACATGGATAAACCTCGAAAACACTGTGCTAGGTGAAAGAAGCCAGATTCAAAAGATCACATGGTGTATGATTCAATTTATATGAAATGTACAGAACCGGTCAATCCACAGAGACAGAAGGCAGACTGCAGGTTCCCAGGGGCTGGAGGTGGGAGGGGTTCAGAGCGACTGCTTATGGGGCGGTTGCACAACATTGTGAATGGACCAAATGCCCCGCAGTGTTCATTTTATAATGGTTAATTTCAGATTACGTGAAGCTCGCTTCAATTGAAAACCATACACGTTTTGGTTTTCTGTCTCCTCACAGGTCCGAGGAGGCAAACAAAGCCTTCTCTGCAGCTGTGCAGATGCACGATGTGCTGGTGAAAGCCTGGGCCATGTGGGGCGACTACCTGGAGAACATCTTTGTGAAGGAGCGGCAGCTGCACCTGGGCGTGTCTGCCATCACCTGCTACCTGCACGCCTGCCGGCATCAGAACGAGAGCAAATCGAGGAAATACTTAGCCAAGGTGAGACCGAAAAAACGAGCTTTGACCAGAGGCCATCTGTCACCTTCAGATTTGGACAGAAATTTAGCTATAGTTTACTCATCCGTGCCGGGTGTGAGGCATGATTTCATGCCTTAACTCTTAATCCTCATCACTGTTCGAAGTATCTTTCACAGTTCCATTTCAAAGCTGAGAAAACTGAGGCCTGGACACTCTTAGGGCCCCAGAACTTCCAAGTGGCAAAGCCTCACGTAGAGCCCAAGTCTAGCACTGCCTGTGGGAGCTCACACGAAACAGAGGGCTGAGGAGGGGATGTGGAGCTAGAACTTCCCTCCTAGACGCCCGTTAGGTTGTCATCCCTCCCCTGCAGGGCTGTTGTCAGCACAGCCACAGAGCTGGCGTGCTGGGGTGGTTGTGGGTTTCTCTCTGCACCGTGCCCCCCAGCAGCCCTGAGCTCAGGGTGGGTGTCACCCACGTGCTCACTGAAGGATGTGCACTTGACACTCAGGTTCCCCCTTCATGTGGCTTCCTGTCTTCCCCCAAGAAGCAGACAAATAAAACCCAGAATTAATTCCAGCAGGAAACCCAAGAATAAATTGTTCCCTTTCCTATTTTGTCCATTAAAGGTTTGGATTTTTTAGAATTCCTTGATTTAACATAAAAATTTGGAATGTACACCAGCACATGGCAGTTAAAGCCGACTACAGAGACAGCTACACGCACTGCTTCAGTGCCTGGCTCCGGGTTGCTTACACCCAGATGTAATTGTTTCAGTCGTCCATGGACACCTGGCTGCCAGCCTGTGGCCTACCTGTTGCCGGGGTGATGAGCATCTGAGAGTTTTAGCAAAAGTTCATTTTGTTTGGATGAGATCATGAGTGTAGGTTAACGGGTGGGCAGGCCCCAGGCATCTTCCTGTTGCTGTCTTGCAGTCGGTCACTGGTCAGTGCTAGTCAGTGGATTAGATCAGCGAGTAATTGTCATTAAAACTAAATCAAAAGGCCGGGAGTGGTGGCTCACGCTTGTAAACCCAGCACTTTGGGAGGCCAAGGTGGGTGGATCACTTGATGTCAGGAGTTCAAGACCAGCCTGGCCGACATGGCAAAACCCCATCTCTACTAAAAATACAAAAATTAGCCAGGCGTGGTGGTGTGTGCCTGTAGTCCCAGCTACTGGGGAGGCTGAGGCAGGAGAATTGCTTGAACCCGGGAGGTGGAGGTTGCAGTGAGCCAAGATCGCACCACGGCACTCCAGTCCTGGGTGACAAAGCAAGACTGTCTCAAAAACAAAACACAAAAAAACTAAAGAGAAAATCTATTTTTAAATTTTAGGTTTTATATACTGTAAGATTTACATTAAGTTTAGCAATAATGTTGGCCTGCTTATAGATACTTTTTTTACATGGCCAGTAAAGCCGCTCTATACAGTGTTGTAATGTTGGGGAAAAAGTCTCTTGCTTGAGGGCTTCAGAATTGTCATTCTACTCTAGAATTTCTCCTTCTGTCTCAGGTGCTGTGGCTTTTGAGTTTTGATGATGACAAAAACACTTTGGCAGATGCCGTCGACAAGTACTGCATTGGTGTGCCACCCATCCAGTGGCTGGCCTGGATCCCACAGCTGCTCACCTGCCTGGTTGGCTCGGAGGGAAAGCTGCTCTTGAACCTCATTAGCCAGGTGGGAAGAGCAGGGTGGCCTTGTTCACGTGCACAAAACATTGTGTCTTCATTTTGCGTTCTTTTTTCTCCCAGAAAGTAAATTTGAGTGTTCAAAGTATTAAAAACAAGTTAAAGAGATGGGAAGATATAATCATGTAGATATTATTTAATATAAAGCATAATTAAAAGTTATTAAAGAATATATCAGAGTTGAAATGAAATAGCTAATAAAGCAGTTCAGTGTTAAAATTCTAATTTCTTAAACATTTTCCCATATATAATGTAAGTAAAATAAACTTGTAGTAAAACATACAATTGCCAGTGGGTACCCTGAGAATGACAGTGAGCCCTGAATCTGATTGGTAGTTTTCCTCTGATTTTTTGTCATATGCTGGGAGCTCTTCGGAGCTGCCCTTAAACTAAAACATGCCCAATTGTGGCTGTCGCCCTTTCGACAGTTGAGCTGCATCATAAGGAACCCATGGTTCTCAAGGGCAGTGGGGCCAGGCCGGGGAAGCGGACAGCCCAGGGCCCTATGGAAAGGCTCTCATAACCATCTCTTGAGAATGATTCCAGGATGTCCCTCTCCCGTGAAAAGACCCAGGCATAGAGGAAGGACCAGAAACGGCGGAAGCGTGGCTACAGTGAGGTTTGGGACACAGCGCCTTTGTGGTTGCTTTTGTAAAATCACGAAGCACCGCAGGAGTCCGTGAAGGTGTTCAGGAAGGAGCTGGGCCCGCGCGTTCTGCCCACCCATTCCTCTGGCTCCTTCCTGCACGCAGCACCTGTGCTATGTGGGCCCTGAGCGATGCCCTGGTTTTCCTTGAGGAGGCAGCTGTGTTTTTGAGTCCCAGCATTCTGTGTAGCACTTATCCTCAGGATGCAGGTCCGACCTACTTGGTCTCATCACTTCTGGAGCATCTCAGGTTCAAGAGCAGCCGCCTCTGCCTGTGACGGCTTAGATGTTATTCCTTTCTTCCTTTCATGGGCACATTCTGAAAGATTCAAGTGACATGGTACTGTCCTGTCAGCCACAGAACTCCAGTTCAATCAAATGGGAGTTTCTTAACTGAAACGGACATCCCTCCATCTCCTCCCAGCTGCAGTTAGGCAGAATAAAGTTATTTGATAATGGAATTAGTTCACAATCCACAGTGAATTGTGCCTGACAGATTAGCTGGTATTTGTTTGTTTTTTTATTTGCTTCAGTGAGATCTGGGGACACATGTATTTTGCCTTCCTCAGATTTACTGCCTGGAAGGAAAGCGTGGTTTCCCTGTCACTCACAGTTCCTGGGTGGAGTTGATGAAATGCATGTGTTGATGTGTCTTGGCTCTTTTAAAGTGAATTAAATATTTTGCCTGCTGTTGAACCTGGCCTTGTGCGTCAGATCAGTGCTGCAGTATTTGCTTCCTTGGTCCAAAGGCAGATCAGACACCTGTTTCTGACTTGACATTGGTTATTTTCAGTACAAATTATCTTTATCCAGAGCTCAGCAGAGAGCAGCACTGTTTATAACATCTTGTCTCTGAGCAGGTTGGACGCGTGTATCCCCAAGCGGTCTACTTTCCCATCCGGACCCTGTACCTGACCCTGAAAATAGAACAGCGGGAACGCTACAAGAGCGGTACGTCTCGGGTGGGGCCGGTAGGCCAGGCCGGGAAGGGCTCATTCCAGGGGGTGCCCCACATCCAGACAGACCACCGCAGCCACCCCTGCCCTGCAGCTCACTCATAGCCGTGGCCAATCTCTCCTCAGTGGGCAGCACCGTAGGGCAGGAAGCAAAGTCTGATCTGAGTACAGTCTCTCTTTTGCCAGGATGTAATAAGCGTTCATTTATCCGAGTGATTTGATCTATAGGTAGAGAAAATATGTGAAATTTTCAGCTTCAGAAAACTGTAAAGTTTACCTTTCTCCTTAGTAGTAAGTGCATCCCAATACACAGCAGATGCCAGCTGCCGTGTGTGTGTGTGTGTGTGTGTGTGTGTTTAAGTTATGAGGAGTATCTTCAGCTGTGAGAAGAATCAGCATTGAAGTCAGTCTTACCAGATGTTGGTGAAATTTCACTCACAGTGTAAGACTTTTAATCTATATTGAATAGCCCTTGTATGCAAAGCAACAACTGATTTGATGGCTTCAGTTACCCACTAGGCAGGGTGCTTTAAATAATGAGACGACCGTTTACTGCCCCTTGTTTTCAATGCTGAGTCTCCTAAGGGCCGTGGGCCGTGTGTGGTTGGTGAGAGGCGGTGGATGAGGGCTGCATGGCACATTTCAGCTCTAACCTCTGGGGAGTCAGTCTGCCTAGGTGGCTTCATGTCTTGGTCATTTGAAAATTAAGGTTTTTTAGTTTTAAGACTAAGTGTAGAGAGGTAAATTCAGAAAAAAATGGTCATTAAAGGCTCTGCAATGTATCTCACAGGGAAAAATGACCGTATTTTTCAAAAGCAGTATTTTGCAATTGGCTTGGCTTTCCAAACCAGTTTCCTATTAACTGCTTTTAGATTCTCTGAGTTTATAGTAGCAAGGAACGTGTAACAGATTGTGAGATATTTTTCCAAACATTTATGTTTAGGATGATCAGACGTAACAGAAACGTTAAAAGGAGTTCTCAGGGAACTCTTGTGCGCCCTCACCTGGACTCACCAGGCGGCGTGTTGTCACATCTGCATCCTCCTAAAACACATACACGGGTTTATTTAATGGAATGGATTGAAGCCGCATTGTAGACAACTGCGCTGTCCCTCCCCGCGTCCCTCAGCGCACCTGCGCCTAGAACCAGGGCCTTCTCCCACGCAGTCCTTGGGGAAGCGGTCTTGTAGGGATTCACACGCCGGCAGGAACCAGCGCTCCTTTGGCCCATGGGTCCTGCAGCGCTCCGAGCCCTGGCGTCTGTCGGTTTTGCGCTGACACTGGCGTTGTGTGTGTTGCTCTCAGATTCTGGACAGCAGCAGCCAAGTTCAGTGGGTAACCAGTCCCATTCTGCATCAGATCCAGGGCCCATAAGAGCAACAGCACCCATGTGGCGCTGCAGCCGAATCATGCACATGCAGCGAGAGCTCCACCCCACCCTTCTGTCTTCCCTGGAAGGCATCGTCGATCAGATGGTCTGGTTCAGAGAAAATTGGCATGAAGAGGTATTTGGCTCTGATCTTGCACATGGTGGCTCCTTGTAGAGGGGACGTGGTGTTCTGTATGCTTCTGTGGCTCTCTTCCCTTGAGCTTTAGTTGCCGGTCCTTTTATATATTTGTTGTTGAACTTAACCATGGACCAGGCAAATAGCTATCTCTGCACACTAGTACAGCCTTAAAGATTCAAAGTACAAGACATGAAAGAGGGTGGAATTGAGGAAGCCACTTCTTGCTGTTAAAATGCTGGCCGTGCTCATGTCCCTGAGCTCAGTGACCTGAGTGCCACTGTTAACCAGGTGTGAGCAGGAGCAGTGGCATGAGTAACAGGGTTATAATTTCCATAGATGGGAAATTGTAGGGATGTGGGGTCTTTTCAGCAGTCAGACCACTTCCTTAATAACGTTGGCTTAAGCTGATGACAGAATAGTCCACGCCTCACTGCCCAGATGCTTACCTGGTTGAGCCCCGGGGCCAGCTCCTTACTGCTGTGAAGTCTCGTGTGTGCACAGTGCACGCAGACACGCGGTGGGAACAGTACAGCTGCCTGAAAATGCAGGGGTTTTGTGGCTAATCGCAGACGGGTGTATGATCCAAAAAAGTGGGGCTTTTCTGTTTTCGCTTTTTGAATGTTCAGGTCCCTTACTCCCCAAGGTCAAAAGCGCCTGCTCCCATGTGGCATGCACAGGCGTCCCGTTTCTTGCACACGCCGATTTCATGCCTGCTGTGTGTGGGTCCTGCCGGGGAGTGCAGAGATGACCCTGGGCTGGGAGGGCCGCACTCAATAGGCGCTTTTGGCTGCTGGTTCTGGAGTGGAGGGCTGTGTTTGTCAGTTGTCTCTGGCTCTTTTCTACCAGGTTCTCAGGCAGCTCCAACAGGGCCTGGCGAAATGTTACTCCGTGGCGTTTGAGAAAAGTGGAGCGGTGTCCGATGCTAAAATCACCCCCCACACTCTCAATTTTGTGAAGAAGTTGGTGAGCACGTTTGGGGTGGGCCTGGAGAATGTGTCCAACGTCTCGACCATGTTCTCCAGCGCAGCCTCTGAGTCTCTGGCCCGGCGGGCGCAGGCCACTGCACAAGACCCTGTCTTTCAGAAGCTGAAAGGCCAGTTCACGACGGGTGAGTCTCCATTTTCCTTCCCTTCCATAGGGAGAATTGTGCACGCTGATTTCCTCCGGCTTTAGTGTTGAAGCTGATTGGATCCTTGGTTTTCTGATCACTGCACGGGGCACACTGGTTACACTCTGTTTACAGTGCAGACTTCAGAGTGCATAGCTGAGACCACATGTTTTTCTCCCAGGGAGGGGTCAAGGTTTGGAGCAGGAGCTGCCAGGATCCAAGACGGGGTAGAAAATGCATGGTTTCAGGCCACACTGCCCTCCTGCCCTCCTGCCTTCCTGAGACCCTTCCTTCACTTGTTTTTGGTGGGAAACAGGGTAGGGTGGGGTGGTGGGAGACATTGTTAGTGTGAACCAGTAGGAGACAGAGTCCTGGTGAGCCGGTGGGAGATGGGGCCGGGTGAGCCGGTAGGAGATGGCACCAGGTGGGATGGTGGGAGATGGTGTTAGTGAGCCAGTAGGAGACAGCGTCTGGCGGGCCAGTGGGAGACAGGGTCCGGTGGGCCCATGGAAGACTGGGTCTGGGTGCGCCGGTGGGAGATGGCGCCGGGTGAGCCAGTAGGATTTATAGGGGCAGGGCCTGCAGCGACGAGCTAAGTGCAAGCTCACTGTGGATTCTGGGCATCGTAATAGGGAGATGTATTTTCAATGCTTGTCTGTAGTTCAGATTAATGCGTTTTCCTAGGCTCACAGCTTAACTCCTGGCTCTGCCTCTTATGTTGTGATGTGAGGAAAGGAGTCCAATTTCCTTCAGCCCAGGTTTCTTCCTCTGTCAAACAGGGATCCTCACCCCACAGTATCCCCCCCCCACCATCTACACACCCCTGTTCCATCCTTGCACCCCCATCCCATCATACACACACATGTCCCATCTACGCACCCACGTCCCGTCCATGCACCCCATCCACTCACCTGTATCCTATCACCTGCATCCCATCACTCCCATGTCCCATCTACACACCCGCGTCCCATCTACTTACTCTTGTCCCATCATAGACACCTACATCCCATTTACACACGCATGTCCCATCATACACACCCCTGTCCCATCTACACACCCGCGTCCCATCCTCGCATCCCCATCCCGTCCTCACACTCCCGTCCCATCCTCGCATCCCCATCCCATCCTCATACCCCCATCCCATCCATGCACCCCCGTCCCATCTACTCACCCCTGTCCCATTCACACTCCCCCGTCTAGTCCACACACCCCATCCACTTACCTGCGTCCCCTCATCCTCATGTCCCATCTACACACCAACGTCCCATCTACTTACCCTCATCCCATCATACACACCTACATCCCATTTACACACGCGTGTCCCCGCGTATGCACTGTGTCCCATCTACACACCCACATCACATCTGCGCATCCACATCCCATTGTGCACACCCACATCCACCGCGGTGCGCACAGGCACAGCTGCTTCTCGTGCTGTCTGGAACACGTTGCTTCTTACTCCTCATTCAGCCTCCATCCCACTTACCTGCGGGCTCCCTAGTAGAGAAGCGCGTGGCGGGCTCTCTTGCCAGGTTCTCACTGAGAGCTCCTGGTCCCAGGATGTGGCTTCAGCTGCCTGAGTAACTTCCCCAAGCCTTCATCTCTCAAGTGTCAGCACATGAGTGATTGCAGCACATGAGTGATTGCTGTGTGAAAACGAGATTTGTCTGGTACAGTTTCCCAGAGATGAAAGAAAGATTAAATCATTCACATTTAAAAGCTTAATTACTGCATTTTTAAAATTGTAGAACAAATCATTTTAATTTTCATTTCTTATCTTCAACTTATTCTTTAAATTAACTTCAATTTTTATACAAAATGTCCTGAATGGAAGTGCATGAAACTATCTGGTTAAAACAAAATATGGGCCTTCAAACCTAAGCTCAGTCACTAGCCCAGGTAAAAAGAAGAGATGCTATTCTGTGACCTTTTTCCTCTTAATAATATGTTATATGCCGAACAGTTTAAAAATGTGATTAGTTGCCTTGGTGACAGAATAAATAGCAGCAACTCTGTTCTAATTATAAGATGATTTTAAATTTTATTTTTAAGATTAAGTATCCTCTTTGACAATCCAGAAACATAGTCTTTGCTGACTCTGTGGACACACACCTAAAACAGTTAAAAAGGATTCCTCAATTTTCAATGACAAAGTACAAAAAAAGAGTATGTTCTTGGTGGGCACGGTGGCTCACGTCTGTAATCCCAGCACTTTCAGAGGCCGAGGTGGGCGGGTCACTTGAGGTCAGGAGTTCGAGACCAGCCTGACCAACATGGTGAAACCCCATCTCTACTAAAAATACAAAAATTAGCCTGTCGTGGTGGCGTGCGCCTGTAATCCCAGCTACTCAGGAGGCTTAGGTGGGAGGATCGCTGGAACTTGGGAGACGGAGGTTGCAGTGAGCCAAAATCACGCCACTGCACTCCAGCCTGGGCAACAGTGAGACTCTGTCTCAAAAAAGAATATGTTCTCAAGCTGCAGTTCAGTTTTTCTGTCCCCTTTTCCAAAAAATCTTACTTTACTACCAAGCCACTCACCTAACTATAAGGAAAGACAGTTTTTCAAAAAGGCAACAAAATCCAGAAAAAGGAGTAGGTATCAGTCCAAAATTATCACCCAAAACACTGCTGTTGCAAAAAAAAAAAAAAAAAAAAAAAAAAAAATTAGAGTAGGAAGCCGAATTCCCATAGCTTGTTAGAGAAGATCTTTTAAAAGAATTCAGAAAGTTAAGAGTGGAACTACAGTGGTATAGACAGGCTCAAAATGCAGATAATTCAGGAACATTCAGCTTGGAAATATATTAGGCTTTCTCCTAGTCCAGCAGAGGAAATAAAATCATGTGTTGCTGGAATTAATATTAAAATTGTCCCCACACGCAGAAGGTAAAGAAAGAGAATGTGGAACAAACGTAGCAAAGACAAGTCACCTTAAGTCTAGGCTCTACTGCCCAGGAAAATTGAATCGAACTTAAATTCTTCCTGAGTCATTATCACTAAATTCTAGATTTGGCCTGAAACCAGTGGACCACATACACCACTAATAAATACCAAGTGATCCACAGTGTTTGTGGTATTACATTTTTTTAATTATTATAAGTTTATATTCTGAAAAGCAGTAGATCAAAATGATGCTGCACCATCCAGTCGGTTACAGACTAAACGGCTCCCTCCAAAGAGGACTGACTTGGCAGAAACCTAGGCTGGAAGGAATGTGAGTAACATGAAGTACATCAGGCTCTCAGTATAATTTCCGTAAGGCTTTTCTACCCACCCCAGTTGTAGGGAGTAGTACTGAGGGAGCTCCAACACAGTGTCTTACAGGGGTGCTTCCCAGAGACAGAAGGGCTCTAAGTTTAACTCTTGACCCCTCTTCTCCTTACCTAAAGCTTGGGGAAGAAAATAAATATTTAATTTTTAACTTTTCAGAGCTTTGAGCACATTATAATATTTAATATTCTGTAGCTTCATTTTCTGAACCTTTGGCTTAGAATTTTTTTCTCAACTTACATTAAAAAAAAGTATGAATGCTCCTTCACCAGATGAAAATATAAGCCATGTTCTTCCATCTCTTCTACACAGGAAGAGTGAATGAATAGTACTGTAAATATCCTGTGAGGTTACTTTGTGTACTTGACGAAAGATTAGGGAAAACCAATCCACTTCCATAGCTCGAGCAGTAGTTAACTAGTCTTCAATCTCATCTTCCCCAATGTCTCCATTCATATCCAAGCATGAAACAGCCGGTTACAACACGGTGAAGTAGGGTTGGCGAAATGTTTGTAAGGGGTTGCTAGAGAGAGAACCCATGCCGACCCAATAGAAATAGAGCCTGCAGCCAGTACATGGCATCCACCTCACTTCTCTATGTGAATTCCACAGCATGGGCATCTCTTCGAGTTCTCTTCTAGCCACTCCTTTCTTTCCATCTCTTCCAGTGCCCTCTGACTCACCCTCTTACCTTACCTCTGTTACAGAAATCTTGTCTTGGCCTCATCTGCTTGCAGGTATTCGTTTTGTAAGTCTGTTAATTTCTCTGCCATCACCTTACATGGAGAGGCCCCATGGTAGGTCAGTCTGCACAAGGTACAGAAGGCAAAGTTACAGCTGGAGCAGATGCCCGTGGTACAGCCAGGCCCTGCAGGCCCCCACAGGCGGGGGCAGCACACCACATCTGCCACCAGCTCCAAGGTGGATGGGAGGAGAAGGCAGCCATGACGGGCAGAGAACTCTGCTTCCGCTGGCTCTTTGACCTGGCCAGGAGTGGCCACCGAAGGGCACTTTGGTTCTGAGCAGTTGAGGCATTGAACCTGGCCATCTCTGATCTGGATTTCAAAGCAGTCCTTCAGATAGGCTTTGCAGTACACAGGCTTCACTCCAAGAAGTACATGCATTCACTGCCCAGCTTCTCGCAGAAACAGATGTCGTACAGGAACAGTCTACTATTAAAGCATTTTATCTGCTAAGCTTGATCAAAGTCCAAGATTTCCTGGATCAGACTTGACAGTGATTCCACATCCTGCACAGCTCTCTCATCCACAATTTCCTCTTGATCTACATGAGATCCAGCAGCTCCTCCAAAATCTAGCTCTGATGGGAGGGGCTTGAGCTATCCTTCTCGGCACTTTTTCCTGAGAACTTATCGTGAGCTCAGAGGGAGAGACAATATTGGGGTGCACCAGGGTCTCTTGCTTAAGAAACTGCATCCAGGCAGACAGGATCCCACTGCCACTGTGTTCTTCCCATAGGTTGTCTAAGTGCTTGCATAGAGCAGAGAGCTGAGTTGGTGACAGCAATTTGCCACTAAGTGTGAATGAAGGTGGGAAGGAGGATGGATAATCTGGTGGCAGTTCAGAGTTCAGCACAAGTGGAGGGAGAAAGCAAATGGTATATTCAAAGCTACTATTCTGGGGGCACTCATCTGAATTGCCGCTCACAAATAACTTGAAGTTCTGTGGCAAATCCCGATCGATGCTGATTTCTCCACCTCAGACAGGCTTTGCTTTTCCGAATTCATCTCCATCTTAAATACTCGCCAGGGCCAGCAGCTCACCTCCTGAGCTTCTCAGTCTTCTGACAACATTTAATTTTATGAGGAATTGTTAATAACAATCAGAAAAAAAGGATGTCAGCACCGCAATCTGTATTTCAGTTTGTTTATTTATTTATTTATTTATTTTAAGGTGGAGTTTTGCTCTGTTGCCCAGGCTGGAGTGCAGTGGCGTGATCTCAGCTCACCGCCACCTCTGCCTCCCAGGTTCAAGTGATTCTCCCGCCTCAGCCTCCCGAGTAGCTGGGATTACAGGTGCACGTGCCACCACACCTGGCTAATTTTTGATTTTTAGTACAGGTGGGGTTTCACTACGTTGGCCAGGCTGGTTTTGAACTCCTGACCTCAAATGATCCACCCACTTCGACCTCCCAAAGTGCTGGGATTACAGGTGTGAGTCACTGCCCGGCCATGTATTTCAGTTTAGAGTGGAGTTCGTGCAGATCCCATTTATTCTCCAGGTGGTGGAGATGAGACTGCCAAAGCCGGGTAACAGGCCAAGATGTAGAACTCATACTACATATACTATGGAAATCCTGCCATGTGGGGCAAGCCGGAAACTGCTACCCCAGTGAGGGAAGCCCCTCCTCCACAGTGTTTCCCTCCAGCCTGCGAAACTCTTTTTCATTCTTCCAGGCCACACTCTGCGCACTCCAGCCTTGGGGCCAGCCCTGGTCTGGGTTCAGCATGCCACTGCCGCCGTCTCCAGCACTCGCCAGCCGGCGTCACTTGGGCAACTGACCAACAAGTGGGGCAGGCCGCAGCCTAGCTCTCTGCCCCAGCGCTGGGATCAGAGGGCGCTGTGTGGGCCTGTGAGCAATGGGCCAGCCTGGGGTGTCCTGAAGGAGCAGGGCCCACACCTTTCCCTTCCTCATCAGCACCCTGAAGGGTCGTGGCCAGGCTGGGCTGGGGGCACCCTGTCTCGAGTTTGGGGGATCGAAGCCCACTGAGCAGTTCTGGCCCGGCCCCCTTCTCTGCCTTGCACACCCAGAGTGTGGTCCCTACCATACCTTCCAGCTGCCCTGCAGTGCCCAACTTAGCGCTTTTGTAATGATCTTTGCCACGTTCTTTCTTCACTGATGGGTTAAATCGTAGACTAAGTGGTTCACATGTGTGGTATTCAAAGAATCTCCTAAAGACTCATTGTGTCCTAGATGACACAGTTAATATTAAGTCACATAAAAGAAAATCTTCATCTCCTTAATCGGAAAGGACACTCAACAGCCATAGCTGTGACCAGGGTTGCATCGAGGTTGCATCCAGCTGAAGTGTGGCGTGTGCCCTGCAGTTGCTCCAGGCAGTCTGGGGGCGCAGCTCCCTGTTCGTGATGTGTGGGTTGGGCTTGCCTTAGGTGAACCCACAGCTGAGGGAGGTGCTCTTTGAAAAGTGAAGGGCAAGCCCGGTCCTCCCCGTCTATACGTGAAGCGCTTTCATCTCCTCAGGCTTATTGTGAAGTGTGTGTGATGTGTGGTCTTTCACCCTTCTGAGAACGGAAGAGTCCGAGATGAAAGTTTTATGGAAATCATATTTTACTTGAAAGAAATGGTGGTATTCAGCATGCTTTTATCTTAAAATGTCCACATTATTAAATCAAAAAAGTAGAGAATCAGAAATGGGATAGATCTTCTGGCTTTTGATGTAAAAAAAAATAAAAAATCACAAAACCAAAACTGGAAAAAGTCAGCATGAGGCTCCTGACTCATCTCAAAGTGCAGTGGGTCTCAGACACGCACAGCCAGAGCTCATCCACCTTCCGCTCTCCTGTACACAGGGGAGGCTGTTTCTGTCTCTTTGTCTGTGTTCCGTTCGTGGAATGCAGTCCGATTCTCTAGCAGAGCTGCATGTGTGGGCTGCCAACCACATGTCTGTAAAGAGGTGGAAGAAAGCTCAGAAATGGCGCACTCCATTTATCCCACAGAAATGAAGACTTCCATTCATGTGGGAACTGGTACACAAATATTCAGAGCCTTTGTTACTTTATTTATAATAGCTCAAAACTGGAAACCATGCAGATGCCCTTTCAGAAGGTATTGAATACATTAGAAACACCTCAGCAATGAGGAGTTAATTATTGATACACAGTAACGTGGGTGAACCTCCAGGAAATCATGCTGAGTGCAAAAAGCCAACTTGGATGTGTACTGAGGGATTCTTAATTGTGAAATACCACAGTGGAGACGGAGAAGGGATTCATGCTGGCCAGGTGTTCGGGATGCAGGGGAGAGGCGGGGGGGTGGGGTGGTGGGGGTGGGTGGTAGCTGTGAAGGGCAGCCAAGGGCATCCCGTGCTGATGGTGCAGCTCAGCAACTGATTGTGCTGGTGGCTCTGCGAGGCCACACAGTGACATGACCAGAGGTGTGCGCATGCATACACACATGTGCGCACACACACGTGCACACATAACTGGTGAAGTCTGAATCAGCTCTTCAGCTCTTTGGACTGTGCCAATGTCACTTTTTGGTGTTGGCATCGCACTGGGTTGCATAGGATGCTGGTGTGGGAGGAAGAGGGTTAGGAGTACATGGGACTTTCTGTATATTTTGTTTGCATCCTGTTGTGAATCTCTAGGAATTTCAGAATAAAAGTTAAAAAGAGATCAGGCATGAGCTTGGCAGCACGTTCTTGGTCCAGCGTGGAGAGGGAACAATGAGGTGGCCTGCGTCCTTGGTGGTGGCCTCTGTCTCTCGCGGCTCTGCTGGGGGATCTCACCTTGGTGCACAGCAGCCTGTCCAGCCACCTGCCTGTGTGGAGTCCTGGCACTGTGAGGAATGCAGAGGAGGGAGGTGCCACAGAGCTTAAAATGAAAGGGAAACCAGACAAGTGCTATGAAAAAAAAACACACACACACAAAATACATTGGCTTTCATGAAACCAATGACATTTGTGGACAGCCAAGTTCAGACATGGTCAGGAATAGGCCACTCGTATAGCTGGGTGTTATCACGCGTGGGCAGGGATGGTCAGGCCACTTGAATAGCTGGGTGTTATGCCCAGCGCCTCATGTGCGCTGCCTCGTTTAATTTCATCCTTTCGGGGCAGGTGTTAAATTATTCCCGTTCCTATACCACGGGTTAGAAAAGTGAGGCCCTAAGAGGTTCAGCGGCGTGCTCCAAGGTCTAAGCTGGCATGTCTCCCGCCACGACTCAGCCAGCATTCCATTTGGGCTCAGGACGCCAGCCCTGGGGACGGTGCCTCCTCGTGGCTCCCCCAGGGCCCCTGCTTTGCTGCAGTTTTGGTTGGGTTCGTCCTGACCTCCAGTCGCCCTGGTGAGTTAGGGTGACGAGGCTCCTTCCAGCACTGGCGCTCGTCTGGGAGGAAGTCGAGGCGTTCTACAGAAAGACATTTTAATATGAGTGGCCTGAGAAATATATTAACCAGGGATTTTTGAATTGCTTCAGTGAAAAATGTTTTTGGCTTTTGCCATTTTGGTATCCTGCATTAGTTCCTTCTCATGGCTCATTTAGGATCTATCTCCTGGGTGGTCGTTTCCGTTGCCTTAGGCTCACTTTGATTACAATATCAGCTTTGACACGAGACCTAGGGCTCCGTGTGACACTTGTGCTCAGAGGCGGGGTTGCCGTTGGATGCTGGTCTTCAGGCCCTGGTGACACGGGCTCCTGGTTGTTGGGTTTCACAGGCCGCCCTCAGGCTCCTGTGTCTCCCAGGGCCCCAGCCTCACACACTGAGGTAGACGTTGCCTCAACGGCATTGTTCCCGGAAGGGCCTGTGGGGTTGGGGATGGGGTTTCAGGCTGGTGGTTCCTCTCTTCCTCTTCCTCTCCACGCGGTGGGAGGTCCCTGACGGGGCTTCTCTTGTTCTGTCAGCCTCTTGGGGAGCAAGGGACATAAAATGTTTTGCTCCACACCATGTATAAAACGTGTAATTCGGCTGGGCATAGTGGTTCACGCCTGTAATCCCAGCACTTTGGGAGGCTGAGGTGGGCGGATCATCTGAGGTCGGGAGTTCAAGACCAGCCTGGCCAACATGGTGAAACCCTGTCTCTACTAAAAATACAAAAGAAAAAGAAATTGGCCAAGCCTGGTGGCGGGTGCCTGTAATCCCAGCTACTCGGGAGGCTGAGGCAGGAGAATCACTGAAACCCGGGAGGCGGACGTTGCAGTGAGCGGAGATCGCACCACTGCACTCCAGCCAGGGCAACAAGAGTGAAACTTCATCTCAAAACAAACAAACAAAACATGTAATTCGTAGCTGGTAGGGGCTTGAGCGTTTTTTGCAGTGTGTTAGAACTGGCCCAGATGACTAAAAACGTTTTTAATCATGTTTTATTTTTAAGATTTTGACTTCAGCGTTCCAGGATCCATGAAGCTTCATAATCTTATTTCTAAGTTGAAAAAGTGGATCAAAATCTTGGAGGCCAAGACCAAGCAACTCCCCAAATTCTTCCTCATAGAGGAAAAGTGCCGGTTCTTGAGCAATTTCTCGGCACAGACAGCTGAAGTGGAAATTCCTGGGGAGTTTCTGATGCCAAAGCCAACGCATTATTACATCAAGATTGCACGGTGAGTGGGCCAGCCTGGCAGGTGGAACTAACCCACGGCGCCCATGGACATGGAGCCCCATGGGAGCTCCAGGGTGGACCCTGTGGGGAATTTTGGACACAGATTCCCTGACATGGGAGAACATAAGATGATTCTGGAATGTAAGTGGTCAGGCACTTTACAAGTTCTGCCCGCGCTGACTGGTTAGCTGTCCTGAGTGCAGTCTGGGTTTGCATTCAGCAGACCTTCTTCCGAGTCACCATAGAACTTGACAAAACAGTGTGTGTCCCACTCTTGTAAATCCTCGAAGCACAGTATTGAGGCAGAATCAGATGATTGTAGCATTTCCTAGAGTGTGCTGCATCTCATTTGAAATGCTGAAAGGGCTTTGAAGAGGTTTCTTTTAACAAAAAGTGTGTTTCGTCTTTATTTCTGAACCAGACACAGCTCTGCTTTTCTATATGTCCAGAGTTTAGTTGCCCTTTCCTCCAAATCTGGCTCCTGTCCTGGCCAGCTCTCCCTCCTCCTTGACTTCCGTCCGTGGCTGCTGAATTGAAAATATTGTGACTCATTTACACCGCATCAGGGTGAGGCAGGGTACAAATAAATTGATAAACGACCGCTGGCCTACACAGTCCGTTTTCCCGTGACAGTTCGGACATTCCTAGCTTCTTCTCAAGACAAGGACTGGTAGCAGAGATGCAGGGCATGTCCTCATGGCTTCTCGCTCTGGCAGGTTCATGCCCCGGGTAGAGATTGTGCAGAAGCACAACACCGCAGCCCGGCGGCTGTACATCCGGGGACACAATGGCAAGATCTACCCATACCTCGTCATGAACGACGCCTGCCTCACAGAGTCACGGCGAGAGGAGCGTGTGTTGCAGCTGCTGCGTCTGCTGAACCCCTGTTTGGAGAAGAGAAAGGAGACCACCAAGAGGCACTTGTTTTTCACAGGTAGGGTTGAGAGCCACAGCTCGCTGGGTACACAGGCAGCTTCACAGGTGGGGATGAGAGCCACACCTCGTGGGGTGCACAGGCAGCTCACGTTAGCCTTTGAGGGTCCAGCTGCGTCAGCAGAGAATGTTGTAGTCTGTGCTGACCAGGGAAGGCCTCAGGAAGAGGAGCAGCTCCAGGCCTTCAGGCTTCTCACTGAGAGATGAGAGCTGTGTCCACCTTTCCTCTAAGGCGAGCTTGTCCAACCTGCGGGCTCCATGGGGCCCACGATGCCTTTGAATGTGGTTCGACACAAATTCGTCAACTTTCTTAGGACATTATGAGATTTCTTTTTCTTTTTTTTTTTCTTTTTTAGCTCATCACCTGTCGTGTCAGTGTATTTTATGTGTGGCCTGAGACAATTCTTCCAATGTGGCCCAGGGAAGCCAAAAGATTGGACATCCCTGTTCTAAGGTCTTTTGCACTCTACGGAGTGGGCCCCTGGAGAGCTGGGGCGTCTCAGTGGGTGCTGCCGGTTTTGCTTCTCCTCCCGGGAACCCAGGCTGCTGGGAGGAGAAGTGAAACCACCCCGGCCGAGCCTGGGCGCCAGCGAGGCAGCAGCATGCATCAGGTTTCCAGCGCGCCTCTAGCTGCTTCACACGCTGCACTCTGGGCCCTCCCTGAATTTCATTCCTGGGTGAAATGCAGGACTCGGGAAAGTCTAGCTGCCCTGTTAAGGCCACAGAAATTGCCAGGGGGACACAAATAGCTGATAAGCAACCTCTGAATGAAGTCTTTGTCACTGAGTTATCGTGAGTGGCCTGATTGTACCGGCACGTAGATGAGATGCTTATAATGTTATCCAGAGAAGAGAGCCACTTTGATGACTTTTTAGCATGTAATCCCTGAAGTCGGGAGCCCGCTGCAATGTATGTTATCTAGTCCTTTATGGAACTTTCTTTTGCCACCAAAGCTGTGATCAGCCCCTTTTGACCTGAAATCTCTGACCCTTAATTTTTTTATATCTCAAAATAAGATTTTTTTAAAAGCCTAAAGAAAGCTCAAAATGCATCACAGAAAGCTGTGTATGTTTTAACATGTATATAACATGACCTGTAGTGTTGATTCCAGCTGTGGGTTATTGATTTCTCTGCTTCCAAATGCTTGGTCAGCACAGAATGGTGGTCCTAATGTGTGTCCTGGAGTCATTTGGGGATTTCTTTATGGGTAGACGCCAGGACAGCAAGCCATCAGCTGTGGCTTAACTGACATTAGACAGAATCAGCCACTTGGTTCACAGAAGTCAGAATCATCTGTGTGCACTTCACATGCCCCTGACTCCACGTCAGGGGTTACAGTGGCTGGGACACAGCTGCCACTGGGACCCTCACCGGGCAGGCTTAATCTGCCATCTTCTGGAAATCTTTCAGCTCCCTCCAACTTCATTGCAACAAGATATCTGAATATTCCCTGAACCTAGTATCTTCACAAAGTATTATCTCATTTAATCCACAAACAACCCTATGGGGTAGGTACTATTATCCCACTTTTGGAAGAGAAACTGCACACAAGTCTGGTGCTGCTCCCCAAGGTGACGTCACTGGGGAGACAGGCTCTGGAGTGGTCGCCCAGCGCTCCTGCCGCCTCCAGCTGACTCAGACCACAGTGGTTTCGGTGCAGGTTAGCATCCTGTCTGGCAGGTTGTAGATTAACTGCATCTCCAATACCGAATGGTGATTGGGAACAGAGTACTGGTCACCATGTGTGGACAGGGATTTACACATTAATGGGGCTAGACGATCAGGTTGATGCTGGTTGCTTTCCTTATGTGGACAGAACACAGAAGATGACCTGAGGGATGATTTTCCTCCTCCAAAGATGGGGCACAGCCGTCCTAGGTGCTGAAAGACAAGTTTGCATCATTAGACAGCAGCTGTCTCAGAGCAGGAAGGCCGGACTCTTCCCATAGACTCTGATTAAGGAAAGCCTCTAAGAGTGAGCATTTGGCAGAGTCTGTTTTTTTTTATTTTTAGTTTTTTGAGACGGAGTCTCACTCTCTCATTCAGGCTGGAGTGCAGTGGCGCAATCTCAGTTCACTGCCACCTCCACCTCCTGGGTTCAAGCAATTCTTCTGCCTCAGCCTCCCGAGTAGCTGGGACTACAGGTGCGCACCACCACGCCTGGCTAATTTTTGTATTTTTAGTAGAGATGGGGTTTTGCCATGTTGGCCAGGCTGGTCTCAAACTCCTGACCTCATGTGATCCACCCACCTTGGCCTCCCAAAGTGCTGGGATTACAGGCGTGAGCCACCATGGCCAGCCATGTTTATTCTTATTTTTTAGACAGGGTCCTGCTCTGTCACCCAGACTGGAGTGCAGTGGCGCAGTCACAGCTCACTGCAGCCTCCAACTCCTGGGCTCAAGCGATTCTCCCACCTCAGCCTCCCGAGTAGCTGGGACTATAGGCTATCCTTTATTTTTTGTTTTTTTAAGATGTCTTTTTTTTTTTTTTTTCTTTGAGATGGAGTCTCGCTCTGTCGCCAGGCTGGAGTGCTGTGGCGTGATCTCGGCTCAAGGCAACCTCTGACTCCCTGGTTCAGGTGATTCTCCTGCCTCAGCCTCCTGAGTAGTTGGGATTACAGGCACCTGCCACCACTCCCGGCTAATTTTTGTATTTTTAGTAGAGACGAGGTTTCACCATGTTGACCAGGATGGTCTCGATCTCCTGACCTCGTGATCCGCCCACTGTGGCCTCCCAAAGTGCTGTGATTACAGGCGTGAGCCACTGTGTCCGGCCAAGATGTCTTTTTAAGATTGCCTTCTAAAGCATTTCTGTTTGTGGACACAAGGTGACGATCAGTTCGTGCCGTCAGAGCCTCATGCCATCTGTTGAGCAAATGGATGGTGCATGACCACCGGGTTCTTCCAGCTAAGCCCCCAAGGCATACAGAGCCGGGTCAGCTCTGCTCCCAGTGGCACTCTGACGGTGGAGCTGAGCACTGGCCCGCGGTCACCCTCAGCCTGCCCCGTTTCTCTTCCTCTCTCCCCAGTGCCCCGGGTTGTGGCAGTTTCCCCACAGATGCGCCTCGTGGAGGACAACCCCTCTTCACTTTCCCTTGTGGAGATCTACAAGCAGCGCTGCGCCAAGAAGGGCATCGAGCATGACAACCCCATCTCCCGTTACTATGACCGGCTGGCTACGGTGCAGGCGCGGGGAACCCAAGCCAGCCACCAGGTAGCAGTGGGGCCGGGCCGGGGGCCGAGCTGCCGCCTGCAGCCCTCCTGTGTGGGGCAGTGCCTGGAGACAGGGGTGTTTAGGAGATGAACAGGCATTTGTTGGGGGCCACCTCTGTCATTTAAAGTAACTTTATTAGACTCATGAGATGGTGGAAATGAGACAGCTATTGACCTTGGTGAGAGGACACTTGTCGTGGACGGTTTGTTATGACCAGACACGGGTCAGTCCTCGACCTTGGAGAGGCCCCTTGCCCTCTGCCTGTACTTACAAAGAAGCGCCGAAATTAGAATTTTAAAGTAAGTTTCTGGCAGGCTCACTTGACAGCCACACCTGATCTGAGGTGATGGGAGGCTGTTTATAGGCTTCATTCATCCACTTCATGTTCCTGTTCACCTGGTCTGCTGCTGGAGGTGTTAGGCGATGTGCAGCATGTGTGCTGTTTTCTAAAATACAAAAAGCGACAGACTCTGGAGTGCATGGGGCCCAGCTGTTTCGGTTGCCTGAGCCCGGAGCATGGTGCCCGCAGGAGTCTTGGGTGGCCCTGGCCTGCAGCCCCTCGGAGGTACAGAGGCCCCTCATTCACCTGCACGTTTTTGCCCTTGGTAGGAGGCAGGGCAGGTATGGGCTTTAGGTGGGGAGATTTTTGGGGGATTGTGTGGGGCACCCAGGGGCAGCTGTTTTGGCCTCTCCCTGGGTGCCCCGTGGTCCTTTCTATGGGTCCCAAGAAGGAGAGACCACAGAGGTGGATGCTGTGACCTTGTCCCGAGTCACCCAGGGACTTGTTCCAGTTCTCCTGGCTCCTGGAGGACTTAGTTTGGTTGAGGAAGGTTGAGCCCATGGTGTACTCTGTGGCCCAGGGCACGGCAGGGCCCGAGGTATTCCAGGCTGCAGCATCAGGTGCAGCCTCCAGCTCTGTGCAGGCAGAGGCATGGATCCCTGTTTCTGATCAGCCTCTGTTGACAGAGTTCATGGCCTCTCTTGGGAATTGACACCAGGGCTTTTTTGTGGCACAGGCCATGGCCTGGTCATTCTGTGGATGATGGGCAGTTCTGAGGTATTTGCAGGAGAGGAATGGATTATATTCTTAAGGCGACATTAACTTTCGACAGCGTGGAAGCCAGTGACAAATACATGCTGACCTCAGAGTCATCCTGTTTCTAAACAGCGTGAGTGACCGACTAGGCAGTTTGTTCCAGCTTAGCAGCTGCCAGGGCCTATAGGCAGAGGGAGATGCCCACAGCACAGAGGAATCCAGCTTCAGAGCCGCTTCCTCCTCTTGTTTATTTTGTTATTTATTCTACTCCTTCATTCTTCTCTTTTTTTTTTTTTTTTTTTTTTTTTAGATAGAGTTTCGCTGTTGTTGCCCAGGCTGGAGTGCAATGGCGCGATCTCGGCTCACCGCATCCTCCGCCTCCTGGGTTCAAGCGATTCTTCTGCCTCAGCCTCCTGAGTAGCTGGGATTATAGGTGCCTGTGACCACACCTGGCTAATTTTTGTATTTTTAGGAGAGATGGGGTTTCACCATGTTGGCCAGGCTGGTCTTGAACTCCTGACCTCGTGATCCACCCACCTCGGCCTCCCAAAGCGCTGGGATTACAGGCGTGAGCCACCACGCCCAGCCCAGGCTTTTTTGTTTTGTTTTGTTTTTTAACTAAATAAAAAAGCTCCTCCAGACTGTTGTAAGCCTTTAATTTCTAGAGTTCTGACAAAGTTGATTTTGATGGTTTTGCCAGCATTCTCACTGCTTAAGGAGCAGATTTTGGAACTCCTTTGCAGTCTCAGAAGTGCTTCTTCCCATTTGACGGATGAGGAAACAAACAAACTGCATGTGTCGCCGGTGGCCTCCCTTGTTCTTGCCGGCAGAAGGGCCTGCTTTCTCACAGCCATTCCCACAGAGCACGTGGGTAGGACTAAGCTGGGAAAAGACCCCGTAGATGGCCTGTACCAGATGGTCGAACGGGAAGTCCATTAACTGAGTGAACTCTTACTGAGTTGGTGATGTCTGCAGTAGTCTATGAGTCTCTAGTACAGAGTTCAGTCTCTCGTGTGGTGTGTGTGGTTAGACCAGCTCCTTCAGTTTGTGAAACATCTGTCATTAGTATAAAGTCTTGGTTGGAAGTGGTGCTGCTGTTGTCCAGCTGTTGTGTTCTGTTAATTGGCCTGATATATTCCATAGTCAGCAAGGGTGGAAATGTTCAGATATTTACCTGCATTCTTGTCAGGTATCGCATATTAGGTAACTGCAGCTTTGACGCAGACCAGCCGCATTGGTGCTTTAGAGCAGACAGTGGCGAACCCTGGAGGGAAACAGCCATCTTGTGCCTCCTCGCCTTCAGTCTCCTAACAATGCGTGCGTTAAATCTGTCACCAGAATTTACAGAATTTGCTCTTGGTGCTAAGTTAAAGAGGAATTGCAATTTGAGAATTTTTCTTTTCCAAAAAAAATCAGTGAGTGAGATGGGAGTGTCACGGAGCGCTGTGTTTCAGGTCCTCCGCGACATCCTCAAGGAGGTTCAGAGTAACATGGTGCCGCGCAGCATGCTCAAGGAGTGGGCGCTGCACACCTTCCCCAATGCCACGGACTACTGGACGTTCCGGAAGATGTTCACCATCCAGCTGGCTCTGATAGGCTTCGCGGAATTCGTCCTGCATTTAAATAGACTCAACCCCGAGATGTTACAGATCGCTCAGGTAACCTGCTTTGAACAGCCAGATCCTCTCCTCGTGACATCGCCTTTCTGCTGAAGTTCCTAAAGTGTCTCCTTCTGAAATTTAGGACACTGGCAAACTGAATGTTGCCTACTTTCGATTTGACATAAACGACGCGACTGGAGACCTGGATGCCAACCGTCCTGTCCCATTTCGACTCACGCCCAACATTTCTGAGTTTCTGACCACCATCGGGGTCTCCGGCCCGTTGACAGCGTCCATGATTGCGGTCGCCCGGTGCTTCGCCCAGCCAAACTTTAAGGTGGGTCTCCACGTCGTCCTATCACAGGCGCAGGCTAGAGCCACTCAGATGCCCGCGCGTCACGGCCTTGCAGGAGCTGCTGATGTGCCTCACGGGCTCTGCGCTCTCCACAGTGGCCAGCACCCCTGTGTGTTATGTCCTTTGCTGTGAGGGCAAGGGATGGTTTTCTCTTTGGTTCACTCTTGTCTGTAGTGCTTGGAACGGGCCTGCCTGACACTCGGCAGATGCCGGAAGGTGTCAAGTGAACAAATAAACAGATTGGGCCTCAGTCGCAGCATGGCTGCCTTTGTCATCTAGGTCCGCGCTGCCCAACACTGAGGCCTTCTGGCTGCTGCTCCAAGTGGAGGAAGGGGTTTGTCCCCCAGCGGCTTCCCCAGCCCGTCCTGAGGGCACACAGCCTGGCCTGGTGCTGAAACTCGACTGGCCCTTGGTGGCCCTGAGCGGCCGCTGTGGTTGAGTCCCACCTTGTTAGGAAGCTGCCCCTGTGGGCTGTTCTTGGTTAAACACAAGTCGTCTCGTTCTCTCCCTCACGCAGGTGGATGGCATTCTGAAAACGGTTCTCCGGGACGAGATCATTGCTTGGCACAAAAAAACACAAGAGGACACGTCCTCTCCTCTCTCGGCCGCCGGGCAGCCAGAGAACATGGACAGCCAGCAACTGGTGTCCCTGGTTCAGAAAGCCGTCACCGCCATCATGACCCGCCTGCACAACCTCGCCCAGTTCGAAGGCGGGGAAAGCAAGGTGAACACCCTGGTGGCCGCGGCAAACAGCCTGGACAATCTGTGCCGCATGGACCCCGCCTGGCACCCCTGGCTGTGACTGTGGCCGCCACGGCCACCCGGAATGTGAAGGGCGCTCCGGGCTCTGAGCCCGCAGCTTTTACGACTTCTCCCTGCCTCGTTCCTTATATTCACAGAAGCCCCATAGTTTCACTGGGTTGCGGTTATTTTCCTGGTAGTTTGCGTGTAAGAAAGGGAGAATATAGTTTTAGAGGAAGCTGAACTATGACGATGCTGGGCGAAGCGGTTGGAAATGGCAGAGCTGAAACTTATTCCAAGCTTTCAAAATAATCTTTTAAGAAGCCAGGATTCTCCGGTCTGGAATTTCTGAGTGAGTCCTTTTTTTATGGTGTCCTCCCTCTGTGAATGTACAGGCGGAACTGTACGAACAGCTCCCTTCCATCCATTTTTAACTCTTTCGGAAATAACACCTCACAGCAGCTTCGTGCTTTTGTACAGACCTTTGTAACAAGTGTACAGAAAACTCATTTTGTTTGAGAAACAGGAGTTGATGAACCCATCATGCTGGTTTTTCTCTGAGCACAAAGTTTTAGGCTGTACACAGCCAGCCTTGGGAATCTCGTTGAGCGTTCGGCGTGGATCCACGGGGCCAGGCCACCCTGCGGGAGCGCCACACGCATCCACTTCGGATTCAGTGGGTGAAGACAGAACTCTGAGAGTCTGCAGGCGGCTCCTGTGCTTTTTATTTCTGGCTCTTCGGATGTCTTCTAGACATTTACTATCACTGCACCTGAAGAAAAAATCACTTTTACCTTCCTAATTTAAAAAGACAAAACAGAAATGTACGTTCCTTCGCTAGCTTTAGTCTTTCTGTTCCCATTTTTATAAATCTGAGCATTGATAATGTTCTATCTAAATTTGTACAGTGTGATTTTTTTTTTTAGAATAAATATTTTATAAAAGGGTTTATTGTCCCTTGTTTATGTTAAAATGCTTGTTTCCATGAGGGGTTTCTTCCCTCTCAATGTCCCTAGCCCCTTGGGAACCAGAGGCCCCAGAGACAGTGTGGGCTCCTCAGCGTAGCCTCTTGGTGACAGCGTGCGCTGCCTGGGCAGGCACAGTGCTGCTGTGATCACAGGGGAGGCCATGACTTGGCACCTGGGAAGCCAGCTCAGAGCATATTCAGTCAAGTTGATGAGGAATGGCGGCCCGACCTCAGCAGCAGGTCGGCGTGCGGGACTCTCAGAATGGCGGCCTGATCTCAGCAGCGGGTCGGCATGCCAGACTCTCGGAGCCCTCAGCTATCTTCATGTGTTTCAGGACTGCTGCCATGTAACGTGTGTGTGTGGAGAGTGTGCGGAGTGTACACGAAGCATGCCCGGAGGCTCAGCATGAAGCACTCTGTACCCAGCTCTACCTCCTCATTGTCCTTCATCCAGTGTGTACCTTCAGCCAGGCCTGCCCTCGTGTGGGAGGGGCAGTCCCCAAGGAGCACACGCCATGATGTCAGAAACATCTTCTTCGAGGAAGATGGCCCTTTACAGGCCCCAGGGGACGGGGGCAGCACGGAGCCCTCTCTGGACCTCTGCCGCAGGCCACAGAACCTTCTCCAGCCCTTGACTCTCCTTGCCTTTCATTTACCCTCCATTGTTCCAGGCTACCACGGAATGATGATTACAGCTGAGTTTACCCAAATCCCACCACAGGGTCAAATGAAAGGGCCTTGACAAGATGTCCCTTGGCAGCTTGAGATCGCAGTTGTGTTGCTGGGTTATGGCCTGGGTGCAGGCTGGTTTGCAGTGGGCGGTACTGGCAGCTACCATCAAGGTCTCTGTGCTGGGCTCCAGCCCTCAGCCCAGAGGGGTGGTTCCCCACTTTATAGAGAGGGGGTTTCCAGCTCACAGAAGGTGAGAAGCTTGTCCCAGGCCTGGAGCAGCTGTGGAGAAACTGGGAGGGAAGCCCGTCCAGCCTGATTCCAAGCCCACATGCTGCTCACAGGTCAAGGCCGAGGGACTGATTTTTGCCGGTCTGACTGGACTCAAGTTACTTCCCAGTTCCTTGCAGAGAGCTGTCTTTGTGAGACAGTGTCTTGGGTTCTGGAATGATGGGAGCCGTGCTTTGCAAATGAGGAGTGATTGCGTGCTCATCTGGCAGCTGGTGGGTGTCCTGCTGGCATCAGGCCTGAGCGGTGACCGTGCTCCTCTGATTGTCCTCACTGCGTGTGACAAGGCCTGGGCCACTGTGTGAGTCGTCTTGCGCTCCATGAAGCCTGGTGTCTGTGCAGATGTGTGGGTGGCGTTAGGGTTGGGGGACATTTGTCTTTCACACTGGAGAATGGGAGTCTGGAGCTGGTGCTACTGGTGAGGAAGAGGCCCGGCCTGCTGCCAGGTTCGCCCACACCTTCCCCCTGGTTGTTGGGAAAACCAACCTTGGAATGGCCAAGGCAGGAGATAGCACCTCCCCGGTGAAGATCCAGGAGCTCTCATGAGCTCCACGTGGAAAGATCAAGGATCTGGAGTCTGGAGCCCTTCAGGCAGCAACTCAGTGACCATGAACCTCAGCTCTGTCCACCCGGCACAGCATTGCTGGGAGCTGGACCCGGGAGGCTGCCGGCTCCAGAGTGAGGAGGGTCCAGACCATGCAGACAATATGCCCTTTTTCTCCAAACACCATTTCAAGGTAAGTGCTATGATCAGACTTCTTTTTATTCTTGGGGTAAGATATGTATAACATCAAATTTACCATTTTGATGAATTTTAAGTGCACAGTTGAGTGGCATTATGCACCTTCGTTGTGCAGCAATCACCAGCATCCATCTCCAGAACTTTTACATCTTCCCATCTGGAAAAATCTGTCCTCATTAAACACTCAATCCCCATCAGCCCTCCCCTCCGCCCCTGCCAACTACCATTCTAATTTCTGTCTCTGTGAATTTGATGACTCTAGGGACCTCATGTAAGTGGAATCATACAATATTTGTCTTTTTCTGACTGTTTTTTGTTTGTTTTTGTTTTGAGACGGAGTTTCACTGTCGTGACCCAGGCTGGAGTGCAGTGGCACGATCTCGGCTCACCGCAACCTCCGCCTTCCAGGTTCAAGCGATTCTCCTGCCTCAGCTTCCTGAGTAACTGGGATTTCAGGCCCCCGCCACCACACCCGGCTAATTTTTGTATTTTTAGTAGAGACAGGGTTTCACCATGTTGGCCAGGCTGGTCTTGAACTACTGACCTCAGGCGATCCACCCACTTCAGCCTCCCAAAGTGTTGGGATTACAGGCATGAGCCGCAGCACCCAGGCTTTTGTGACTGTTTTATTTCGCTTAGCATAATGACCTCAAGGTTCATCCATGCTGCAGCGTGTCAGACTCTCCTTACTTTTTTAAGGCTGAATTGCATTGCGTTGCCTGTGTGGACATTTTGTTTGTTCGTTCATCTGCTGATGGGTACTTGGCTTCTCTCTCTTTTGTCCACTATGAATAATGCTCCTCTGAACATAGGCATACAAATATTTGTTCAATTTCCTACTTTTAGTTCTTTGGTTATCTACCCAGAAGTAGGCTTGCTGGATCATATAGGAATTCTATCTTTCATTATTTGAGGAACTGCCATGCTGTTTTCCATAGCAGCTGTATCATTTTACGTTCCCACCAGCAATAGGTAAGGTTTTCTGTGTCTTCACGTTCTTGCCAACACTTGCAATGTTCTGTTTTTTTGTTTGGTGGTGGTGGTTGTTGTTTTGAGATGGAGTCTCGCTCTGTCACCCAGGCTGGAATGCAGTGACACGATCTCAGCTCACTGCAAGCTCTGCCTCCCGGGTTCATGCCATTCTCCTGCTTCAGCCTCCCGAGTAGCTGGGACTACAGGTGCCCGCCACCACGCCTGGCTAATTTTTTGTATTTTTAGTAGAGATGGGGTTTCACCTTGTTAGCCAGGATGGTCTAGATCTCCTGACCTCGTGTGATCCGCCCACCTCGGCCTCCCAGAGTGCTGGGATTACAGGCGTGAGCCACCGCGCCCAGCTGGGTTTTTTTTTTTTTTTTTTTTTTATGACATCCATCCTAATGGGCATGAAGTGGTACTTCACTGTGGTTTTGATTTGCATTTCCCTAGTGATGAGTGAAGTTGAGCAGCTTTTCATATGCTTGTGAGCCAGTCATATATCTTCTTTGGAGATGTGTCAATTCTAGTCCGTTACCCGTTTTTCAATTGAGTTGTTTTTGTTGTTGAGTTACAGTTCTTTATATAGTCTGGATAGTAATCCCTTGGAGATAGATGGTTTACAAATAATGTCTAATATTGTGTGAGTTGCCTTTTCACTCTGTCGATAGTGTCATTTGATGCACAAAAGTTTTTAATTTTGATGCAGTTCAATTTATTTTTCCTTTGCCTTTCATGTAATGTCAAAAAATCATTGCCAAATCTAATCTCATGAAGCTTTTCTCCTATGTAGTCTTCTAAGAGTTTTATAGTTTTAACACTTACTTTAGATCTTTGGTCCACTTTGAAGTTAATTTGTGTATATGCTATAAGCTGAGGGCCCAACTGAATTCTTTTGCTTGTGGATATCTGGTTTTTCCAACATAATTTTGTTGAGAAGACGATCCTGTTGGAAAGGGTGTTGGCGTCCCAAAATCAGTTGACGCATATGGTGTGGAGAGTTGATTTCTGGGCTCTCTGTTCTGTTCAGTTGGTCTCTCTGTCTGTCTTTATGCCACCACTACAATGTTTTGCTTACTGTAGCTTTTTAGTAAGATTTGAAACCAGGAAGTGTAAGTTCTCTTAGTTTGTGCTTCTCTTTCAAGATTGTTCTGGATTTGGGGTCCCCTGCAATTTCATACAAATTTGAGGATTTATTTTTCTGTTTCTGCTAAAATGTTGGGATTTTTTCTTTCTTTCTTTCTTTTTTTTTTGAGACGGAGTCTTGCTGTGTCGCCCAGGCTGGAGTGCAGTGGCGCCATCTCGGCTCAGTGCAACCTCCACCTCTTGGGTTCAAGCGATTCTCCTGCCTCAGCCTCCCAAGTAGCTGGGATTACAGGCGCATGCCACCACGCCCAGCTAGTTTTTGTATTTTTGTAGAGATGGAGTTTCACCATGTTGGCCAGGCTGGTCTTGAACCCCTGACCTCAGGTGATCCACCCGCCTTGGCCTCCCAAAGTGCCGGGATTGCAGGCGTGAGCCACTGCGCCCAGCCCAATGTTGGGATTTTGATAGTGATTGTATTGCATCTATAGATCACTTTGAGTAGTAATGACATCTTAACAATATTTTGGCCAGGTGTGTTGGCTCACACCTGTAATCTCAGCACTTTGGGAGGCTGAGGCAGGAGGATTGCTTGAGGCCAGGAGCTTGAGACCAGCCTGGGCAACATAGTGAGACCTCATCTCTACCAAAAATATAAAAATTAGCTGGGTGTGTTGGTGTGTGCTTGTAGTCACAGCTACATGGAAGGCTGAGCAAGGAGGATCACTTGACCCCAGAAGTTGGAGGCTGCAGTGAGCTATGATTGTAGCACTGTACTCCAGCCTGGATGGGAGAACATCTCAAAAAAAAATGAAAAATTAAAAATACAATATAGTATGTCTTTTATTCCATAAGCTTGGAATGTCTTTTTTTTTTTTTTTGAGACAGAGTCTCGCTCTGTCACCCAGGCTGGGCTGCAGTGGCAGGATCTCTGCTCACTCTAAGCTCCACCTCCTGGGTTCACGCTATTCTGCCTCAGCCTCCCGAGTAGCTGGGACTACAGGTGCCCGCCACCACGCCCGGCTAATTTTTTGTATTTTTAGTAGAGACGGGGTTTCACCGTGTTAGCCAGGATGGTCTTGATCTCCTGACCTCGTGATCCGCCCACCTTGGCCTCCCAAAGTGCTGGGATTACAGGCGTGAGCCACCATGCCCGGCCCGTCTTCTATAATTTCTTTAATGAATGATTTACAGTTTTCAGTATACAAGTATTTGACTTTGTTGGTTAAGTGTGTTCCTGTTTATTCTTTTTAATGCCGCTGTAAATGGAATTGTTTTCTTAAGTTCCTCTTTGGATTATTTATTGTTAGTGTATAGAAACACAGCTGATTTTTGTATGTTGATTTTTGTATCCTACAATTTTGCTAAATATGTTTATTCTAATAGTTTGTTTTCGTTAGACTTTTCTATAATCATGTCATCTGTAAACAGATAATTTTACCTCTTCCTTTTCAATTTGGATTTTTTTTCCCCATTTGCCTAATTATTCTGGCTGGAATTTCCACTTCTGTGTTGAGTACAAGTGGCAAAAAACGGTCACCTTTGTCTCATTCCTTATCTTAGAGGAAGCCCTGTCAGTCTTTCACCATTGAGTATGATCTTAGCTCTGGGTTTTGCATAATGGCCTTTATTATGTTGAGGTGTTTTCCTTCTATTCCTAGTTTGCTGGAAGAAGTTATTATCTGAAAAGGTGATACATCTTGTCAAATGCTTTTCTGTATCAGTTAAAATGATTTTGTGGTTTTTCCTCTTTATCCTGTTCATTTGTTGAATTATCCTTGCACATCCCAGGAATAAATCCCAATTTATCATGGTATATAGTCCTTTTAATATGCTGTTGGATTTGGTTTGCTAGTATTTTGTTGAAAATCTTTGCATCAGTATTCATAGGGGCCATTAGTTTGTAGTTTTCTCCTGGTGCCTGGCTTTGGTATCAGGGTAATATTCAAGGTCATGTTATAAAGCCTTGATCCTACATCCTAGCTCTGCTCTCAACAAAGTCATCCTGCCTCTTGAGAGCATAGACATGGAAAAAAATCGGCACACACAAAAAATATGTATACATATATATCTGTATATGATCATCAGGTAAAAATCAGAAGACAAGGATGCTATGGCTTCCTGAGGGAGCTGCAGTGCTTATGGTGGTGGAAGGGAAGATGAAAGAACAAACGAGAGAGTTTCAAAAGAGCATGTTTTAAAAAAGTCATTGGCCGGGTGCGGTGGCCCATGCCTGTAATCCCAGCACTTTTGGAGGCCAAGGCGGGCAGATCACCTAAGGTCAGGAGTTCGAGACCGGCCTGGCCAACCATGGTGAAACTCCCTCTTTACTAAAAATACAAAAATTAGACAAGCGTCGTGGCAGGCGCCTGTAGTCCCAGCTACTCGGGAGGCTGAGACAGGAGAATCAATTGAACCCGGGAGGCGGAGGTTGCAGTGAGCCGAGACCATGTCATTTGCACTCCAGCCTGGGCGACAAGAGCAAAACCCTGTCTCAAAAAAAAAGAAAAGTGATCAAGGTAGTAGACACGGTAGATGTGGGCACACAGATAGGCTTACCAACTTGTTTAAAGCCCCAACTACCTAGTGATGACACTGAGATCAAAACCTGAAAATACTCCGACTTTTGACAGTAGAAAATGCCCCAACAAGCCAGACACACGTTCCCTAACCTAGAGTGCTGCATCCTCTCACAGACATCAGAGCGCAGGACTGTGTCTGCTGGCTAAGCTTACAGACACACACTGCATTCTAGTGACTGTGCCAGGGTGAGAAATAAAAAAAGATATAAGAGTGACATCCAGCAAGGGGACAGAAGAGGAAGGAATCTCTCTCCGCACCGAGACAAAAATTGGAGTGGCAGAATCTGTCTGAGGTAACCGTTTTGGAACTCTGGAGTCTAATTTGGATGCTTGCAACTTCCAAGGAAAATCTTGGCTGGTAAGTTGCAGTTAATTTCGGTCAATTTCAGCCTTTAGGATATTAGCGTCTCCCCATCCTGAGTCTTGTGGTAGGCAGCCATGCCCGTGTTCCTGGCATGACTTCCTGGAGCCAGGGTGAAAAGTAAGGATCTGGCCTCCACGTATCAAGGTTCAGTGTTTTGATTGCAGAAGTGCAAACATAGAGGTGGGTAGCCATTGTTGCATTCCCCACTGGCTGAAGTGGCTTCCAGAGGATTTAAGGGAACAGCCTGAGCTATTGTTTTTCTTCTTACCTGTTTTTCCATTTGGGGAGCCAGACTTAAGGATGAGGATATTGAAAAGCACATGTGCGGACAACTTACTTGGGCCTCCTGCCAACAGCCAGTAAGATGCCAGGTCCCTCCATCACAAAGTCACATGAAAATGAATTCTGCCAACAACCTGGAGGAGCCTGCAAGAAGATTCTCCCTGGTTGAGCCGAGAGATGAGAATACAGTCTGGCTGACACCTTGATCGCAGCCTTGTGAGTCCCTGAGCAGAGAAATCAACTGTGAAATAAATGTGTATACAGGGCAATTTAGAAAGCCACTCCACATACCTAGAGAAATATGCAGGCTCAGAAGAGACCTGGGAAGACTTTAAGCTTTCACCTCAAGCTGATCCTGAGATACCCTCAACAGTTGGTGTGGGGAGACGAGTAAATGCTTGGGGGGGAAAAAAGGAGAATCTGATTTCCAGAGTTATAAGATTCAAATGTCCAGTTTTGAACAAGAAACAATCACAAGACCCTCAAAGAAATAGAAAAGTATGGCACGTTCAAAGAAACAAATCAACAGAAACCATCACTGAGGAAGCGCTGACAGCAGACTTACTAGACAGTAACTTTAAAACAACTGTTTGAAAGATGCTGAAGGAGCTAAAGGAAAACAAAGACAGGAGAACAGTATATGAACAAAATGAGAATATCAATAAATAGAAATTTTATAAAGGAAGCAAATTCTGGAACTATAAAAAGTACAATAACTGAAATGAAAAATTCCCTAAAGGGTTCAAAATATTTAAGCAGGTAGAAGAACCACTCAATGAGCTTGAAGATAGGGCAATTGAAACTGTTGAATCTGGGGAATCAAAAGAAAAAAAATGAAGAAAGTAAATGAAAACCTAAGGAACCTACCTATGGAATGCCATAAATGAGACCAGAAGTAGAGAGGCAAGGGCAGAAAGTATATTTAAAGAAAGTTCAACAGAAAACTGCTCATATTTGATTAAAAAAAAAATGTATCTACAAACCCAATTAGCATAACAAACTCTGGATAGGATAAGCTCAAGGAAACACACACCAAGACACTTCATTGAAGACAAAAGAAAACCTTGAAAGCAGCAAGAGAGAAGTAATTTATCACATACAAGAGATTCTCAAGATTATCAGCATATTTTTCATCAGAAACTTTGGGAATCAGAAGAGAATGGGCTCATATATGAAAACTGCTGAAAGAAAGAAAACCTGTTAGAATTCTACATCTAACAACTGTCCTTTAGAAATGAGGAAGAAATTAATACCTTCCCAGATAAAAGCTGAGGGAGTTCATTATCATTCTTTGCAAGAAATGCTAGAAGGAGTCTTTCAGGTTGAAACGCTGAACACTATAAACTTCTTTAAAAGAACACTAAGCATCTTACAACTTGAAGTTGTAAGAAGAAATAGAGATCTCCAGTAAAGGTAAATACATGGACAGTTATAAAATCTAGTATATTCTAATGATGGTTTGTAACTCTTTTTATTTTCTACATGATTAAAAAGACAGATCCATTAACAACTGCTAATATTGGGTGCACAACGTATAAAGATGTAATTTGTGATGTCAGTAACAGTAAGGGAGACAGCAGTACAGGAGCAGAGTTCTGTATGTTATTCAAATTAGGTTGATATAAATTCGATTTAGGTTGTTGTAATGTTAGGATGTCAAGTGTAATCCCCGTGTCACTATAAAAAATGAACTAAACACGAAAGGCAGTAATGGAGGAAATGAGGAACCAAAAAAAAAAAAAAGTTTAAATGGCAGAAGTAAGTCCCTTCTTATCAGTAAGTACTTTAAATGTAAAATGGATTGAATTCTCCAATCAAGAGAGATTGGAGATGGCAGACCAGGAAGCTCCAGGCCCACATTTCCCCAAGGAAACATTGAGGGGAAAAAAAAACAACTAGGCACTCACTAGGAGCTCTGGGAACCAGCCAAAGGTCTATAGCAACCAGCTGAACACCCAATCAAGAAAAAGCCACATTGAAAATAGTTTTTATGTCATTTTTATTTGCCCTTCCCCCATTCCTCCCTGGCACAACTGGGTGTTTGGGAGGAAGCAGCCCAATTTCCAGTGTCTTCCCTTGCACCGGAGGGAGCAGAGCAGAACTGATTTGCAGTGTTCTGCCCTGTCTTTGGGCTACCTGAAGGACTGGTTTCTATGTCATCTGACTCAGAGGTGAAACAGGGAAGGTGGCATAGTTCAGATCTCAGGCTGGCAAGAGCCATGGAAGGCAGTGGCAGGTACGACATGTAAAATCTGCCAGGGGCACCACAGTGGATACCTGGGGCAAGAGATTATGGGCAGAAAATATAAGAGAACATCTTATTCCTAAGAAGCAGCTGGGTTAAGACCCTTTGAAAAATTAAGACTTTTTTTTTTTTTTTGAGACGGAGTCTCGCTCTTTTGCCTAGGCAGGAGTGCAGTGGCGCGATCTTGGCTCACTGCAAGCTCCACCTCCCGGGTTCGTGCCATTCTCCTGCCTCAGCCTCCAGAGTAGCTGGGACTACAGGCGCCCGCCACCACACCCAGTTAATTTTTTGTATTTTTAGTAGAGACGGGGTTTCACTGTGTTAGCCAGGATGGTCTCGATCTCCTGACCTCGTGATCTGCCTGCCTCGGCCTCCCAAAGTGCTGGGATTACAGGCGTGAGCCACCGCGCCTGGCTAAAAATTAAGACTTTGAAAAGCAGCCATGTATATGGTATAAACGAAAGAAAAACAGAGGCCCCTAAAAGACCTGAGATGACCTTAAGCTGTCGCCTCAGGCTGATAGCAACTATTACGATATACCCTCTGAATTAGTGAAGCTTTTCCCCACCACTCTTCAAAGACTGGAAGAGATGACTGCTTTTGCGAATGCCCAGTTTAAAAAAAAAAAAAAAAATCACAAGGAATACAAAGAAACAGGAAAACATGTCCCATTCAAAGGAACAAAATATATCTCTAGAAACCATCCCTGAAGAAACAAAGGCATCAGACTTGTTAGAAAAGACTTTAAAACAGTTGTCTTGAATATGCCCAGAGATCTATGGGAGAACACGACAAAGGCCTAAAGGAGATCAGGATAGTGATGTATGAACAAAATGAGAATATCAACCAAAAATAGAAATTATCTAAAAGAACCAAATTCTGGCACTGAAAAATACAATAAATGAAGTATTCAATACAGTGGTTCAACACCAGACTCAAACAGGCAAAAGAAAGAATCAGACACCTTAGAAAACTGATCATTTGAAATCACTGAACTGGACGAGCAAAGAGAAAAAATGAAGAGAGCTCAAGGGATTTATGGAACACATCAAGGTGTCCGATTTAGGACAGGTCCAATTTAGGAAATTCCAGAAAGAGAAGAAAGGAAGAGGACAGAGCTTATTTGAAAAAATAATGGACAAAACTTTCTCAAATTGGAAGAAAGAAATGGACATACAAATTTAAGAAGCTTGACAAATTTCAGCTAGGATAAACCCAGAGAGGCTCACAGCAAAGGCGAAGGGTGAAATAGCTCCACTATAATAGTAGAAAGCTTCAGTACCCCACTTTTTTTTTTTTTTTTTTTTTGAGATAGAGTCTTGCTCTGTCACCCAGGCTGGAGTGCAGTGGTGCAATCTTGGCTCACTACAACCTCTGCCTTCCAGGTTCAACTGATTCTCCTGCCTCAGCCTCCAGGGTAGCTGGGATTGCAGGCATGTGCCACCACACTTGGCTAATTTTTGTATTTTTATTAGAGACGGGGTTTCGCTGGTCTCAAACTCCTGACCTCAAGTGAACGCCTGCCTCAGCCTCCCAAAGTGCTGGGATTACAGGCATGAGCCACTGTGCGCAGCCCAATACCCCACTTTCAATAAATTATTAATAGAACAACTAGACAGAGGATCAATAAGGAAATACAGGACTTGAACAACACTGTAGACCAACTGGACCTAACAGACATACACAAACACTCCACCCAACAGCAGAGTACACATTCTTCTCAAATACACATGGAACATTCATTCTCCAGAATAGACTGTCTCCAGAGAGGTCATAAAACAAGTCTCAATAAATTTAAGAAGACTGAAGTCACACAAAGTATTTTCTCTGACCACAACAGAATGAAGCTAAAAATCAGTAACAGAAGGAAACTGGGAAATTCATAAATATGTGGAAATGAAACAAGATGCTTTCAAACAACCAGTGGGTCAAAGAATAAATCACAAGGGAAATTAGAAAATATCTTGAGACAAATGAAAACACAACATACCAAAACTTATGGAATGCAGCGAAAGCAGTGCTAAGAAGGATTATTCACCATGACCAAGGAAACTTATGGCTGTAAATCTTTATATTAAAAAGAAGGTTAAAAATGAACAACTTACATTATACCTGAAGGAATTAGGAAAAAAAGAACAAACTAAACCCAAAGCTAACAGAAGAAAATAAATACTATAGCAGAGGAAATAAAAGACAAATGACAAAAATCAGTGAAGCTAAGAGTTGGTTCTTCAAAAAGATCAACAAGATTGACAAAACTTTAGATGATTAAGAAGGAAGAATCAGCTAAAAGGAAAGAGGGGACATTATTACCAATGTTACAGAAATATAAAGGATCGTAGAGTATCATGAACAACTGTATGCCAACAAATTGAATAACCTAGATGAAATGGATTCCTAGAACTCTACAACCTACCAAGACCGAATCATAAAGAAACAAAATCTGAATAGACTGATAACTAGTAAGAAGATTGAATCAAAAATCTAAAACGTCCCAACAAAGAAAAGCTCAAGACCAGATGGCTTCACTGGTGAATTCTAGCAAACATTTAAAGCAGAATTAATGCCAGTCTTTCTCAAACTCTTCCAAATAGTTGAAAAGGAAAGAATGCTTCCTAACTTATTCTATGAGACTAGCATTACGGTGATTTTTGAAAGCCAGACAAAAACACTACAAGAAAACTATAGACCAATATCTGTTATGAATATAGATGTAAAAATCCTCAACAAAATATTAGCAAATTGAATCCAACAGCATTTTTTTTTTTTTGGAGACGGAGTCTTGATCTGTCACCCAGGCTGGAGTACAGTGCCGCAGTCTTGGCTCACTGCAACCTCCACCTCCCAGGTTTAAGCGATTCTCCTGCCTTAGCCTCCTGAGTAGCTGGGACTACAGTCGTGTGCCACCATACCAGGCTAATTTTTGTATTTTTAGTACAGATAAGGTTTCACTGTGTTGGCCAGGCTGGTCTCGAACTCCTGACCTCGTGATCCACCCACCTCGGCCTCCCAAAGTGCTGGGGTTACAGGCATGAGCCACAACGCCCGGCCCCAAGACCATATTAAAAGAATTATTCACCACAACCAAGTGGAATTTATCCCAGGAAGGGAAAGGTGGCCCAACATAAGAAAAATCAATCAATGTAACACATCACATTAATAGAACACAGGGAAAAAAACATGTACATCTCAACTGATACAGAAGGGCATTTTACTTATAAACATTCCCTCTGAGATCAGGAACAAGAAAAAAATTCCCACTTTTACCACAGCTATTCAACATTGTACTGGAAAGTATAAGCCAGAGCTAATAGATAAAAAATAAAAGGCATCCAAGTTGGAAGGAAAAGGTAAAGCTATCTCCTACAGATAGAAAATTGCAAAGAATTCACAAGAAAGCCACTAGAGCCAGGAAACGAATTTTTGCAGTTTTAGGGTACAAGATTGACACACAAATGCAGTTATGTTTCTATATACTAGCAATGAATGTCCACAAAAGAGCTTAAGAAAGCAATTATGTTTATAATAGCATCTAAAAGAATAAAGCTAACCATGCAGGTGCAAGACTTGCCAGTTGTCTGCCGAAAACAAAATATTGTATAAAGAAGTTAAAGAAAACTTAAGTAAATTGAAAAGACATCCCATGTTCATAGATTGGAAGACTTAACTTTGTTAAGATGTCAGTAATGCCAGGTGCAGTGGCTCATGCCTGTAATCCCAGCACTGTGGAAGGTGGAGGTGGGTGGAGGAGTTTGAGACCAGCCTGGGCAACATGGTAAAACCTCATCTCTACTGAAAATACAAAAATTAGCCGGGCATGTTGGCGCATTCCTGTAGTCCCAGCTACTCGGGAGGCTGAGGCGGGAGAATCGCTTGAACCCAGGAGGCGAAGGTTGCAGTGAGCCAAGATTGTGTCACTGCACTCTAACCTGGGTGACAGAGTGAGACTCTTTTTTTTAAAAAAAAAAAAAAAGTCATCCTCCTGTATACTTTAAATCATCTCTAGATTGTTTATAATTTCTAATACAATATAAATGCCATGTAAGTAGTTTTTATTCTGTATGGTTTAGGGAATAATGAAAAGAAAAAAAAATCTATTCATGTTCTGATGCAACCATCCATTTAAAAAAAAAATTTTTTTTTTTTTTTTTTTTGAGACAGTCTTGCTGTGTTGCCTAGGCTGGAGTGCAGTAGCGTGATCTCAGCTCACTGCAAACTCCACCTCCCAGGTTCAAGCAATTCTCATGCCTCAGCCTCCCAAGAAGCTGGGACTGGTCTCCAGCTCCTGACCGCACCCAGCCAAAAAAATATTTTTGATCCCCAGTTGGATCCATATATGTGGAACCCACTGGTATGTAGGGCTGACAGTATTTTTACTACAACTTTTTAAAAAAGTAAGGGCTGGGCACAGTAGCTCATGCCTGTAATCCCGGCACTTTGGGAGGCCGAGGCGGGCGGATCACCTGAGGTTGGGAGTTTGAGACCAGCTTGACCAACATGGAGAAACCCCATCTCTACTAAAAATACAAAATTAGCCGGGCGTGGTGGCGCAAGCCTGTAATCCCAGCTACTCGGGAGGCTGAGGCAGGAGAATTGCTTGAACCTGGGAGGTGGAGGTTGCAGTGAGCCGAGATTGCGCCACTGCACTCCAGCCTGGGCAACAAGAGCAAAACTCCATCTCAAAAAAATAAAAAAAAAAGGAAAAAACGAAAAGATAACCGGTGCGCAAAGAAATTCTAAATTTTCTCAATCCCATGTTTTTTCCCGATAGAGCACTTTCAGCCCACTACCATATTGCCATTAGTTTCCCTTACAATTCTATCCTTATCTCTGTCCTTCTTCCTTGGAAGGCCCTTGCCAGTATTCCTGCTGCCTACACACTTCCTTTCTTGTGGGTTTGCAAAGACACTAGAATCTCATTTCCACACCAAAATAACAGACGCCAAAAATGTAAAGTCGTGAGTTTATTGCATATGTAACAAAATGAACCTGACCTCCTGGGCCCAGCCTGCTGTACAATCACTGTTTGTTTTGTGTTTCCAGCTGGTTCCATAACCACATTAAATAGAACTAGTATTTCATTAAATACTTTTGATTTTGACATAGAACATTAGTGTACAACTTTCACAAAATAAATCAGTGATAAAAACAGTGGGAAGGATAACAAGGATAGCAGCAATACTTCAAAACAAGACATTACAAAATAAATTAAAAAATACGTTATAAAGTGGTTGAGAAACAAAAATAAACACATTTTTAAAATCCATACTATGTTTCGGGAAGGCTGCCGTGTGGCACACACCTGGCTGCAGATGGCGGGTGGGGGGACATTTTCTCTGCAGAAGGCCTTTCCTGACATCTCGGGTTGGGTGACCACCTTAATCTGAATTTGGACCATACGTCCGAACAAGCTCAGGGGTCGAAATTCGATCTGGTGGCAGATTCTCTTTTCAGAACTTGAGAGAGCCCTTTTCCGGTCGCCCCGGGCCTCCCAGGCAGCCTCAGCTCTTCCTACTGAAAGCACTGGCGGAGTGGTGTTAGCTACATCCCTGAGTGTCGGCTGACGGCCGCTGGTGAGGGCAAGCCTGAAAAGCCGGGCCCCTGAAGCATCTGGGCAGAGGGGCAGGGGGCATGGCTGGATCGCCTGGGACCACCGAGAGGGGCAACACAGATCACACGTGAGTGGGCTTCGCGCGGACCCAAAGTAGAACAGTCGGGAAGCTTTTACCATTTGCTTTGCCATGTTGAGTTCTTTGGGGTGGTTCAAAAGGACCAAACAAACCATCGTAGAAACTGAAGGTTCTAGGAGTGCAGTGCCACCGACAGGGAGGCCTGTTTGGAAAGAGTGAACCGGAGCTCTGGAAAGGTCTGCGACACTCACACAACCGATGACAAGGCGGCAAACCCACACGCAGGTAGAAGTGGAAAAGCAGAGACGGAGGCCAGGATGGGAACGCGTGTGTCCACCGGGGTCACCTGTGGAGGACCCGGGACCCAGCCCTCTGGCTCTGGGCTGAAGCAACACCCGGCACGAGAGGCAGGGCAGCACCAACCAGCATGGGGATGGCGGTGCAGCTGCTAAGGCTCGCCCCCGACTCCTCCCAACAGCAAAAAGGTAGTTTTAAAGGCGTCAAATGCAACATTCCTGCTTCAAAGTCTTTTAAACCATGAGACCCTGGTTTCCTTCCTAGTTACTGAAGATTTTGGATACCACCACCAGGAAAATCAGGTGGGGCCTCTGACCTCATCCCGGAGGCCGCTTCAGTTCTCGAATGGATGTCTCTTCCGCCTCCCGCGGGTTAGGCTCGTGATAGAGAGTGGGCTGTCCGGGGGAGGTCTGTAGTTTTCACTTCCTCACCTTCAAGAGGAAGATGATGCAAGGAAAGGCTGGATACAGCCACTGGGGAACGGGCTTCTAGAACACCCTCAGGAAGCATCATGGTGAATGAGACACAGGATGTGCCCACCTGTGGGGGCAAGGCAGAACTTTTCAAAGAGGCTAAGCCCACCATTTGGCCTGGACTTTTGGAATGGGGGATTAAACTTTCCTCCTGCAGCAAACCTCATTTGGCAGCCCTTCTATTCTAGAACCTCAGCAGCCCAGAAATTAACAGTGACAAAAAGAACAGATAAAACCATTGTCCACAAGGTCCTTCCCAGGCCATCTCAGACCCACAGCGGGATCCCAGAGACTTCGACAGCAGTGAAATGTCTTGCTCATGAATTACCCTGTACTTGCCCCCACCCCAAACAAAAACAACAACAAAGAAACCACATAGGAACATTGGCCTGCTGTTTTCTGCCCAAGTTCAGCTATTGGAAATCAAGCCACTTTAAGATAAAATACTGACTTTTGTGCAAACTGGAAATGGTGTCAGAAACTTCGAATCTAGCCTTGCTTCTGGCCTTGCTCATCATATGAAGACATCTGGGCAAGTGAACCGAGTAGCAATCGTTAGTGTCACCAGCTGCCACTGGGAAAGGGGCCACATGAGGCAGTGAGTGTGAAGTCGTCCCCCTCTGCTGTCACAGGTTTGCGTCCACACCCTACTTTTTGTAGAACAGTATCTTTGGGTGGATTTACATCATCGAGGTTATCCTTTCACCATTGCTTTTAAGCGAGTTCACACCAAGCCAGCAGCTATGATGACACAATTTTGTTAGTTTAGCTCTTAGCAGTTGCTGCATCATGGTTTACTAATATTTTAAGTGACACAGTCGATGCTCTTCTATGGACAACAGTGGCACAGAGGTCACAGCTTTGGGACTGACTGGTTGGCTCTAGGGCTGATTTTGGTCTGCTCTTTCCTACACTCCATGACATGGTGTTTTCACTGAAAAAAAAGTCAAACTGGACAGATAATGCAGCAAAAGGGACCCTTAAAAGATCGTTTTTCTCTATGTAAAACAAAATTTTCAGCCAAGATACCCAGAAAAGAAATATCCTGGGCCTCCAGGAAAAGCTGCTCCAATTCCTTCTCCTTTCAAAGGGGAAACACATTTTGACTCAAGCTTCCTGCTGTGGCAGAATTCCAATAAGCATACATTATATAGTTATTTTCCAGTTGGAAATTGATCTGCTACCCAGAACCGGCTGCTGGGATGTGAAATCTGGAATCTGAGCTCTGATAAGATATCTAGCAGCTGCTCAAATTGAAAAGGGGCCTCAAGGCTGTTTTGAGATGGAATAGCTGGCATAGCCACCAGTTCCAAACCCTCAATCAGCCACGCCCAGTCCCCTAACTGTGAGTTGATGCTCCCGTAAAGAGCTCAGGGCTGTGAGCCTTATCACCACATGGGTTGCAACACAGCAGAATATCCTGTGTGACCAAAGCCAAAGGCTAAACCTGGCTGCATTTTATTGGATGGGTGATGGAAGTGGGTGGGAGTACTATGGTAAAGGAGGGATATATGGGTGGGAGCCACCAACAAAAGTCCCCCATCCCCCTCCCCCAACAGAAAGGAGAGAGACAACCCTTTCCCCTCAGGTGATCTGGAATTCCAGGGCCTCTGCCAGCTTTGCAGGAGGTGCACAGAAGCTGGATGCTTTTGGTCTGGTGGCCATGAGCTAGACTCTGTTGCCTTTGGTTGCTTTTCACTCCACAGCAAACCCGCAGGTCTCCTCCACGGCTGTCAGCAGCTTCTCGTAGAGCTTCTCATAGGACTCATATGGTGGAATGTCGATCCGGTTAAAGCTGAAAAAGGACAAAAGAGAGTCACCGTGTGGGCAGTCCAGCCCTAGGACCAACCTCAAGGCCAAGGACAGGCAGTGAGAAGTATATGTGGGAGGGGAGAGGAATGGGGGGTGGGGCAGGGTTGGTGATGAGTTCTCCATGTCCCCTGTGTTTTTCTGCTTCTAATACAAAGATTTGTAATTTGTTTTTGCTTTTTGGTAGAGACAGGGTCTCGCTAGGTTGCCCAGGCTGCTCTCAAACTCCTGGCCTCAAGTGAACCTCCTGCCTTGCCCTCTCAACGTGCTGGGAGCCACTGTGCCCAATCAACACACAGTAAAGTAAGTCTTGGGCCTTCACAACCAAAACATAACCAAGTTACTATTTACTGCTTCTATCAGGACAAAGCTCTCCACTTGTTTTCTGTTTGTCTGTCTTTGGGAGAAATTCTTTCTCTGTACTGGGAATGCCTCTTTGGCAGCCCCTGTAACCTAGACTGGCTGTCAGGCAACGTCACCACTAACGATGTACTGCGTGTCTGTCTGTTCCTCTGGGACTTGATCTGAGACCAAAACAGGGCAGTCTGGAAAATTCCCTGCAAAAACAAAATAGATCTCAAAACTAACAAGATGACAGATCCTTAAAAGATGAAATGAATATTCAACTTCTGACTCGATATTTCCAGGGGGAAGCTCATTTCCAGTATTTGTGCAAAGAAAAAGACATCCTTTAAGAAGCTATCGTAGCAAACCAAAAAATACAAAATTGTGACCCAGAGGATGTACAGTGACTTCTGGCTTTCTAGGGTAAGCAATTAAGGATGGTTTCTGTCTCTACAGAGCTGGGTTCCAGGGCGGGCACTCTTTTTTCTGGAGCTTCAGAGCATACTTTCCACATCCATCTAACTCCAAGCACTAAACTACTAAAGGACAAAAGCCTTGTGAGTAGGGTGTGCAGCCAACATGGTGCGTTCCCGTAATGGACGCCACAGCCATGCTTGGAGCAGGACCTTGGCACCCACCATGGTCCAGGACCAGCTGCATTACCCCATTTCACAGGTGTGGAAAACCAAGTTAGAATATGAAGTCACTTGCCCCAAATCACATGTCAGAGGGTGTCACAGCTAGCATCTGACCCCGCATCCTTGGGTTCCAAGACAGGAACCTTCCATCATCTCACGGGGCATCTCAGCAGCATCTAGAACTGGTTCCCCCAAGGAAATGTGGCTACTCGTCTCAATGGATGGTTCCAGGACAAAGTGTACGCAAGTGATTGTATTTGTAAACCATACAGGAAATAATCTACTATGGAGACTCGTTTTTAAGTTAAAATTTAGGAAGAAAACATTTGCAATAGACAAGGTACGTGTGTCATAAGCAGGATTCCAAGAAGATGGGGACCCAGAAATGTCAGATAAAGTGAAGCCCAATACATCCAAACTAAAAACTATACAATTTTCCTTACCAACAGGTGTGTGTACATAAGACCTGGCAGAGAGGAAGACTTGAGCCTGCTGGAGTGGTAGCCACACTCCACTGAAACACCAATATTAATTAATTACATGGCTCATAACAAAATTAGTTTCATAAGAGACTCTGACAACCTTTGTGTGGGACGCTGCAAAGTACTTGTCCCATCTGACACAAGCACTACTGCCAGTCATTGAGAATTGGCATAAATGAAACAGAGTCCTACAAATCGGAAAACAGCTTTAAAAAATAACATGAGGCCGGGCTTGGTGGCTCACGCCTGTAATCTCAGCACTTTGGGAGGCCGAGGTGGGCAGATCACCTGAGGCCAGGAGTTCCAGACTAGCCTGGCCAACATGGCAAAACCCCATCTCTACTAAAAATACAAAAATTAGCCAAGTGTGGTGGCGTGCGCCTGTAGTCCCAGCTACTCAGGAGGCTGAGGCATGAGAATTGCTTGAACCCAGGAGGCAGAGGTTGCAGTGAGCCGAGATCGTGCCACTGCACTCCATCCTGAGTGACAAAGCAAGACTGTCTCAAAAACAAAAAACTAAATCAAGAGAAAATCTATATTTAAATTTTAGGTTATATATACTGTAAGAAAGATGTATGTTAAGTTTAGCAATAATGTTGGCCCTCTTACAGGTATTTTTTTACATGGCCAGTAAAGCCGCTCTATACAGTGTCGTAATGTCGGGGGGAAAGTCTCTTGCTTGAGGGCTTCAGAATTGTCATTCAACTCTAGAATTTCTCCTTCTGTCTCAGGTGCTGTGGCTTTTGAGTTCTGATGATGACAAAAATATTTTGGCAGAGACTCCATCTCAAAAAAAAACAACAAAAAAAAAACGTGAACGTCAGCATCCTCTGGGGCTCCCAGGACGCCGTGACTTCCTGGCCGCGGTGCTTACCAGGTATGGGCCTTCGGAAGGTTGTCTGTGTTCGCGTCTATCAGGTGGATGGTGAACAGCCGGGGCCCTGCCGCGCCTGTAGAACCTTACAAGACAACATTCTAGTTAATGTACTTCAGAGTTACAGCCGTGGCGCTTCCCGGCCACACAGCCCCCAGGAGCAGGGCCCTGACCACATTCCCACCCCCACACCCAGGCAGGCTGTCCTGTGAGAGGGCCATGAGGTTCCCAGGCCTGGTTTTAGGACATGCCTGCAATGGCTATCAAAGTGACAAAATTCAGACACTTTTTTGAGACAGGGTCTCACTCTGTTGCTCAGGCTGGAGTGCAGTGGGGCAGTCTCGGCTCACTGCAACATCTGACTGCCGGGTTCAAGCAATTCTCCTGCCTCCCGAGTAGCTGGGATAACAGGTACATGCCACCACGCCTGGCTAATTGTTGTATTTTTAGTAGAGACGGGGTTTTGCCATGTTTCCCAGGCTGGTCTGGAACTCCTGGATCACCTCAGGTGATCCACCTGCCTCGGCCTCCCAGAGTGCTGGGATTACAGGCGTGAGCCACCACACTCAGCCAAGATGCCAACATTTTAGAATATCGCAGGGGGCAGAGCAAGGACTGCTAAGGCCCCCCCTAAAGTGCACCCTGACCATGGGCCTGCTCCAGACAGGCTCCCTGAGGGTCAGAGCTATTTGTACCCACCCTCTGGAATAGACGACTTGCCCACCAGTTCTGTAGGGCAGGGAGAGGCACCAGGCCCCTTCTTGCTCAGGTGTTTCCAAACTCAGCCCCAAGTGAGCACCAGGCTGGCCAGCAGCCACCACTGCTGCTGCAAAGACGGCTAGCTGACAGGGGTGCCAGGTGCTGGGAAAGGAGGGCGCAGAGGGCACGGGCCTTGGCTCTGCTGCCCCTTGCTCCTGTGTATTCACAGATACTCCTTTCAAGCTGGGCCAAGGTCAGTGGCAGGACAGGACTCCGGGAGCAATGAGGACCAGCAGAGACACCATCTTTATGTTGGGCAGAGGGTCTCAGTGTGCAGCCCCTGGTTTCTGGGGTCCTGGGACAGGAAGCTGGCTCCTCCCCCTCACAGGCCACACCCTCCAAGCCCCAGCCTCCTGGGGAGTCAGGACAGGCTGGGCCAGGTGAGGGCCTTCAGAGACCTCCTGCAGGGCCCTGGCCACTCTGCCCGGGCCACCATTCAGTGCCCTCCCACAGCACCAGCACTCCCTGTTCGGGACTGTGACCCTGGTCACCTCTGACCCACCTTCTAGACACTTGGAGGACACTGGGCTAAAGTCTATCCAATTATTGGAGGACTAATGAGACCCTTACAATGACAGGGACTATCTCTAAGCAGGAAGGTTTAGCATGTGGACCTGCTGTGGGCAAGACAATGGCGCCATGAGAAAAGTGACTTGGTCAGGAAGCCTGGATTCCTGCCCTGCCTCCCCACTCACACCTCCTGTTTTTTTTCCTCGGGGGGATAATAAATCCCATGACCTCAGTGAGTCTCGGCTTCCTCATCCATGGAATGGGGCTAATAATCCCCATCAGCCAGGCTCTCGGGGTTGTTGGGAGAACTGAATGAGAAAGGCTTTGTAAATGACAGGCACCAGCAAGCTCTGGGAGCAGCTGTCATGGTCAGGCAGACAGAGGCTCCCAGATACGAGCGGGGCTCAGCCTCAAACCCCTTTTTATCCATGCTGGGCCCCCAGCAGCAAATCTATAGGCAGAGGTCACAATGGAAAAGATGCAGGTGCCCTGATGGCCAAAGCCGACTGAAATGGAATTAACCTCATTTTACTCAGCGAGGCAGAGGGAATATTCTGTGTTTACAATGTGTCTGTGTGTCTATCAGCATTTACAGTCCAATCAGCTAAATTTCAGTATGGTGACACCCTTCACTCACCTCACTCCTTCCAGCAACGTACCCTCCAAACCCTAAGTGTAAAAGATGAGACATTAGGCCGCCTGCCCTACAGGCAGATGGGCACCTTTCGCACAGAATTCCACCCCACTTCCGGCGACCTCAGTGGCTTAAACAGAGTGAGCAGGACATCATCTTTCGGTGTGGTTGGTGGCTAAACGGGTTCATGTGCAGCTCCAAGCTTTGGAGCCACTGAGACTGGGGGCGGTTCCCCCATAGCTCCCTCCCCGGGATCTTGGCTAAGCTGGCCTCACAGACACTCTGAAGGCCCCTGCTGTCCAGACCCTCTTGGCTTTTTGGAAGCAGTGAGGAGGGGGAATCCAGGTGCCCTGGAGTGGCTCCACAGTCTTTGCTCAGCGGGGCCCCACACCTGCTCACACACGGCCCCTGCCAGGTAACCACCTCTGTAGGGCAGAGCATTAGCTACTGGAGAACATTCCTTATGCCATTTTCTAGCACACATCTCAGAAAAACATCCCAGCCACCTTCCAGCTCTTCCTGCCCACAGCGCACATAGACGCGTCATCGAATAGCCCTGCCTCCACGTCAGTCACCTTGCAAAGCCTTGAAGCCTTGGAGCGGGACTCGCGTGGACCCAGTCACAAACTGCAGGAGCCTGGCCCTCCTTTCTTCATCGAACGTCTCCACCGCTTGCCAGAACCACCGCACGATGTTGCTGTCGGCCACACAGTGCTTCAGCCGCGTGTTCGACTTCCAGTCGTTCAAGTCTATTTTATCCAGGCCGCCTATGATCAGCTGAGGAGGTGCAGAAAGGTGAATTACTTCCAAAATGCATAAACCCACGTCAGGATGCGCCTCCTAGGTACCCGACACACAACAGTGAAAAGTCGATTCCCAAGCAAAGCAGCAGCTGTGTACTAGGCAGATGTTGAGACAGGAAGAAAGCTACAAACAGGAGGCCTGTGGCACATGCTTCCGTCCGCCTCCTCCAAACGGGTCTCCAACCCCAAGGACCGCGGTGCACAGCTGTTGATGGGATGTTATTTTATAACCAAAGCGGGGTTTTTGCTCTGCATCGGTGAGGAGTATCAAAGAACCAACCGGTGACACTGAACAGAGCTAACCATGAATAACGGCACGTCCCAGGGTCTCTCCAGGACACTCAAGGACATGTGGAGTTTCAAGTCTGAAGAGAGGAGAATTCAGCAAGAGTTAGGTGGGGCTGGGGCCGATAGGGCATGTTTCCGCAATTGGCTTAAAAAGTTCAACCCCTGCTGGGTGCAGTGGCTCACGCCTGTAGTCCCAGCACTTTGTGGGGGCCGAAGTTGGGCAGATCACTTGAGCCCAGGAGTTCAAGGCCAGCCTGGGCAACATGGCAAAACCCCGTCTCTACAACAAATACAAAAATTAGCCAGGCATGATGACGTGCACCTGTAGCCTCAGCTACTCGGGAGGCGGAGGTGGGAGGATGGCTTCAGCCTGGGAGGTCGAGGCTGCAGTGAGCCATGATCGCACCACTGCACTCCAGCCTGAGCAACAGAGCGAGACCGTGTCTCAAAAAAAAAAAAAAAAAAAACCACAAAAGTTCACCCCAGAACTACTGCTCCATCCAAGCTCTTGGCTCCCAAGCTCTCCTCACTGGCAGCAGAAAGACTTGGAGAACAATCTACACGGCTTGAGCTATTTGGCACCAGAGATGGATAAGGGCTGAATGAATCACCGTGTTCAAGTGCATGCAGTATGACTAGAGAAGACAGTAGCCCCTTGTTCCTAGGCTAGGAAGAGCCAGAATAAAAAGCAGTAAGATGCTCTTGTGGGAGAACCTGGTTCTCCCAAGACAGGAGAGGGCTATGCAATCTCCCCTGCTAGAGATCTTGCAAACAAGGGAAGCCACAGCCACCTTGAACAGTTTCCCGGGAGTTAGTCAGATTTCCTACCGCCAAGCAGACATCTCGCCGGTTACTAACTGGCATGAACACCCTCTACTCCCCACTCTTGCTCCAGCCCTGGCTCTAGTCTGGGAACCCCAGCAGCTCCTAGGCTTACTAGAAAGCGGCACACACTGCCCCCTGCAGCAAGGATTTAAAACAGGCAGACGCCAGCCACAGGGACGCCCTGGGTCGACTCCGCACAGCAGGCACATACCTCCAGTTCCTTCTGGTCAAAAGGCTTCAGCAGATGTTGAGGGATGAGCTCATTGAACCCCTTCTGCAGAGCTAAGAACTGGGCTTCGATTCCTCTCATAAACCTCCAGTTTACATACAACCTGGAAGAAAAACTCGCAAGTTGGATGCAACACCAAGTGGATTTTCCGCCATGGGCAGGTTTTTTTTGGAGACAGGGTCTCACTCTGTCACCCAGGCTGGAGTGCAATGGCTCAATCTCGGCTCACTGCAACCTCAGCCTCCTGGGTTCAAGCAATTCTTCTGCCTCACCCTCCCCAGTAGCTAGGATTACAGGCACCCACCACCACACCTGGCTAATTTTTGTATTTTTAGTGGAGATGGGGTTTCACCATGTTGGCCATGGCTGGTCTCGAGCTCCTGACCTCAGGTGATCCGCCCGCCTCGGTCTCCCAAAGTGTTGGGATTACAGGCATGAGCCACTGCGCCCGACCTGTGAGCAGGTTCTGATATCACAGTCTGACAAACATGGGAACACACTGAGCCCCCCACTCCCCGGATCTCTCCAAGACAGACAAACACACCACCAGCTAGTAGTACCAAACCTTGGCATCACGTTAAAAATGACTCAGCACGTGCCCTGATTCATTCCGATTTGCTCGCGAAAACAGGAGGATTGAACCTGATCTGTCACATCAATTGCTGCAATGTGAAAGCATGTTCTGGCCAGGCATGGCGGCTCACGCCTGCAATGCCAGCCCCTTGGGAGGCGGAAGCAAGAGGATTGCTTGAGGCCAGGGGTTCGAGACCAGCCTGGCAACATAGCAAGACCATGTAAAAATTTAAAAATTGTTTAAATGTGTAAAAGTACATTTGAAAGTACAGCACAGGACAGCGTGGCACACAGACGTGCCCACATAGTTCTCAGCTGCAAGTGCCTAGGCCGCAAGTGCCTAGGCCTGAACACAGATCTGCCTCAAGTTAGGGGTGGAAAAAAACTGAGAGGGTGGCTTCCTCGGACTGAGCACGAGAGACCCTCCAAGCTGCTGCTCTCTCCTTTGCCCCCCACCTTTGCACCCAGAATTAGGTGGTCACTGAAAAGTCCTTCCCCACATGGGCTCTGTCCCTCAGGCCAGGCCTGGCCCCATCAGGGCCCCTCCAAGCAGATCCCTGACGCTGCTGCTGAGCTGTCGGTTTCTGAAAGTCGCCTCTGTTCATGTGATCTGATCATAAGCACCAGCCATCAGGGACATGCAGGCCTCACACAGCGAAGGAGCTACAGCAACTAAATGCAGGCTCAGCCGCGCCCCAGGCACCTGGCCGTCCCCGACAGGTGGCATTACCGGACGTATTCTTTCTTATTCTCCTCTGTGACTGGCACATTTCTGCCATTGGGTTTCAGTTCATGCTGCAGGATCCGCCCGAAGGCGTTGTGTTCCACGCAGAAGGTGTGGTCCAGTACAGGCGTGATGTCGTTCTCTCTGTTGAAATAAGACAGAAGGATGTAGGTTAGAACTCTGCCACCACGCGGGGCCATTGGGTAGACAGAAAACATTTACGACTGCCAAACCCGGGGCTGCAAGACAGGACAGCCTCGGGCAGACACAGAACCTGCGTGGGGGTGGCACAGCAACAGGTGCTGGAGGACCCTGAGACCACAGCTCTGTTTCCAGATGTCCCGGCTCCTGGCTTCCACAGTCATAGAAGGCGGGCAGCAGGTTGCTGTACCATCCTGTGATTTCAGGGGACCCACAACCCAGCTGCTTTGTAAGCAGTGTGGGAGTCAAAAGGCAGGAACGTGAAGAGGTACCAGGGTCAAAGGGAAATTGACCTGGAGATGAAGCCATGCCAAGAAAATACTGTGCCTGGCCAGGTACAGCGGCTTACACCTGTAATCCCAGCACTTTGGGATACCGAGGCGGGTGGATTACGAGGTCAGGAGATTGAGACCAGCCTGGCCAACATGGTGAAACCCCATCTCTACTAAAAACACAAAAAATTAGCCAGGTGTGGTGGCAGGCGCCTGTAGTCCCAGCTACTCAGGAAGCTGAGGCAGGAGAATTGCTTGAACCTGGGAGGTGGAGGTTGCGTTGAGCCGATAATTGAGCCACTGCACTCGAGCCTGGGTGACAGAGCAAGACTCTGTCTCAAAAAAAAAAAAAAAAAAAAAAAAAAATACTGTTCCTCCCTTAGAGGCAGCCTTCCCAAAGGCATCAGTTCAAACACAAAAGTACTCGAAAGTGAAAACTAGCTCTTGAATCTGCCATCGTTCTTGAGCCTAGGCAGAGTGGAAGATTTTCTTTTTCTTTCTTTTTTTTTGAGACAGAGACTCACTCTGTCATCCAGGCTGGAGTGCAGTGGTGTGGTCTCAGCTCACTGCAACCTCTGCCTCCTGGGTTGAAGCAATTTTCCTGCCTCAGCCTCCTGAGTAGCTGGGATTACAGGCATGTGCCACACCTGGCTTTTTAAAATTTTTTTAATTTTAGTAGGGACGGGATTTCACCATGTTGGCCAGGTTGGTCTCAAACTCCAACCTTTGACCTCAAGTGAAAAGAGCAAGTGATCCACCCACCTCGGCCCCACAAAGTGCTGGGATAATAGGCATGAGCCACCGCACCCAGCTGAGTGGAAGATTTTCTACCTGATCCCCAGAGTCCCCTGTTCAAGTTGGAACATGTGACACATGGGACACAACCAGGAGCCCCGACTCCGACTCACCCACATTCCCTCCATCTGTCAGAGCCTGATGTTTTGTCCCCGTGAAATCTGCAAGGACCCGTGATAGTCACGGTTCATCTTGTCACTGCCTGCTGCTCTTAACAGAGTGTTTAGAATAATTCTAAAGCAGAGGTAACTAAATGTTAATTTTGTTTTGATACTTGCTTGGCCCCTGTGTAGGTTAACTGGAGATGCCCTGAGTGTCTCACACACACCCCACAACGGGCCTGGGGAGTGGCCTGTTAACGTCTGTGATCGCGCCTTCTTCATTCAAGGAAACAAAAGAAACTAGTCCATGAAGAGAAACCTGCCCAACATCATGAGGAAAATAAGTCAACTGAGTACTTTTTGCTAGATCTGGTGGGTTTTTTTGTATTTTTTTGCAGTAACGGGGTCTCACTGTGTTGCCCAGGCTGGTGTCGAACTCCTGGACTGAATTGATCTGCCCGCCTCCGCCTTCCAAAAAATCCCCTTTTTTTGTTTCAGGTTATAATACAATGGCTTCACACACATCCCCAAAATACACACACACGCGCGCGCGCGCGCACGCGCATACATACGATAGACGTGGTGGTGGGCCCTAAGCCAGGTGACCGGCCGTCAGTCAATACTTACAGGATCCACACCAAGCTCTTATGCAGCTCTGGGTCCACAGATTCCAGATCTGAGAGCTGGATGGGCTTCCCCAGCAGCTGCTTGTAGAAGGGCACTGTGAAGCCCCCGTTGATGTAGTGTCCATGGAACACAGCCAGCCCCATGATCCGCCCCACAAAGTGGAAATAAGACAAGTGGTCCTGTAGGGGGCACCAGAGAACACGAATTTGTCAGCATGGTGCCGGCCAATGTGGGAATCTCGTGCTGTCCCCAAGCTTCTTGGGAAAAGTGTCCCAGAGGCAACCAGACCTACTGACTCAGGGACTCACAGGCCCCGCTCCTGAACAAGTGAAAGAAGGCTGCTTGTGTAGCAGAAATTTGCCTAGATTCGCTGGACAGCGTTTTGTATGCTCTCAGGGCCAACACCTCCTCAGAAGGGCCATATAACTGGCAGAGGAGCCCCGTGTTCAGCAATGACTGAGAATTTCACCTTCGTGACAACAGAGAATCGAACCAAGCCCAGGGCCTTGACACTGCAGGGCCTCGGCACCATGCTGGACGCGCACCCAGGAAGCCAGCCCTGTGCTTCCTCCCACTGCACAGGAAAGAAAAGGGCAAGTTCCCTTCCTCCTCCACCACCACTCCCTCGATCCAGAACGAAAGGAAGAGAGGGAAAGAGAGGGAGGGAGGGAAGAAATGCTAAGGGGGAGAAAAAGACCACAGGAAAATATGTATGAGTAAGCCAAATCAAATAACAATCCTAGGCCGGGCATGGTTGCTCACGCCTGTAATCTCAACACTTTGGGAGGCTGAGGCAGGCAGATCACCTGAGGTCAGGAGTTCGAGACCAGCCTGGCCAACATGGCAAAACCCCATCTCTACTAAAAATACAAAAACTAGCTGGGCCTGGTGGCAGGGGTCTGTGATCCCAGCTACTCGGGAGGCTGAGGCAGGAGAATCGCTTGAACCTGGGAGGCAGAGGTTGCAGTGAGCAGAGATCATGCCACTGCACTCCAGCCTGGGGGACACAGCGAGACTCTCTCTCAAAAAAAAGAAAAGAACCATTCTAGAACCAGAGCCGTTCTGGTCTTAACTCAGGAACCACACGTCTCTACTTTCAGGTTTGAATTATGTTCACCTCAAAAAATGAATCAAAACTCTGCTTCCATGTTGGTAAAAGGTTCTTCCACATTTGAATGCACAAGCGGAGCCTGTCCCGACTTCGCCTCAGTGGCCTGTGCAGGACGCTGGTGAAGGCCGTGGTGCCACAGGAGGAGTCCCCTGCTGGCCGGCTGCCCACCCTTGAGCTGGGCGTGCAAACACTGCACTGACTTCTTCATCTCTAAAACCAGCACGCTAAGGGTGGCAGCATTTGTGGCTTAAAAAGCTAGTTCTGGAAAGATTCCAGTTTTGACCGGGAGGAGGCTGGACTTCGGAACCTACTCCTTAGAATGACACCATTAACACATACGATCATCACACCAGAGTTCCCTCAAATGATCACAAAGTGTGAGTGTATGAACAGCTCAGTTTCACCCTTCATCTCCTTCAACACAGCACACCCAGTGATCACGATCTCTGAAAATACAGGATTGGAATCATCCATCTTAATTCAGTTTTCACTTTACCTCTCCATGTTTTGCTTACCACTGTCTTTGATTAAGTCTACAACAAATAGACCAAGGACTGAGAATGAAACTGAAAATCCATCTCAAAACTTCTCCAACTCAATTCCCTACCTCTTTGTTCATTCATACTTACGGGGTTGATTGAAGAATCCGGATTTATTTGCAACATGTAAATATTGTCCGTAGAATACTGGAAGAGCCCGTAATAAGGATTCAGCATTTCATGGCACAGCAAGTAAAGCCACTCCCTGGGAGCAAACAACAAAAATGCATTTGAGACGCGCTAAAATTTCTACATTTTTTTTTTTTCCCTGAGATGGAGTCTCACTCTGTCGCCCAGGCTGGAGTGCAGTGGCATGATCTTGGCTCACTGCAACCTCTGCCTTCCTGGTCCAAGTGATTTTCCTGCCTCCCGAGTAGCTGGCACTACAGGCATGCGCCACCAGGCCCGGCTATTTTCTGGATTTTTTAGTAGAGACAGGGTTTCACCATGTTGGCCAGGGTGGCCTCGAACTCCTGACCTCAAATGATCCACCCATCTCGGCCTCCCAAAGTGCCAGGATTACAGGCGTGAGCCACCACGCTCAGCCTAAGTTGTTATTTTCTGAATTTCTTTAATGTTTGCATCATTTTATTATTTTAAAAACCCCAAAGTTAAAAACAGTCAAGCCAAAAAAAAGGCACTTTAAATAGAAATTGTATGGTTCAGTGGCTACACTCAGGTTGCATTAAGCCCAGCCCTTAGACAAACACCTGTGGCAGATCTACGAAGAGTCTTCTATTCATTCTGCTCAAAACTCCTTTTCAACGGATCGCATTAAGATAGCAGCTCCAAATTTTATTCTGGAATTTCTTACTTTTTCAAACAGAAATGAGAGCGAATAGGGAAGGACAGACACAAATGCAGATAATCTGTCCAAGAAAATCGTGAGAATACACAAAAAATATCAAACAAAAACAGTTCTTCATTGTACTCAAAAGAACAGAAAGGAACTGCCAGAAGAGATGAGACTCCGAATCCTATAAAGTCTCTTTTTACTACAAAGGCAACATTGCTGAATTTGAATTCATCCCAAGTTTTGGAGTTTCAATTTAGGAAGAACCTTTTTTGAAAAAGACAAAGACCTCCAGTTGTCTAGACAGGAAGTGATTAAAATACAAGCAAACATTCCGACCGAGCCATGGACAGCGTAAAGATACAATCAGTTCTGTTCTGGAAGTGGTAAGGGAAGCAATAACTAAACAGGCCAAAAAGAGAGGCTACAGAAAGGACTTCAGGACTAAATACTGGGGAGATAAGTGTAGCCTAACTCCCACAGATCGGATAATGAACACACACCTGCACATGTGTAATACACATGCAACTGAAATCTCTCCACCGTTCTCTAAGTATCATCCCATTAGGAGGAAGACTCCAGTGGTGAAATAACACTACAAGACCAAACTGGAGGTGGCAGAGCAGAGATTCCCAACTCTTTCCACTACAGCATCATGTCAGTCAAGGGAAATTCACAACGACCCATCTCCACGCAGAAGACTGGATGACTACGGAAAACGCAGAAGGAATGTAACTCCTACCAGACCAAACCAGGGAGTCCGACAGCTGAGTAACAGGCATTTCAGAATGACCAAAGAAAGAAAATGTGCGAAGAAATTAACAAAAAGTAAAATTCATTCATTTGGCACATATTTACAGAGACAAGTGTTCCGCTGTGTGTTAGGTGCTGTTCTAGGAACCGGGGATCAGCTGTGAACAAGACAAGTTCCTGACTGCATGTAGTTTGACTCTCTTGGAAGATGCAGATGAGAAAGAGAAACATCACACCACACAACCATGCGGTGGTCACAGCATGACAAGGGAGGACGCCAAGAAAGGGGAAGCTATGGGACGCCCAGGACAATGGACCTCACCCAGGGAAGCAGTGAAGTCTCAGGACAACCACGGCACAGAGGAGCAAGAGAATCGCCATCAGGCTGCACAGAGGCCTTGCAGGAGACACGGGGGCTGTCAGAAGGTATGATGTGTAACCATCCTGGAGGACTTGAAGTTCAAGGGGCAGTAGAGACAGTGAAAGCTACTGGGGAGGGAAGCCAAGGCGGGAGGATCACCTGAGGTCAGTAGTTCAACACCCACCTGGCCACCATGGTGAAACCCCATCTCTACTAAAAATATAAAAATTAGCTGGACATGGTGACTCGCACCTGTAATCCCAGCTACTCAGGGGGCTGAGGCATGAGAATCACTTGAACCTGGGAGGTGGAGGTAGCAGTGAGCCGAGATCCAGCCAGTGGACTCCAGCCTGGGCCATAGAGTGAGATGCTGTCTCCAGAAAAAAAAGGGAAGAAGAAATTCTTGGAAAAATTAGAATTTGTTCCAAAAAGTTAAATTCTAGAATACTATTTAAACCCTTAATGGACAATATTTTCATTCATAATAATGTAAACCGTATAAACTTTCATCCCTTTACAAATAATTGGTAGACAAGCATAGGAGACTGACCAAATTTTGGTTACAGAAGAGAATGTAAATCTTAACCTTGACAACATAAAAGTAATATTACAGATGACAGAATTTAAGAGGCAGAAGGAATGCTGAAGAGAAAGTTGTAAGTATGAATATCCTGTTCTTATGCAAATGAGAGGTCCAGAGATCATGTCTCTAGTTGATACATCAAAAAAATAAAGGTGAAAGCACAGGACATAAAGTTACAAATGATGGAAGAACTAAAAAGATCCATATTACTAAATTGAACATGAGAGTAACTAGAGTCAGTCTATCTTATGTATATGCCCATAAATCATTAAATCCGGAAATAACAAGATACCTATTCAAAGAAAAGAGCTAAAAGAGTTAAGAAGCAGTTGTCTTAGCCAAGCACAGCGGTTCACACCTGCAATCTCAGCACTTTGGGAGGCCAAGATGGGAGAGTGGCTTGAGCCCAGGAGTTTGAGACCAGCCTGGGCAACATAGTAAGACCTCATCTCTACAAAAAACTTTTTAAAAATTAGCCAGGCCTGGTGGCACACACCTGTAGTTCCAGCTACTTGGGAGGCTGAGGTAGGAGGATCGCTTGAGCCCAGGAGGTTGAGGCTGCAGTGAGCTATGATTGTGCCACTGCACTCCAGCCTGGGCAACAGAGCAAGACCCCGTCTCAAAAAAGACCAAAAAAAAAAAATTGTCTTGAAGCTGAAAAGAAGCAGGACATGAAATAGCAGTTTTTCATCATTCTATTCTGTTTTTTAATATCATTTTCTTGAATTATTTTGACCAAAATTTTAACATTTTACAAAATTCCTTTGACACAAATGCAATTTACATGCACAAATGCAATCCCTGCCCTGCTCCCTGCAGCAAATCCTCTACAGAGGAGAGCAAGGCTGCCTCCTGTGTTAAATTTCAGGAGCATGCTCCTCATGTTTCAAAAGAAGGGAGTGAATTTAAAAGTTTAATTCTAGCTTTACAAGAAGTCAATTAGTGGTGACAATCACGGATATTCTGGTAGGTTATGGCAAGAGGCTGGCACGAGCATGCTCGGAGGAATTCCTATTCTCCGCAGGGTGGCTGAAGCCAGTGCATGATGGCCCGACTGCTCCAAGGAGACATCAGCCCTGCCCAGGAGTGCTTGGTGATGAGCACTGGAGAAGGGCAAATGACTTCTCTTGAAAAGACTGAGATCCACACAGCAGAGAAGGTGAATGAACAAGCAGCTCACCTGGCCACACCACCGTAATCCAAACCTTCTTCCCCACGGAATTTCACCATCAGCCGTTTTTTCAAGTCTTTCGGTCGCATCTTCATTATCTGGCGGTAAGACTCCTGAAGAGCAACATCACAGTTTCAGAGAGAAGAACATTCTTATTCTTAAAGTTATGAAAGGTCATTGATAATGGAGCCCGGTTAAGAACACGCATCCATTCCAATTCAAGTTTTATCTGGCTCCTCATCAGAATGTTTCTTCGGCATCTAGTATATTCCATCATCTTTTTTCTCAGTTTCTCCCTCTGAGACAACAACAAAACAAACACGATGCCAGGAAACACTAACCTTCAGGGAAACACGTGTCTGTTTTCAGTGAATCACCAAGGACTTAAGGACAAAACTCACTAGGGTTGATTCTTCTCTGTATAAATTAATTTCAATGCACACTATAAACAACTTGTGCATCGCAACCAAAATCAAGACATTAGAAAGTCTGAATGCTAAGAGAGTTCTGAGCCTCTCTTTATATCTAAAGTGAAAAATCACATTTGATTTCCCACTGAGTCAAAAGGCAAAAAGATTTTAAGTAAGACATAAGGTGGCTTAAGCACAGCACAGAACACATGTGATCAGCCTGCTATTCCCTCACACTCAGCACTTGAAGCAGAAGCCGCTACGTGTTTATAGATGTAGATTCAGTAACGAGGCACTTAAGAAATTTTTCGTGCTTTAAATTTAACGCAATTCAAACTCCAGCAACCCAGCCGGGCGCGGTGGCTCCGCCTGTAATCCCAGTACTTTGGGAGGCCAAAGTGAGCGGATCACTTGAGGTCAGAAGTTCAAGACCAGCCTGGCCAACATGGTGAAACCCCCCCATCTCTACTAAAAATACAAAAAATTAGCTGGGCCTGGTGGCGGGCGCCTGTAATCCCAGCTACACGGGAGGCTGAGACAGGAGAATCGCTTGAACCTGGGAGTCAGAGGTTGCAGTGAGCCGAGATCATGCCGCTGCACTCCAGCCTGGGCAACAGTGCAAGACTCCGTCTCAAAAAAAAAAAAAAAAAAAAAAACCCAAACAAATAAACTCTGGCAACCCAAGAGGGAAAGAGGAAACGAGCTGGTAGTGAAGTCAGTACTTCAGCGCTTTTCTAGCCCTGCAACAAGGGCATACATGCAGCAGGCAGGGCTGGGCGCTGTGGCCAAGCTGCCCATCCAACACTCAGGCCCAGCCCTCGCGGTGGGGAAGGCGCTCAGCTCCCTCGGCCCCCCAGTGCTCCCTTAGTGCTGTCACCCAGGGAGAATCTGTGCTCAGTCTCCTTTGATCATTTCTGACAGTGTCTCCACAAAGGAGGGCAGGAAATGGCCCAAATGCCATGGAGATTTTCCTGTATGGTCAGCTTTCTTGGGAAAAGGGCCTGGTCTGTTTAGGGACCTGCTCCTGCAGGAAGCTGTGTAAGGGACAGAGCCTGTCCCAAGAGCCACCTGCTCCTCGCCAATTTCCACAGGAGAAGCAGGATGGCCCCCAGCCCCTGAGCTGCCCTGAGAAGGAGAGCCCTCAGATGACATCTCATACAAGAAGAGAGGAGGGAGACTACCTGGCTCTGGGGAAAGCGCAGATTGCAGATTGCAGGAATATTTAACCCACATCATGTAGACAAGGCGGTTCCCACTATTTTTTAGTGCTAGTTTCTGTATACACCTCTAGGTTTTCACCTAGAGGTGAAACTATTTAGTTTTTCCATTTTTACCATAAGAGGAAATGAATACCATTCCCTCCCTCTAGACAGGCTGTGGTCCTGACAAACTCTGCACTTCCCTTAGTAATAAAATCAATACCTCAAATACCAAACAGAAAGAAGGGTTCCCTGAAACGCAGACATCACCCACAAAGCAGTTCATTTAAAGCAGCCCTTGAAAACAATCGCATTTGAGATTCCTTTGTCTGAATTGCCTTATTTGTTTCTGAACAGGGTCTGGGCAGTGGCCCTGAACTCTCTACCTCAAAGATTTCTTCTCTGGACACTTCGATGCGGCAATGACCAGCTTGGGGCTGCTGAAGCGACAGTTCGTGTCTGAGGACTTTCAGCTTCTGGACTAGATCTCTTTCGTATCTCTGGGCAGGAAGCTCCTCGTCCTCCAGAGAGCCCTCACTGGGCAGTGGCAGCGGCTGGCTGGGCTCCTTGAGTTGGCACTGGTGACTTGAGAAGAAGAGATGCAGAAAGTCACTCCGAAGCCCCGGCCAGGGGAGCTGCAAGCACCCACGTACGCGACAGGGTCAGAGGAGAGAGCTAGCTGCACACAACTTCAGGGAGAATTTGTTTCCCTGATGACGTAACCAGGTACCTAGCTAGCTGTGTCAAACTTGCTGATGGCCACATTAGCCTAAATGTATGTCTACAGTACCATAAAGGAGGTACCCCAGGCCGGGCGTGGTGGCTCAAGCCTGTAATCCCAGCACTTTGGGAGGCTGAGGTGGGTGGATCACCTGAGGTCAGGAGTTCGAGACCAGCCTGGACAACATGGTGAAACCCGGTCTCTACTAAAAATACAAAAAATTAGCCAGGTGTGGTGGTGGGCACTTATAATCCCAGCTACTCAGGAGGCTGAGACAGGGAAATCGCTTGAACCCGGGAGGCAGAGGTTGCAGTGAGCTGAGATTGCGCCACTGCCCTCCAGCCTGGGTGACAGAGCCAGACTCTCTCTCTCAAAAAAAAGGAGGTACCACAATTCCAAGCAAACACTTATCTCACACATTACCACCACAAATAAAAATGGAAATGGCTGTCATTTATTATGCATCTATTACGCACCCATGAGATGAACCAAAGCATCATCAGATGCACCTTGGCAGTTAGAATGAAATGGAGATGATGGGAAAAAATTTTAAAGGAGGTAACAGTGGAGAACTCAAATGAAATCTCATGATAGGCACAACAGCAGACCGCTCGAGTGAAATCTAATGAAAACCATCCCTCATTTTTACCGCCAAGAGATTTCTACACCTGCTCATTGAGAGCAAAATTTCAGTAAAAGGAGTAGGATTAGTACGGTGACAAAGTGGCATTTGTCCTGTTCAAGTTTTGCCACTGAGACACAGAGCTGTCGGTTAAAAGAGCTATGTCGGGGGCAGGCGCAGTGGCTCATGCCTATAATCCCAGCACTTCGGGAGGCCAAGGCAGGCGGATCACCCGCAGTCAGGAATTTGGGACCAGCCTGGCCAACATGGCAAAATCCCATCTCTACTAAAAATACAATAATTAGCTGGGCATGGTGGCGGGCGCCTGTAATCCCAGCTACTCAGGAGGCTGAGGCAGGAGAATCACTTGAACCCAGGAGGTGGAGGGTGCAGTGAGCAGAGATTGTGCCACTGCACTCCAGCCTGGGTGACAGAGCTGGACTCTGTCTCAAAAAAAAAAAAAAAAAGAGCTATGTGGAATGTTTGGCTCTGAGAACACGACAGGCCTGGAACACTAAATATGGGATCCAAGATAATTCCCAGTTCCAAGGTATCCAGTTCCCCACCGTGCAGGCACTAGGGGGATAGCACGTATCTCTACTTCTCAACCTAAGGGCCACGTGTCTCATGAGAGCGCTGCGTGCGGAAACTTCCTTCGTGCAGCCGCCTAATACTGCCATCTCGGTAAATTTTATGTAGGCTGCAAGTAAGAAAAGGGTAGCAACAACATAGGGCTTCAGTGCTCTTCACAGCTAATTTAAGAGTTTAAAATATGCAATTATCCGCCAGATATTTAACATCATTTTGACCATGCTTATTATCCAACCAGCAAGACAGTCAATAAATTCACAAAAATACCAGTCCAAGAAAGCATTCGATTACCAATGAAAGAGGTCAGCAAAAAATATTTTTAAAGTCTTACTTCATGATGTGGTGTAACCTTGGGTCTGTAAACTGGGTTGTTCGGTTATTATGATCTACAAAATATATCCTCCCAGAAACTGTACTTCTGACTTCCCAGCCTGGCGGCAGTGGTCCAAGTTCATCACAGTTCACACTGTTAAGGTCTCTACCAAAATGGAAGATACAGAGAGGTTTGTCCAACTGAGTATGGAGGAATGAGACCAAAAGTCAGCAACAGAAGCCACAGAGGTTCCTTATCAAGGTGTCTGTGTCCCAGCTCTGCTAAGATGGACCTTCGTGGTGCTACTTACGCCAAACCTCTACTCAGTCCAGGCCTCTCTGCTGCAAACAGCAGCAACATCCGAGAGATTTAAAACCAAACTTTCAGGCTGGGCGCGGTAGCTCACGCCTGTAATCCCAGCACTCTGGGAGGCAAGTGAATCACCTGAGGTCAGGAATTCGAGACCAGCCTGGCCAACATGATGAAACCCTGTCTCTACTAATAATACAAAAATTAGTTGGGTGTGGTGGTGGGTGCCTGTAATCTCAGCTACTTGGGAGGCTGAGACAGGAGAATTGCTTGAACCTGGGAGGCGGAGGTTGCAGTGAGCCGAGATCACGCCATTGCACTCCAGCCTGGGCAACAAGAGTGAAATTCCATCTCCAAAAAAAAAAATAGGCAGTTTCAGAGCTTATAACCATGATAAGGAACAGGGGCTCCCCACGGCATATCATTTCTTATATGAAAGAAGGCCCTAATAGTAGGAAGTATCTTAGTGCTGTCAGAAAACTATCTGAATTCACAAGTGTCATTAAATGTTCCCGGCCAGAAGGGTTTCTTCATTGGAAAGTTCCCAGACAGCACCAAGCTTTTCAGGGCTAAGGGAGGTACAGGAACATGCGTTCAGAAACTCGCAATTCTAAACAGTTGCAGCAGGACGAGGCATTCTCATTTTCAAATGGGCTTTTTGCTCAACAAGTATTTTCCACTCTAAGAATGATTAATTATTCTCCTGATTAATAATTTCAACACAATCTACAGTCAGAAGGGAGCACAGCTTTACTGACCAAGATGTGTTTCTAATTAACACAAAAGCCTGTCATTTCTAACAGGGGGTACAAAAGAGACACCTCATTCATTTGCAGGTAATATATTTCCAGTCTCATTATAGGTACTGAGTCATACATTAAACATAGTCTTGGAAAATCAGACAGGAAGTTTATTCTCAGATGAAACAAATCATGAATAAAAAGGAACTAAATATTACCAAAAATCATATTAGGTAGTAATGCTATTCTAAAAGGAAATAAAAAGCAAAAGAAAAAAAGAAACTTAACTCTGTTATGGGGTGGGGGGGGGGTCTCTCTAACCTGGGCTCAGATGTATGGCCTTGTAGAAGGAATTCGTATAGAAAAGCTGCATCTCCCCCAGGAATGGTCCCCGAGGGACTGAGGCAATGGGGACAGTAAAGTAGAAGAGAGAAAGGGTAACAGAGTCTTTATATTTCCTTGACTTATGATGGAAAATTTTAAGCATATAAAAAAGTTAGTGATCATAAGGAATTGCTGTGTAACCAACTTCAACAATGATCATGGTCAACCTTGTTTCAAAGGTCAACAATGACTCACGTTTCAAATGTACCCCTGTCTACTCCCCCCACCCCAGCTTATCTGAAGGAAATCCCAGACATCAATATCATCTCATTCATCACTATTTTTAGTTTAAAACAAGAGCAACACATCTGGAAGGTATTGGCTTTTCAAGTCAACTGCTGGAAAGACAGCTGGGGGGTGTCCATTTCAGGAGGCTTACCTTGGTATCCTGGGGTCGTGCCACGTGCTAACTCCAGTCTGTGTATGCAAAAAGTAAACTTGGCCCTGGACTGTTGTTCTTTGTTCTACACAAGAAATTAGAGATCCAAATGAGACAAGTTCAATTCCAGGGAGAGTTTGTAACCAACCCTCGATGCCCTCACGTCTGGTATTATCTAAATCTAGATAACACTCCCCTCTTATCCCAGTTCTTCTCTCTGAGGTGGCCGAATAATCCCCTCTTCTCCATCTCGCCCCATGCTCTCCTTTCCAGAGCACTACAGACACCCTCATCTAGCCTACATGTTACCTTGGTTTGCTTTGGTGTTCGTTTGCCTAAGATTTTCACTTGATTTCTAAACTGGGAGATTTGGAGCAATTGCTGAAAATTCATGATTAGCTAGATTTAGGACCATTGTCTTCCAGTTGTCTTTACACTGCCACAATTATCAAATGGCATAGCCACGCAAACATCCGCACTTATGGCACAGGCTACTCAAAAAGGGTTAAAGGCCAGATGCAGTGGCTCACACCTGTAATCCCAGCACTTGGGCGGCTGAGGCAGGTGGATCACTTGAGCCCAGGAGTTTGAGACCAGCCTGGGCAACATGGCGAGACCCATTCTCTACAAAAAATACAAAAATTAGCCAGGCATGATGGTGTATGCCTATAAGCCCAGCTACTCGCGAGGATCGCTTGAGCTAGGGAGGTCAAGGCTGCCGTGAGCCATGATCATGCCACTGCACTCCAGCATGGGTGACAGCAAGACCTTGTCTCAAAAAAAAAAAAAAAGTCAACTCATGGAAACAGGGCAGATGGCATTGGCCACAGCAGGATACATTCTCTCACCGTAGCCTTCGGGCAGTTCCGGGGACTGGTGGCCGTGTGGTCGGTTCTGGGGCGTCTGTAGTGAACCTCGCACATCAGGGTTTCGAAGCCGCTGTGCCTGAAGTCTTTGATCTTGACTTGGGGACTCCACGAACCTGCAATTCCCTCCTCCAGCAGCAGCACCGGTGCTATCTGTGTAAGGGGCTGGTTCCTCCATGAAGCAGCTGAGCGGCCTCCCAGGCCCGGAGTCTTCATACACCGTTCTGAAAGGGACGAGAGCAGGCAGGCATGGTGTCACCATGGAGGAGTCACAAGACCAGCGCCTTAGGGCTAGTGTCCTAGGGGACACCGTCACATAAATTGATTTGCTTTCCTTTAACAACGTCCAGTGTTCCAAGGGCCTAGTTTTGTAAAATTCACCATGTGCCACTCAAACAGAAAGACAGACTCTTCTAAGAGGAACAGGTGGCCGGAGTGTCCCCAAGGCCAACTGTACAATTTCACCATAGGGTAGACTGAAATGATTAGAAGAAACCAGCCTTAGACTATGAGGAGTTTGTGAAATGAGATCTCATTTTTCTTGATTTAAAATCAAATCCAGGCCAGATGCGGTGGCTCACGCCTGTAATCCCAACTTTGGGACGCCGAAGTGGGCAGATCACTTGAGGTCAGGAGTTCAAGACCAGCCTGGCCAACATGATGAAACCGCATCTCTACTAAAAATACAAAAATTAGCTGGGTGTGGTGGCACACGCCTGTGGTCCCAGCTACTCGGGAGGCTGAGAATTGCTTGAACCCAGGAGGCAGAGGTTGCAGTGAGCCAAGATTGTGCCATTGTACTCCAGCCTGGGTGACAGAGCGAGACTCCATCTTTAAAATAAAATAAAATCATATCCAAATACTCCATTTTCCTTGTTATTTTACTCTATAATGAAACTCCTGGTTACATAAAATGCCAAAATGCCTTTAGATACTTTTTAAACATCAATCTTCACCCCCTGAGCAATTTTGAAGACAATTCACCTTAATAGGCTACTGTCCCTTAGAAGCAAATACTCTTTTAAAATCTTAGATTGAAAAATTTCAAATATGTATAAAAAATGAGAGACCAGTACAATGAACCCCCTGTGTCCACCCCTCCCAGCTAACCATCATCCAATGTCCACTCTTCCAATCCCTCCCCACCAACCCCAACATTTTATGACTTCATCCTTAAATATTTCCATTATCATGACTAAAAAATGTTCATTAATTTTTTAAAAAAATCAAATACCGGTGTTCAGATTTCTCCAATTGTCTCATAAATCAGGATCCAAAGTCCACACCTTGCATGTGTAGCTATGTCTCAAGTTTGTTTGAATATGAATTGTTGACAGGTTCTCCTTCCCTCCTGTCTTTGCTTTTCTTGCAGTCTATTTGTTGAAGACCCTGGGTTGTCTGTCCTACAGAAGGCCCCATTCTGGATGTTTGTTGATTATATTCCCTTGGGGCCGTGAGACACATTCCTGGTTCCCTGTATTTCCAAGAGGTGTGTTAATGTTGGATCATCTCTCTTTTGTGATGTTGTTAGCAATTACTGCTTGTTGGCCAGGTCCATTAATTCATGGGGGACTGCAAAATTGTGACAGTGACCAATGACGGTTCGGCAGTTTGTTGTATTTTTTTAGTGTGTTGAGTTCCTCCCCCCGTCATTATGAACCCAAAGATTTTTAATATATCTGATATGTTCCAAATTCATGGCAGTTATAATTCTTTTCTTTTCTTTGAGCCAGGGTCTTGCTGTGTCGCCCAAGGTGGAGCGCAGTGGTGTGATCAGGGTTCACTGCAACTTCAAACTCCTGGACTCAAAGCAATCCTCCCACCTCAGCTTCCCTAGCAGCTGGGATTATAGGTGCGTGCCACCATGCCCAGCTAATTTGTTATTTTTTATTTTTTGGTAGAGACAAAGTCTCGCTATGTTGCCCTGGCTGGTCTCAAACTCGAGACCAAAGTCTCTGGCCACCTTGGCCTCCCAAAGTGCTGGGATTACAGGCAGTTATAATTCTTATTGATGCTCAAACTCACCCATCTTTGGCCCGTGGGAGCCTCTTTCACTGGATTTTGAGTCAGGCACAACCCCAGTTGTTTGTTTGTTTGTTTTTGAGACAGAGTCTTGCTCTGTCACCCAGGCTGGAGTGCAGTGGCATGATCTTGGCTCACTGCAACCCCCTCCTCCCGGGTTCAAGCAATTCTCCTGCCTCAGTCTCCCCAGTAGCTGGGACTACAGGCGCCCACCACCACGCCTGGCTAATTTTTTGCATATTTAGTAGAGATGGGGTTTCACCGTATTAGCCAGGATGGTCTCAATCTCCTGACCTCGTGATCCACCTGCCTCGGCCTCCCAAACTGCTGGGATTATAAGCGTGAGCCACCACGCCCAGCCAACTCCAGTTGTATTTACAGCTTCCTTTATAGCCAAGTAAACTGGTTCACAGTTTTATCCCAACATCCTTTATGCATCTCAAGCATTCTGCAGAGTGACTTAAGGAGGGAAGGGCGCTTTCCTATAGGCCGAGAGGTTAAGGCAGCAGAGAACTCAGCCCGCCTCTTGCTGTGGTTATACGTACCCTTCATTTTCTAACAGTCCTCTGCAGTCCACCACCGAGCCGCCGGTTCCTATTCTGTCTCGTGTCTGTAAACTGACTAAAAGAGAAAAGAACGACTTGTGTTAAAACCCAGCGGGGTTTACATAATTATAATACAGTGAGTCATTGCTAATTTAGAATTTATGTACAATATCATAAAAAACGAGGCATATGTGTATGCATACACACATATATTCCTATGCTTTCCAATACGAAGCATTTTACTCCAGTAGCTGCATGCTACTTGGAATATTCCTTGTAAATGTGGTGAAGAAAAGGGTGCTATGTTTCTCCTGGTCTCCATAAAAATAACAATGTAATATTCAGTCCCTCTAAGTTATTTTCAAGAAGATTTATTTTTTAAGAAGACTTTTTTTGGGCCAGGCACGGTGGCTCATGCCTGTAATCCCAGCACTTTGGGAGGCCAAGAAGGGAGGATCGCCTGAGCTCAGGAGTTTGAGACCAGCCTGGGCAACATGGCAAAACCCCATCTCTACTAAAAATACAAAAATGAGCCAGGCATGGTGGCACACACTTGTAGTCCCAGCTACTTGGGAGGCTGAGGCAGGAGAATTGCTTGAACCCAGGAGGCGGAGGTTACAGTGAGCTAAGATCGCGCCACTGAACTGCAGCAGGGGTGACAGAGTGAGACTCTGTCTCCAAAAAAAATTAAAAATTAAAAAAAATAATAAAAATAAGAAGTTTTTTTGGGGGGGATTAAGTCTCACTGTGTTGCCCAGGCTGGCCTCAAACTCCTGGGCTTGAGCAATCCTCCCACCTCAGCCTCAGAGTAGCTAGACTACAGGCATGTGCCACTGAGCCCAGTTTTTATTTCTTAAGAACATTCTGACTTAAGTTTAATAAAGACACAGAGAGGCCGGGCACAGTGGCTCACACCTGTAATACCAGCACTCTGGGAGGCTAAGGCGGGCGGATCACCTGAGGCTGGGAGTTCCAGACCAGTCTGGCCAACATGGCAAAACCCCGTCTCCACTACAAATACAAAAAATTACCCAGGCGTGGTGGCAAGCAGCTGTAACTCCAGCTACTCAGGAGGCTGAGGCAGGAGAATCGCTTAAACGCGGGAGGCGGAGGTTGCAGTGAGCTAAGATCATGCCACTGCACTCCAGCCTGGGCGACAGAGCAAGACTCCGTGTCAAAAAAAAAATGAATAAAGACACAGAGAGTACTTTCAGTATCTGCAAAGTCTAAGTGAATCTAAATATTTATTCTCTATCTTTACTATGAACAAGACTTTTATAAAGTTGTTTTCAGTTACTCATTTTTCTCCCTGGCACATCCCGCCACAAAGAAAAAAGAAATTACACGCAGGAAAGCATTCGGTGAGAACTTTTTCATGATGGTAGATTTCAGGGTGTATGTCTGCACTATTCATTTATCTTGGGTCAGGTCTACACAGGACAATACCTAAAAGATTTGGAGTGAGAATCACTCCAGTGTGCTGCAGAGAGACCTTTTTTTTTTTATTCCATGCAGCAGTGCTTCCAAGTCAATATCTGAGTTACCCTAAAACACTAATACAAGTGGGTGGATAATAGGATGAGTTATTTAACAGCTAAATCACTTCCAACAGACTGCCTCTAGCCAACACTTTGTAACATTAGCACACTTTAATTTTTCATTCTAAATAATGCAGTCCCCTGACTGTACAAATCATATTACATGGAATTCTTCACAACTCTATGCTTTTTACATATATGATGGGGCTTCCAGAAGAAACTATTTCCCAACTCCTGTATGTGTGGCCACCATTCTTATTATCTACCCTTGGATAATACGGTCAAAAATGTATTGTCCATAAATGTGATGATTAAAATTACATTTAAAATTCTAACCCTAAATCTTTCTGTACCCGAGTCATTTTTACTCAACTTTAAAAGCCAAGAGAAGGGGGCCGGGCATGGTGGCTCACGCCTGTAAGCCCAGCACTTTGGGAGGCCAAGGCGGGCAGATCACTCGAGGTCAGGAAATCGAGACCAGCCTGGCCAACATGGTGAAACTCCGCCTCTACTAAAAATACAAAAATTAGCCAGGCGTGGTGGCACACACCTGTGGTCCCAAGTACTCGGGAGGCTGAGGCAGGAGAATCGCTGGAACCTGGGAGGCGGAGGTTGAGGTGAGCTGAGATCTCACCACTGCACTCCATCTCAAAAAAAAAAAAACCAAAAAAAAAAAAAAGCCAGGAGAAGGGAATTAGATAAAATAATAAAAACTACACAAGACAAAACTTCCTAGTACTGAAGAGAAGGCCCCGTACGTGGTCTGTCCTCTGAGGCCCGTCAGCATCGTCAGTGCCTGTATGTGAGTTCTCGGCGATGAAGGGTTGAATGTAAGTTCTGGAAAAGCATCTCTTTACACAGACAAGAAAGTTCTTACCCACTATCTGGCCACGAACTGCATCAGTATCTGAGGGGTTTAGTTTGCATAGATCCAAACGCTGGTCTGTAAACAAACAATTCAAAACTTAACCCAAGGAACGTGAACTAGGGAGGAAGGCAGGAATTCAGTATTCAGCGATCAAAACAAAAAACGATGCCTCCTAAGCTTTCTTTGGTTGCATTAAGAGGCAGGAAAGTGTTTGGTTCTTACATCCGGTATCTTTTAATCTGCTGATGGCATTGGAGAGCAGCCGCACACAGCCCAGGAAGCCAGCTCCCTGTTTCTTGTGAATTTTCTTATGGTTCCACACGCTAATGGTTATCGAATCCGTTTTCCCAACATATCTGGAAAGAAAGTGCAAAACTCATTTTTAATTGTGTTTGGTTTTTTTTGTTTTGTTTTTTTTTTTTTTTGAGATAGAATCCTGCTCTGTTGCCCCCAGGCTGGAGTGCAGTTGTGTGATCTCAGCTCACTGCAACTCCCAAGTTCAAGTGATTCTCCTGCCTCAGCCTCCCGAGTAGCTGGGACTACAGGCGTGCATCACCATGCCTGGCTAATTTTTGTATTTTTAGTAGAGATGGGGTTTCGCCATGTGGCCAGGTTGGTCTTGAACTCCTAACCTCAGGTGATCCACCTGCCTTGGCCTCCCAAAGTGCTGGGATTACAGGCATGAGCTACTATGCCCAGCTTTTAATTGTATTTCTGAATTATGATATCTCATTGAGATTTTCTCTTTAAGAAACCTTATAAAATAATGTTGCCTCTGTATTACACATGTAACAGGCATTTAATAAATACGTATCCATTAATTTCAACAAGCTGGGAAGAAGAACTACCTTGCTCCTTATGGAAGGGGCAAATGTAGATAACCACACGATGATAATAATCTTATAACAGACTTACTATATTTTATTTATTTTTATTTATTTTTTTATTTTTTTGAGACGGAATTTTGCTCTTGTCGCCCAGGCCGGAGTGCAATGGCGCAGTGTTAGCTCACTGCAACCTGTCTCCTGGGTTCAAGGAATTCTCCTGCCTCAGCCTCCCCAGCAGCTGAGATTACAGGCACCTGCCACCACACCTGGCTAATTTTTGTATTTTTAGTAGAGACGGGGTTTCACCATGTTGGCCAGGCTGGTCTCAACCTCCTGACCTCAGGTGATCTTCCTGCCTCGGCCTCCCAAAGTGCTTAGATTACAGGTGTGAGCCACTGCACCCAGCAAATTTACTATATTTTAATAGTCGCATAGGACAGTAACATGATTCATAAATTCTCACCAATTAGGTTTGATACAGAATACTGGTTTGCGACAAGGGACTACTTACAAACCTACGGATCTATTCAAAGTACACAAGAGGACACTAAGACATTAAACCTCCATTTACTGTCACTGCAAGTCAACGGAGAGAGGAACTCAACCCACTTACACAGCCTCAGTGTCACTGAAACTGAATCTTAGAATATAATTCTTAAAAATCCCACCCAAATACAGTATAATTTGTATTAACTAAAAGACAATAATCTTTCAGGATTACTTTGATGAAAATATCTTAGTAGGAACATGAAAACATGGGTGCATATAAAATAGTGGTCTTCACAGCCAGGTGCAGTGGCTCACGCCTATAATCCCAGCACTTCAGGAGGCCAAGGTGGATCACCTGAGGTCAGAAGGTCAAGACCAGCCTGGCCAACATGGTGAAACCCATCTCTACTAAAAATATAAAAATTAGCCAGGCATGGTGGCGGGTACCTGTAATCCCAGCTACTCGGGAGGCTGAAGATCGAGAATCGCTTGAACCCAGCAGGAGGAGGTTGCGGTGAGCCAAGATTGCGCCACTGCGCTCCAGCCTGGGCAACAGAGCGAGACTCTGTTTGAAAAAAAAATTTAATTTAATTTAAAAATAAAATAGGCCGGGCGCGGTGGCTCACGCCTGTAATCCCAGCACTTTGGGAGGCCGAGGCGGGCGGATCACGAGGTCAGGAGATCGAGACCATCCCGGCTAAAACGGTGAAACCCCGTCTCTACTAAAACTACAAAAAATAGCCGGGCGTAGTGGCGGGCGCCTGTAGTCCTAGCTACTTGGGAGGCTGAGGCAGGAGAATGGCGTGAACCCGGGAGGCGGAGCTTGCAGTGAGCCGAGATCCCGCCACTGCACTCCAGCCTGGGCGACAGAGCAAGACTCCATCTCAAAAAAAAATAAAATAAAATAAAATAAAATAAAATAAAATAAAATAAAATAAAATAAAATAAAATAAAATAGTGGTCTTCAAAGTACAATCCAGTTTTTGAATGACTATAAGAAATTGATGGCTTTGATCATATAAAACTATATTTTCTCTTGCAGAAAATATATATGTACTAAAAAGCAAAAATTTTCAAAGTCAACAGAAACATACAGTCATAATAATGAATTTTTTAGGCCTGGTACAGTGGCTCACGCCTGTAATCCCAGAACTTTGGGAGGCTGAGGCGGGTGGATCATGAGGTCAGGAGTTCGAGACCAGCCTGGCCAAGATGGTGAAACCCCGTCTCAACTAAAAATACAAAAATTAGTTGGGCATGCTGGCGGATGCCTGTAATTCCAGCTACTTGGGAGGCTGAGGCAGGAGAATCACTTGAATCCAGGAGGTGGAGGTCACAGTGAGCCGAGATCGCGCCACTGCACACTCTAGCCTGGGCGACAAAGCAAGACTCCATCTCAAAAAAAAAAAAAATGCATTTTTTAGGTAGAAACTACAACTAGGTTTAGGGTTTTGCTGAAAAACAGTAGCATGTGGAGTTCACAAACTATGGCCTTTTTTTCTGCTAAAATGGCCAGGAGATTGAAAAGTTTGAGGATCACATGTACAAAACCAAACCATAAAAATCTATGAACATGCCAAATGCAGTCGGGCGCAGTGGCTCACGCCTGTAATCCCAACACTTTGGGAGGCTAAGGTGGGCAGATCACTTGAGGTCAGGAGTTCAAGACCAGCCTGGCCAACATGGTGAAACCCCATCTCTACTAAAAAATACAAAAATTAGCTGGGCATGGTGGCATATGTCCATAATCCCAGCTACTTGGGAGGCTGAGGTAGGAGAATCACTTGTACCCGGGAGGCGGAGGTTGCAGTGAGCTGAGATCACGCCACCGCACTCCAGCCTGGGTGACAGAGTGAGACTCCGTCTCAAAAAAAAAAAAAAAAAAAGAAAAAAGAAAGTAACAAAATGCAAGAACTTCCAAGTACATGAATTCTAAAATTAGGCAATGTAGACATTCATTTGGCCATCCGCTTTTGTTATCAATAAAAAGTCATCCTTTTTTTTTTTTTCTCTTGGATGTTTCTCGTAAAAGGTAGACACCTGCTTTCCTGCCGCTCCGCATGGGGCTTACAGAACATTCAACTCACAGATCATAGTGCTGGTTCCACTTTGGGTCCAATGTGTTTTTCACAGTGTCGGTTGAGTGGCACTGCCCAGACCCATCCACGACAATCTTTGCAAAAGGGTCAGGGAGCCCTAGAGGAGAGAGGAGACCCACACCTAGATGAGACCTCACATCCATCCATGTGACACAGAACACACAATTCGTGTTCTCTAATTTCAGGATAATTTCAATCAGCAAAATAAGTTATGTCTATTGAGCTTTCTAAGAGAGCCTAGTATGCCTCCATACTCAGATTTTTAGAGGGTAGAAAAGAAAGTGACTGAAAAAAAAAAAGGCTTACATTCAAATTTCTATTAAAGTGGGGCTAATTAAGTGGAGGGAAAAGTGTCTGAAAGTAATTGTATTTAGACTTTCTAAAAATTAATAATGCCCCGAAATTTGTTTACTGATCTTTGCCTATCTTATCTATGGAAGCAAGTATTCACCAGGCCTTAATTCGGTAAGTCCCTAAATGCTAGAGAATGAATCAGAGAGGTTTATTAGATCAGACAGGTGGCAAAGTGGACAGTTGTCAGAGATAGAGATGGACACGAGCCACCATGCTGGAGCTTCCTGGCTACCTGGAGAAAGCCTTTGAGCCTAAGTTTCTTCATCTTGAAAGCATGAATAATACCACTTAAGAACTGAAAGATGTCTTGTGAGGATCAGAAAGTGTGTGAAGAATTTAATGCTGCAGGCACTGACCAGATACTGCATGACTTTCTTAAGGAGTGATTCCTTCCTTTAGAAAAGGAGTCTCTTATTTTTGCAATTCCTTTAATTATAGGGTGTTGTAAATGTGATTTAATTTATAAAATCTGATTAACAATTGTATGCAAATCCAGCTGTTTTATACAAAAGTATTTCATTTGTATTAGAGCTGAGAATACATCATCCAGCAGAAAGCAATATTCTAATAGGTAGAGAGGCAGAAAAAATTGGGTGTGACCAGAATAGGAAACGAAAGACAGGTTTTGCGGTATGATTTATAAGTTCTGTATATTTCAGCTAAGGAACTACCCATGTTGTAGTCAACCGGGAAATAAAGCTTGGAGAACCATGGATTTCTATTAAGTAAAGGGCAAAACTTTGAAGAGAATATACCCAATCTTTTTTTAAAGTTTAAAATTTCAGAAATACATGCATAACATTATAAGAGGGAAAAAAATAAGTGTTTACTTACTGAAGAAGTCTTTCTTTGCAAGGTTCTTGGCACATAACACTAAAAACAAAGAAAAATTACTCAGGTTAGCATTAAAGACGAGATTTCCATAATAGCTAATCTATATTTACACCCGAACAAAAAGACTCTAAAAATTAGCTTTGCCGAAGATTTGACTTTCAAATCTAGTATCATATGAAACAAAAAATGGACAACCATCTAAAAAGTGTTTTCTCCTCAAACTGAAGATCAGCTATAACAAATACAAAATGCTTTAAACTAAAAATCTTAAACACATTCAGATGGGTTGATCAATATACTTTTTTTTTTTTTAAGAGATAAGGTCTTGCTCTCTTGCCCAGGCTGGAGTGCAGGGGCATGATCATAGCTCATTGCAGCCTCGAACTCCTGGGTGATTCAAGCAATCCTCTTGCCTCAGCCCTCCCAGTAGCTAGGATTATAGGCACACGCCACCATGCCTGGCTAAATGTTCTTATTTTTGTAGAGATAGGGCCACTGCACCCAGCCTACCGATATTCTCTTATACTGCATATGATCACATAAAAACCAACTCAAATAAAGACCTGAAGTATTTATCCTTACAGGTACCGCTAATGACAGAAGAAGCTATGCAATTTTTTATTCTGATAAGTAATACAATTTTGTAAATGTAAACTTTGATATGTTGGAAAATAGTAAGCAAGGGGAAGGTGGTAAAAAAAAATATGGGGCCATCATCAGGGTAGTGTGAACAAAAAATGATAAAATGCACGTTAAGAACTTAGCACAGGCTGGGCATGGTGGCTCACGCCTGTAATCCCAGTACTTTGGGAGGCTGAGGTGGGCAGATCACCTGAGGTCAGGAGTTCAAGACCAGCCTGGCCAACATGGAGAAACTCCATCTCTACTAAAATACAAAAATTAGCTGTGTGTGGTAGCGCATGCCTCTAATCCCAGCTACTCCAGAAGCTGAGGCAGGAGAATCACTTAAACCCGGGAGGCAGAGGTTGCAGTGAGCCAAGATCTCACCACTGCACTCCAGCCTGGGTGACAGAGCGAGACTCTGTCTCCAAAAAAAAGAACTAAGCACAGTGTTGATGTATAGAAAGAATGCAATTAAGGTTCTTATTATTTTATTAATGAGTAATGAGGTAGTATCAATTACTGTTAAGAGAGTTTGTCACCAGACCTGCTTGCTACACAACGCAAGTGACTGTGTCAGGGAGACACTGAGGTGCTTTTGTCTTTTGTACTGCTTCACAAATTGTCCTCAATTTTAAGAATATTATGTTTTATTAAGCACTTGTATTTTACAAAAATGTGCTCACATAATAGATATTGTTCTGCCAAGTTTCACTTCGTTTTATAAAACTAAGTGAATAATGTCGTAAGTGATAAGCTATAGCTTTATCAAGATATATATATTTATATAGTCAAGATATATATATATATATAAGATTTATTTATATATATATATATATATATATATATATATATATATATATATATATATATATATATATATATAAAAAGAGACAGGGTCTCACTCCGTCACCCCAGGCTGGAGTACAGTGGCACAATCATAGCTCACTGTAGCCTCAAACCCTTGGGCTCTAGGGATCCTCCAGCCTCAGCCTCTCGAGTTGCTGGGACTACAGGCACACACCACCACACCCAACTAACTTCTTTTTTTAAAGAGACAGGCTCTCACTATGTTGCCCAGGCTGGTCCCAAGCTCCTGGCCTCAAGCAATCCTCCCAACTTCGCCCCACAAAGTGCTGGGATTATAGGGATAGGCCACCATGCCCAACCAAGATACGATTTATATACCACACAATTCATCCATTTAAAGTGTGCAATACAGTGGTTTTTAGTATACTCATGGGTGGGACAACTATCATTACAATCAATTTTAGAACATTTTTATCATCCCAAAAAGAAAGGCCATACCCAGTTTAAACTAACAATCTTAAACACATTAAGATGGGTTTATCAATATACTTTTTTTTTTTTTTCAGAGACAGGGTCTTGCTCTGTTGCCCAGGCTGGAGTGCAGTGGCATGATCATAGCTCACTGCAGCCTCGAACTCCTGGGATCAAGCAATCCTCTTGCCTCAACCTCCCTAGTAGCTAGGATTACAGGCACACGCCACCCAGCACACTTTGGGAGGCCGAGGCGGACGGATTACTTGACATCACGAAGTGGTGTTAGATTTTGTCAAATGCTTTTTCTACATGTGTTGAGATGCTGTTTTGGTGTTTGGCCTTTGTCTATTGATACGGTGCGTGACATTAATTGATTTTAAGTTGTTAAACCAACCCTGCATTGTGAGATAAACTCAACTTGGTCACGGTACACAGTCCTTTTAATATGTCGCTATATTCAGTTTGCTAGTATTTTGTTGAGGAATTTCACATCTATATTCATAAGGGATATTGGTTTGTATTTTCCTTTCCTTCATAGGCTATCTAGTTTTGGTATCAGAGTGATACTGGCCTCATAAAATGAGCTGGGAAATATTCCCTCCTCCTCCTCGTCTTTTTGTTTTGTTTTGGAAGAATTTGTATTAATTCTTCTTTAATGTTGGGTAGAGTTCACCAGTGATGGCCTCTAGGCCTGGGCTTTTCATTTTCTTTGTGAGAAGTGTTTTAAATTACTAATCCAATCTCTTTACTTTTTATAGACCTAGTCAGATTTTTCCATTTCTTCTTCAATCAGCCCTGGTAGTTTGTGAATTTCCAGAAGTTTGTTGATCTCCTCACTTTTCATAAGTCTATTCAGATTTTTGCATTTCTTCTTCAGCCTTAGTAGTTTGTGTCTTTGTAGATGTTTGTTGATTTCACCCATGTTATCAAATTGTTGGCATACACTTGTTTGTAATATTCCTTGATAATCAGTATTCCTTGATAATATTTCTGTATAGTCAATAGTAATATTTCTTCTTCAGAGTAATGTAATCTTTATATACTTCCTTTCCACCTCAGTCTTTTTAGTGGATAGATCACTATTAATTACACCTCCTGCTGATGTTTCATTTCTTGTTACTCTAATTACAAAATACATACTTGAAAATATGGAAATGTGTAAAATAGAAAATCCACAGCCCCAAAACCTCATCATTACTGTTTGTCTAGCATTTGCCTGGCTAGTCTCATGTGCTTATTTTTCCCATTAACATTTAGAATCATTTTGAGCAAGTTTTTAAAAAATGACTTCATAAGTAAATGAGGAAAATTTTTACCTATTTACAATAGAGTATCTTGAATGTAGCATATTTATCCCTTTATTAAGTTTTTTGATGCCTTTAAGTGAGTTGGGTTTTTTTTTTTTCTTTTTTGAGACAGAGTCTCTGTCGCCCAGGCTGGAGTGCAGTGGTGCGATCACAGCTCACTGCAGCCTTGAGCTTCCCAGGCTCAGGTGAGCCTCCCACCACAGCCTCCCAAGGAACTGGGACCGCAGATAAACACCAGCACACTTGGATAATTTTTTTGTAGAAACGGGGTCTCAGTATGTTGCCCAGGCGGGTCTGAAACTCCTGGGTTCAAGCAATCCACCAGCCTCGGCCTCCCAAAATGCTGGGATTACAGACGTGAGCTGCTGCATCCAGCTGAGATTTTAAAGTATTTCATAAAAGTCTTGCACATTTCTCTTTGGGTGGATTCTTCGGGTATTTTTTGTTACTATTGTGAATGGAATCCTTCCTTTTGTTGCATTTTCTCATTGTTATTTGGATATAGACGAGCTATTAGTTTTCTCACATTAATTTGAAATCACCCATCTATTTGGGCTCTCTTCACATTGGCCTATAATGTTCTGTTTGCTTCAGTTTTCCTTTTCTTTTCCAAAGCTTGGAATATCTCAACAGCTCTCATATAAAATTCCAAGTGTCCAAAACTGAAGTTCTTCCCAGTCTGACTAGAAACCTAGTCCTCTCCCAGGATCCATCAGTTCAGAGACCTTACCAGCCCCCATCAAAGGCACAAGCGAGGCTGGGCGCGGTGGCTTACGCCTGTAATCCCAGCACTTTGGGAGGCCGAGGTGGGAGGATCACGAGGTCAAGAGATCGAGACCATCCTGGCCAACATGGTGAAACCCCGTCTCTACTAAAAATACAAAAATTAGCTGGGTGTGGAGGTGCGTGCCTGTAGTCGCAGCTACTTGGGAGGTTGAGGCAGGAGAATCGCTTGAACCCAGGAGGCGGAGGTTGCAGTGAACTGAGATCGCGCCACTGTACTCCAGCCTGATGACACAGTGAGATTCCGTCTCAAAAAAAAAAAAAGGCACAAGCGAGAAGACTACATGTTCTCCCTTTTTCCTCTGAATCTCAAATACGTTACCTTCTTAGCATCTCCACCCTTGTCCAAGCTCCCAACACAAGCTCTGATGAACTGACCGTTTCAAGACTTACATCTCATGTCTGTCTTCCTTTTAAAATTCTCCAGTGGCTTCCCCTTGCAGAACTCTAGCCTTATGAGCCTCCGATCCCTCCCAACCTCCCTGTGCAGTCTCAAATATTAGCCACCAATTCTGGGCCCTGGTTTTTGGAGGTGCTGGTGCTAGATTGCTTCTGAATAGAATAATCCTGGTCACATGTCTCACAAATATTAATCTTTGCTCATACAATGTTTGAGTTTAAGGCTCATTCCAGTGGAATTTGGTTATATCATAAAGTGCGGAAAGGTCTCAGCAGTGTTAGCACAAAGAAAATTTTGCTTTGGCCAGACACAATGGCTCATGCCTGTAATCCCAGTACTTTGGGAGACTGAGGCAGGTGGGATCGCTTGAGCTCAGGAGTTCGAGACCAGCCTGGGCAACATGGCAAGATCCCATCTCTACAAAAAATACAAAAATTAGCCAGGCAAGGTGGTAGGCGACTGTAGTCCCAGCTACTTGGAAGGCAGAGATGGGAGGCTCACCTGAGCCTGGGGAGGTCGAGACTGCAGTGAGCTATGACCACACCACTGCACTCCAGCCTGGGTGACACAGTGAGACTCTGTCTCAAAAAGAAAAAAAAAAAAAAAGAAAAGAAGAAATTTGCTTCAATTCCCTGTAAGGATCATTTCAGGTCATTCTGAATGTGGTTAAGTTAATGGTATATGATTTCTCCTACTAAAATAGCTTTGTGATCAGGACATGGAATTTGGTCCACTCTAGAGATATATGGATAAAAGGTAATTCATTAGACAGCATAAAATCTCATTGTATTTGGATTTTTTTTTCTTTTTTTTTTTTTTTGAGACAGAGTCTCGCTCTGTCACCCAGACTGGAGTGCAGTGGCATGATCTCGGCTCACTGCAACCTCCACCTCCTGGGTTCAAGTGATTCTCCTGCCTCAGCTTCCTGAGTAGCTGGGATTACAGGCACACACACCACCATGCCCGGCTAATTTTTTTATTTTTAGTAGAGACGGGGTTTCACCATATTGGTCAGGCTGGTCTTGAACTTTTGACCTCATGGTCCACCCGCCTCGGCCTCCCAAAGTGCTGGGATTACAGGTGTGAGCCACCATGCCCAGGCTTAGATCTAGTATTTTTTAAAAAATACATTTATGTACCAATACAGTGAGGTTCTGGGGATACAGCAATTAACAAAAGACACATTTCCAGAACACTGAGTTTATTTTTCAGTGTGGACCAATGCATGTTTTCTTCAGTTCCAACCCTGAAGCACCCCTCTACCTTAGCCAGATCATGCCTCTTACATGCCATAATTTCCTAATCACATCCCGTAGTTTTCCTAATGTTGGGAATATGGCCAAAGCAAATTACATAATGTTCACGAAGCATTTGAATACATGGAAAGGAAGTGTTTTGCTAACATGAGGTACATTCAGTTAGTAAAACAAGCTTCTTTTACCTGGCAAAAGATAGGGTTACAAAAATAGTACTTGAGGTCGGGCGCAGTGGCTCACGCCTGTAATCCCAGCACTTTGGGAGGCCGAGGCGGGTGGATCACATGAGGCCAGGAGTTCCAGACCAGGCTGGCCAGCATGGTGAAATCCTGTCTCTACTAAAAATACAAAAAATTTAGCCAGGCGTGGTGGCGGGTACCTGTAATCCTAGCTAGTCGGCAGACTGAGCCAGGAAAATTGCTTGAATCTGGGAGGTGGAGGTTGCAGTGAGCCAAGATCACGCCACTGCACTCCAGCCTGGGCGACAGAACGAGACTATCCCCCCCACCAAAAAAATACTACTTGTGGTTTCACCCACTCCAACAATGAACTACAGCAAAAACTTAGTACTTTATTCAATCTTGAGAAAGTTTCTAATTTGTGTCAATACTTCTAATATTTCTCTAGCCTGTGGCTAGAAACTTTCACTGCAATGTTATTCCTCTCTTCTTCTTATATTTCTGTGTCTCCAAGTCCTATCACTATCTTCTTCTGAATGTCTCTTGAATTTGTCTGTTCTGTATTTTTATACCCACTCTCTTCTTCTTGGCATCACCTATGCACAACTGTGCCCTCCCTGATGGAAGCCTCCCTGGTCCACAAGACATTTAGCCACTACATCAATCTTTTTTGTATCTGTAGAGGTAAGATCTCACTCTCTGCCCAGTCTAGAGTGCAGGGGCACAATCATGGCTGACTGCAGCCTCAGACTCTTGGGCTCAAGTGATCCTCCCACCTCGGCCTCCTGAGTAGCTGGGACTATAGGCATGCACCACTATGCTCAGCTAATTTTCCTATTTTTAAAAAATCTCTGTAGAAACAAGGTCTCACTATGTTGCCCAGGCTGCTCCAAACACCTGGCCTCAAGTGATCCTCCTGCCTCAGCCTCCCCAAGTGCTGAGATTACAGGACTAAGCCACTGTGCCTGGCCCAGATCAATCTTTTGAATGCCATTTTCATGTTCTTATGCAAAAACATCAACAACAACAAACAACAACAACAAAAATCTCTAATGACTCTGTATTTTACTGTGAATCCTGAGTTTCTCCCTGGGTATTAAGATTTCCCATTCCCTAACAACACATTTATTCCCCATTATTCCTCATGGTATAGCTTGGATTAGCCCCTTTTACCCACCCCAGCTACCTCCCAGAGTTTATTCTTGCTTCTTAACCCATCAGACAATCCCTCTCTCCTTGCTGGGCCCTAACCTACATTCAGGGTCCAGGCCAGGCATTTTGTCAGTGAAGCCTCACTCAAGCCAGTGTTTCCCAAACGTCAGTCTGTGATGACATTTTCACTAGTGCCAAAACCAAAAAAATAAGGACAATGTAAGCGGGGTTTTCATAAAACGAAACTAATTTTAAGTGGCTGTTCTTTGTTGTGATGTTATGTCTTTCCTGCTTTTTTCATGTTAAAATGTTCTTTCTTTAATGAAAGAGGTAACAAAAAACGGTGACAGAGCAGTGACTTAGCAAAATAAAAACTGGGCAATATTATACTGATCCCCACATGTACATAAATGTTTCGACTGCTCTGGGAATTACAACTCTAACCATCAGTGATCAGCTCCCTCTTTTTAATCCTATTTAAGAATCATATAGTTTAGTATTCAATTACTTCCCATACAGGTGGCTTTGTTCCCCAGCTAAGTTAGGCCCCTCTGAGGGAGGAACCATCCATCCATCCATTCATTCATTCATTTTCTGGGCCAGCGTTTCGCTCTGTCACCCAGGCTAGAATGCAGTGGCACGAACACAGCTCACTGCAGTCTCGAACTCCTGGGCTCCAGTGATGCTCCCACCACAGCCTCCTGAGTACCTGGGACTACAGGGCATGCACCACCACCCCTGACTAATTTTTCAATTTCTTGTAGGGACAAGGTCTTACTATGTTGCCCAGGCTGGTATCAAACTGAGCTTAAGCAATCCTCCCGCCTCAGCCTCCCCAAGTGCTGTGCCACTTCCAAGGCCACTGTACCAGAGCCACTGATCTGTCAATTCTGATACAAATTTAGGATATCTTCAAATTTGCATTGAAGGAAAAAAAGTCACATTTCAGTTATATCAACAGATTCAAATGCCAAAAATGTTAAGCCCATACAGGAGAACTGAACTCCATTCCATTATCTGCAACTGAAACAAACACTTCTTTCCAATCTTGCTCAGTAAGTTTATGCATACACAAGACTCACACATGTTTCCACTATTCAGACACCATTAAATGATCAAATGATTTCTTCCTGCGGGGAAAACTGTCTAAGTTAACAAAACACACTTTAGCACCCACCGGCCATGCCTATTGGCTTTGGAGGTGGGAACAGATCTCTGGTAAAGTGACAGTCCTGAGGTAAGTTTTCAAAACACCTGTTTGCTTAAAATATGGATGTTACAGTTCATCTTCTACAATTGCACTAAATTAAAAATAAATGACAAAATCATGTGAACTATTTGCCATCAGAAGTGTGACAGAATTCAGATCATACCCCAAACGTGGCAGGGTTAGGCAGAGCTGTTGTGGCAAAAACTGTCTCTTCTGTGAGACACAACTGAGCCCCAAGGACGAGGTGGGGATGTGCCACCTGCTGCCTGTCCCCACGGGTTCCCTGCCAGCACCAAACATTAATACTATCTGTGTGATCCTTTCTAGTCCAGAAAGCTCTTCTAGAAACACTATTCTCTTCTTATTCTCATAGGATGAGGGACATGGACACACAGACAGATGGATTTTTTTCCTAATTCATGGGTGAAGGCATCTCTGCTGCACCCCCATCCCACTCTACATTAATGCGGCATCATCATAGCTCTTTGCAGAGCCTGAAATTAAACCCTTTCTTTATTTGCATTCTTCTTAATGCCTAGCTCCACTGAAGCAAGTACTGTGTCTTTTATTCTTAACCACTGTCTCCCCAGAGGCTGAAACAGTGCCTGGCACATGCAGTTGACTTTAAACATATTTGTTAAATGGTATTAGGTAATGACTTTTTTTTTTTTAACTGTGTAGTTAACCCACTAGAATGTAAGCATCAAGAAGGCAGACGCTGCCTTCTCAACCATTACATTCCTAGCACGGAAGCACAGGGCCTGGCAGAAATTAGCGCTTGATCAATGTTTGTTGAAATCAATGGATAACTGCCTGCTTGAATGAATGTATGAAAACAACTGTTTTGCAAGCGCCACAATGTGATGTGTCTGACTCCTATGCCATGTTCACAAGGAGTCGAGAGCCTGGAAGCTTTGCACACTACTGCCTGGAAGATCTGATTCTTTGGAAATAAAATATATATATATATTCTGCAGGTTCAAAGCAGAAGTATTATTATAATGAGGGAGAAATAAAGTAATAAAGTACATGTCAAAAAACAAGTACTAAAGTCCAGAGGGCATTTGGAACTTTTTTTTTTTTTTTTGAGATGGAGTCTTGCTCTGTTGCCCAGGCTGGAGTGCAGTGGCACGATCTCAGCTCGTTGCAAACTCCACCTCCCAGGTTCAAGCGATCCTCCTGCCTCAGCCCCCCTAGTAGCTGGGATTACAGGCATGTGCCACCATGCCCGGCTAATTTTTGTATTTTTAGTAGAGACGAGGTTTCGCCATGTTGGCCAGGCTGGTCTCGAACTCCTGACCTCAGGTGATCCACCCGCCTCGGCCTCACAAAGTGCTGGGATTACAGGCGTGAGCCACCGCGCCCGGCCAAAAACGGGACACGGAACTTTTTATTTGAACAAAGCTCTCATGAAGGAACCGTCATTTTTACATCTTAAGGAATGATCTTCAAGGATTTGTTACACCATCACATTCCAAGAAAACCGGTAACTGGGGATCACTCTCTATTTTTTAACATTAAAATGTTATTTTTCCCAACACCCTCACAGAATCTGCAGCCCCTGAAGTAGGAGCTCTTCCTGGATGGAGAAAGAAGACAGGTCGCACACAGGAAGCAATTGCCAAAGCTATTGTTTTCTTTCGTTTGGTTTTTTCTTAAGTATTATAGGCTAACACCTTTGCTTTGGAAGGTAAGAAAAGTGTCTCATTAAAGTCTATCTATATAGGACAATTTCTATCTCCAGATAATGTTTCTGTCTTAAATAAACCCAGTGGAATGTTTTACAGCGGAACAAGGGCAAGGCCAGACTCAGCGGCTCATGCCTGTAATCCCAGCACTTTGGGAGGCTGAGGCAGGAAGATTCCTTGAGCCCAGGAGTTGGAGACCACCCCTGAGCAACGTAACAAGACACTGTATCTTAAAAAAAAAAAAATAGAAATTAGCCAGTTCAGTGGTTTGCACTACTCAGCACCAGCTACTCAGGAGGCTGAGGGAGGAGAACTGCTTGAACCCAAGAGTTCAAGGCTGCGGTAAGCTATGACTGCACCACCGCACTCCAGCCTGGGCAACAGAGTGAGATGCCGTCTCTTTAAAAGAATAAATAAATAAGAAGAAGAAAGGAAAAAAAAAAGTAATCATAAGTAATAGCAAGAGAAAGCAATGTCAGTATTTTCTCTCTCTGTGTTCTACCAAATGAGGCAGTATTATTATTTTATAGAGATAGGATTTTGCTATGTTGCCCAGGCTGGTCTCAAACTCTTGGTCTCAGCAATCCTTCTGCCTCAGCCTCCCGGAGTGCTGGAATTCCAGGTGTGAGTCAACATTTCCAACCGAGGCAGTATTAATTTGACACATAGAAAGATCAACAGAAAATCCAAAGGCGGCCAGGCGTGGTGGCTCACCAGCACTTTGGGAGGCCAAGGCAGGTGGATCACCTGAGGTCAGGAGTTTGAGACCAGCCTGACCAACGCAGTGAAACCCTACCACTACTAAAAATACAAAATTAGCCAGGCGTGGTGGCGCAAGCCTATAATCCCAGCTACTGGGGAGGTTGAGGCAGAAGAATCACTTGAACCTGGGGGACGAAGGCTGCAGTGAGCCAAGATTCTGCCATTGGACTCCAGCCTGGAGACAGAGCAAAATTCTATGTCAAAAAAAGAAAAGAAAAGAAAATCCGAAGGTGAGGATGAAGTTTAGCAAGGTAATACACTGCAAAAACCCCACACGTGGCTATGAAAACCCCAGGAAATACACACAATCTTCTAAAACAAAGTGCCTTATAATTTCTTTCCTATTTATCATTTTATAGTGCTACTTCCATAACACTGAAGTATTTAACGGTATTATTTTGCCTGGTTTTATCATAAAAGCCATTATAATTATTTGGCTAATCATTATTCACATCACAGTATAAATCAGGGTAAAATAATTATGCTCAACTTGATTGAGCATAGAAGGAAAATAGAAGCTCAGAGAGATTAAGCAACAGCTCGAGGTGACCTGGCAAAGTTAGTGACGGAGATAAGAACTGATCCATCTCCTCAATGAAAACCACAGCATTCACTGACTCACGCTACTTCATCAAGACAACTGAGCATTAGAATGAAAACATTTTGGTGGCTCATGCCTGTAATCCCAGCAGTCTGGGAGGCCGAGGCGGGTGGATCACAAGGTCAGGAGCTCGAGACCAGCCTGGCCAAAATGGTAAAACCCCGTCTCTACTAAAAATACAAAAAAAGTTAGCTGGGCCTGGTGTTGGGCACCTGTAATCCCAGCTACTCGGGAGACTGAGGCAGGAGAATTGCTTGAACCTGGGAGGCGTGGGTTGCAGTGAGTCCAGATCACGCAACTGCACTCCAGCCTGGGCAACGAGTGAGACTCCATCTCAAAAAAAAAAAAAAGAAAAAATTTGTCACAACATTAAACGTTTCCAGTCGATGTAGCTAACAATAGATTCATAAGATCATTTAAAACTTAAAAAAAAAAAAAATCAACCAGACACAGTGGCTCACGCCTGTAATCCCAGCACTTTGGGAGGCCAAGGCAGGTGGATCACATGAGGTCAGGAGTTCGAGACCAGCCTGGCCAACATGGTGAAACCCCGTCTCTACCAAAAATATAAAGAATTAGCTGGGTATGGTGGCATGCACCTATAATCCCAGCTACTTGGGAGGCTAAGGCAGGACAATCGCTTGAACCCAGGGGGCTGAGGTTGCACTGAGCCAAAATCATGCCACTGCACTCCAGCCTGGGTGACAGAGTGAGATTCCATCTCAAAAAAAAAAAAAAAATTGGTCATGACCCAGCAATTTCACCCTTAGGTATGTCCTCAATGCAAATGCACAGATACATGCTCACCATGTAGTAAAAGGATAATAAATAATAGTAGCACAGTTCCTAATAGTTCTTTTATTGATTGTACTGTTTGATTGTACTCAGTTTTGGAACTGAGAACCATTGAGATGTCCATCAACAATACAAACAATAAAAAAGTTGTGGTCATCACAAAATGGAATACTATACAGCAATGAGAATGGCAGATCCTAACAACACACACATTTATGAATGAATCTCACAAACATAATATTCAATGAAAGCCACAAGACAATACATTTCATACAATGCCACTTATATAAAGTACAAAAGCAGACAGAACTAATATATGCTGTTAAAGTTAGGCTAGTGATTATCCTTTAGCAGGATAAGGTAATGACCTGAAGGACGCATGAAGAAGGTGACTGGGGAACTGGCCATGCTCTATGTCCTGACCTGGATGCTAATTATATACATGTGTTCAGTTTGTGAGAATTCAGTGAGCTGTACACTCAGATATTTATAAATCAATCATAAACATCAATAGACAGAATAGAAAGTCCAAATATAGACCCATGTCAACTGATGTTCTTCAAAGATGCCAAGACAATTCGATGATGGGGGAAAAAAGATAGCCTTGTCTAGACTGGAAAATAAGAAATCCAGCCAGAATGAATGGGATATCATTATGAAAAAAGAATAATAATAAGTCTCAACCCTTACCTCACATCATACACAAAAATTGGCCTCAAACGGAGCAGAAACATAAAAATTAAATACAATAACGTAAAAACTAGATACCATTAGGAAAATGAAAGGGCAAGAGACAGACTGGGAGAAAATATTAACAACCCATATGACCAACAAAAGACCTGCATCTAGAATAAAGAACTCTACAACTCAATTTAAAAAAAAAACCCAATCCAATTAAAAAATTGATATTTGGCTGAGCACAGCAGCTCACAACTGTAATCCCAACACTGGGAAGCCAAGGTGGGAGGATGACTTGTGTCCAGGTGTTCAAGATCAGCCTGGGCAAAACAGTGAGACCCTATCTCTATAAAAATTTTTAAAATTAACTTTTAAATAGACACCTTACCAAAAAAGACATCACATGGCCAATAAGCACAGAAAAACATGCTCAGTATCAATAATCATTGGTACAATGCACAATGCACATGAAAACCACAGTAAGGTACCACCACATACCTACTAGAATTGCTAAAATTAAAAAGACTGACAATACTAAGTGCTAGCAAGGAGGTGGAAGTAGCAGTAGTAAGTAGTGTTTTCCTGACTCCTGGAGACATTCTAGCAAATTATTATTATTTTGAGACAGGGTCTACACTCTGTCACCCAGGCTGGAGTGCAGTGGCACAATCACAGCTCACTGCAGCCTCAACCTCCCAGGTTCAAGCGATCCTCCCACCTCAGCCTCCCCAAGTAGCTGGGACTACAGGCATGCGCCACCAAGCCTGGCTCATTTTGTTTAATTTTTTGTACAGCTGGAATCTCAGTCTGTTGCTCAGGCTGGGCTTGAACTCCTGGCCTCAAGTGATCTGCCTGCTTCAGCCTCCCAAAGTGCTGGGATTACAGGATTACAGGCCTCTAGCAAATTACTGAACCTGCAAAGGGAACCCCCGATTTATTTATTAGTCAGAAATATAGGTGACAACCTTTGATTTGCAACTCATGGATAAGGTAGGAGTAGTCTTGTGGGACTGAGCCCTTAACCTGTGGGGTCTTTGCTAATTCTGGGGAATTAAGCGTTGGGATTGAATCGAACTGTAGAATAGCCAGTTAGCATCAGAATTGGGATTGATGTGGGGAAAAAAAAAAAAAACCCACACATTAGGTGTCATCAGTGTCATGTGTAACAACAGCTCAGAGTATCACACACAGGTCAATTTTTGTGTATGATGTGAGGTAAGGGTTGAGACTTATTATTATTCTTTTTTCATAAGGATATCCCATTCATTCTGGCTGGATTTCCTATTTTCCAGTCTAGACAAGGCTATCTTTTTTTCCCCATCATCGAATTGTCTTGGCACCTTTGAAGAACATCAGTTGACATGGGTCTATATTTGGACTTTCTATTCTGTCTATTGATGTTTATGATTGATTTATAAATATCTGAGTGTACAGCTCACTGAATTCTCACAAACTGAACACACGTATATAATTAGCACCCAGGTCAGGAAATAGAGCATGGCCAGTTCCCCAGTCACCTTCTTCATGTGTCCTGCAGGTCATTACCTTATCCTGGCTAATTTTTTATTTTTTATAGCGATGGGGTCTCGCAATGTTGCCCAGCCTGGTCTCAAATCCTGGGCTCAAGCGATCCTCCAGCCACAGCCTACCGAAGTGCTGGGATTACAGGCGTGGGCCCCCACACCCAGCCCCTACTCCTTAAGTGTGAGCTGTGTGTAGTGACTTCCTTCCAAAGAGTCCAGTATGGAAAGAGAGGAAAAAAAAGTAACTTTACAGTGGAGAAACCTGACGAACACCATCTCAGCCAGGTGATCAAGGTCAACATCAACAGTGACAAGTCACGCTGATATTAAGAGCATGAAATTTTGACAGGACCCGATGAGAATGGTACTTCACTTCTGTGGTCTTCCTCTCTAAAATGCATAATCCCAATCTAATCATGACACAAACATCAAACACTTCCAGTGGAGGAACATTCTACAAATACCTGACCAGTGCTTCTCAAAGCTGTCAAGATCATCAAAAGCAAGGAAAGTCTAAGAAACTGTCACAGCCAAGAGCAACCTAAGGAAATATGACAACTAAATGTGATGTCATATCCTGGATGGGATCCTGAAACAGAACATGTCAGTAGGTAAAAAATAAGACAGTGAAAGCATGGACTTGAGTTAGTAACAGTGTATTAAAATTGCTTCATTAATTGCAACAAATGTACTGCAGTCATGTTAGATGCTGTTAATTGGGGAATCTGGACGTGTGTATGCGTATGTACATGTGTGTGTGCGCATGTGTGCAAGTGTGCATGTGTGCACGTGTGCCCATGTGTATGTGTGTGCACGTGCATGTGTGTGCGTGTGCCTGCATGTGTGTGCACGTGTGTGCGCGTGTGGGGGCGGAAGGGGTAACATGGGAACTGTCTGTCCTACCTTGGCAATAATTCCATAAGTCCAAAATTGTTCTAAAAAATAATGTCTATAATAAAAAAAAAAACAAAAAAGGTTACAGAACAGTGACGAGGTAAACTCTTTTTGGTAAAATTGTGTGTATGTGGATAAATGTGTATTTAAGAGTCTGGAATGATGTCAACTAATACAGTATAATTATCTTTCTTTAATAATAAATTATGGTATAATTTATTTCTCTTCTTTTCACCTGGTTGTAATCTTTAAATTTTCTGCAAAGAATGATGATATGAAAAACATTTATGAGGAAAAGTAAAAGCTTACTTTTTATATTAAAATATTAGTGACTTTAAAAAAGGATTAAACTGACAGTAGCTAGGATTCTTAATCCACTTCTTTTTTTTTATTTTTTTTATTTTTTTTTATTTTTTTTTTGAGATGGAGTCTCGCTCTGTTGCCAGGCTGGAGTACAGTGGCGCAATCTCAGCTCAGTGCAACCTCTGCCTCCCGGGTTCAAGTTATTCTCCTGCCTCAGCCTCTCGAGTAGCTGGGACTACAGGTGCCCACCACCACACCCGGCTAACTTTTTGTATTTTTAGTAGAGATGGGGTTTCAACATGTTGGCCAGGATGTTCTTGATCTCTTGACCTCATGATCCACCTGCCTCAGCCTCCCAAAGTGCTGGGATTACAGGTGTGAGCCACTGCGCCTGGCCTCTTAATCCACTTCTAAGCACAGGCACTGGTGCTATGTCTGGTTCACTTTCTATTCTTTGTTCAGATTATTAATATGTCATTTGTGATTTCCACCATCAGGCAACTCTAAAGGGCTGAATATGAAATTTTTCCAGGTTGATGTATAATATAAATATGTTACAGAAGACAGGGACAAATCAAAAAGAAATGTCACTAATGTCAGTAACCACAGAAAAATACAAAGTTTTGAAGACTCAGGGTAAAATTTTTCAAAAATTAATTCACAAATAAAACAGCTTTTACAGAATCCTGAAAGGGCTCATTCTATTACTCGGTTATTTGCTTCGTTATCTGAAATCTTGTGGCTTTTCATGTCTTTATTTAAAAAAAAAATAGTGGCACCAGTGCCGGGCACAGTCACTCACTCCTATAATCCCAGCACTTTGGGAGGCCGAGGCAGGTGGATCACCTGAGGTCAGGAGTTCAAGACCAGCCTGGCCAAATATGGTGAAACCCCGTCTCTACTAGAAATACAAAAAAATTAGCCAGGCGTGGTAGTGGGTGCCTGTAATCCCAGCTACACGGGAGGCTGAGGCAGGAGAATCACTTGAACCTGGGAGGCAGAGGTTGCGTTGAGCTGAGATCATACCAGTGCACTCCAGCCTGGGCGAAAAAAAAAAAAAAAAAGTGGCACCGAATTGAGAGCTTAATTTCACACTTCCAACTTGAATAAAATTGACAGATAATTAGGTTTGAGACTGACAGACTGAACACATGCTGTGGACTGCCTCTTCTTTGCTATACCAATAGTAATGACAGAATAGATATTTAAGATAAACATATACACAGCTCTACTCACAAAAGGAATCCTTAAAACAGGGGTCCTCAACCCCCCCTCCCCTGCACCCTCCTCCCCATCCCCCAGGCTGCACAGCAGGAGGTGAGCAGCCAGCAAGCAAGCGAAGCTTCATCTGTGTTTACAGCCGCTCCTGATCAACTGGCATTACTGCCTTAGCTCCGCCTCCTGTCACATCAGCCGGGCAGCATTTGATTCTCATAGGAGCATGAACCCTGTTGTGAACTGCGCATGCGAGGGGTCTAGGTTGCACCCTTTTATGAGAATCTAATGCCTGATGATCTGTCACTGTCTCCCATCACCCCCACATGGGACTGTCTAGTTGCAGGAAAACAAGTTCAGGGCTCCCACTGACTCTGCATGGTGAGTTGTAGAATTATTATATATTGCAATGTAATAATAATAGAAATAAAGTGCACTATAAATGGAATGCGCTTGAATCATCCCAAAACCATCTCCCCCACCCCTGTCCACGGAAAAATTGTCTTCCATGAAACTGGTCCCTGGTGCCAAAAAGGCTGGGGATCACTGCCCTAAAAGATGGAAAGCAAAGGAGCAGAGGGAAATCTTCGCTATTGACAGATGACACAGCCACCCTCAGGCAACTGCCACTACAGGAGGTGGGACCAACCCTTGGGGGATGCCCAGGTGGGAAGCCGGGAAGCTGAGGCCCAGAGGAGGCCACTAGAGTGATGCCTCGGGCAGGGCGTGTGGCCACAGCAGCTGCGCCTGGAATCCTCATTGCTTGGCCATGCCCACCCCCCAGTGGAGGTAATGACCAGGCTCGTTCTCCATCTGCAAGACAGAGTATGGAAGCCTGGCTCTGGGACACAGGGCCATGTTCTGCGCAGGCTGGCAGGTGACTGAAGAACACAGCGTGTCCGGTACACAGCATAAGAGTCCCTCCTGCAGCTCCTCCCCAGCTCCTCCCCACAGCTCGAAGGAGAAGCAGGAAATCCCAGCTGCAAGAATGAACACAGAACCAAGAACCATTCAACATTTACAAGAAGTCACCTCATGAAAGAAAGAAAGAAACTCAATAAAAGTGTTTCCTCGTAAAACAGAGACTACATACTCGTTTCAAACACACATGGAATTTAGAAAAGCTAACTACATACTAAGCTACAAAAGAGACTTTAACAAATCTCCCAAATTGATAAACAGTCTGCATTCATTCACTAAATGTAACCCCAAAAAAAAATCCGCACTAAATATACATCCTAAATAAATCCACACATCTGGAAATTTTTAAACAGTTTTAAATAACTCTTGGATTAAAGAGAAAGTCAAAGTAGAAATGAGAAACTGTTTCAATCAAATGAAAATAAAAAATACTGTATATTAAAATGCAGACTTATTCATTCACTAGAAACCCAGAAAGACTGAAAATGAATAACCTACACTTTCAACTCAAGGATGAATAAATAAAGCAGAAAGAAGGAATTAATAAAGATAATAGTGCAGGTTAATGAAAGGGGAAACAACTGTCAGTCAAACCAGAAGCCGGTTCTTTTAAAAGATTAGTTAAGAAAAAAAAAAAAAGAACAAACCTTTTTAAGTAAGCTCAAGAAAAAGAAAAAAGGCACAGATACCCCAAATAAAGACAAAAGGAGAAAATAAAACCACAAGGAACAATTTTATAAATCATAACAGTGCACCACAGAGGCCCAACTTTAAACCAATAGCTAGAATGAAACATTTTCTAAGAACGTATAAATTGCCCAAATTTGGCCAAAGAGTAGTGAAACCCTGACCAATGGCTGTAAGTTGAAACAGTAATCAAAAATTTACCCAAAGAAACAAAGCACTAAACCTAGATAAGTTTTTTGTTTTGTTTTGTTTTGTTTTTGAGACGGAGTTTCGCTCTTGTTGCGGAGGCTGGAGTGCAGCGGCGCGATCCCGGCTCACTGCAACCTCTGCCTCCCAGGTTCAAGTGATTCCCCTGCCTCAGCCTCCTGAGTAGCTGGGATTACAAGCATGCACCACTACACCCGGCTAACTTTGTATTTTTAGTAGAGATGGGGTTTCTCCATGTTGGTCAGGCTGGTCTTGAACTCCCAACCTCAGGTGATCAGCCCACCTCGGCCTCCCAAACTGCTGGGATTACAGGCGTGAGCCACCACGCCCGGCTAAACCTACCTAGTTTTACAGGAAAACTCTATCAAGATTTCAAGGTACAGATAATTCCCACCTTATAAAAACTGTTCCCACCTTCTAACAAAATAATAATAAGAGAAGCCATCCCAACTGAGTTGATGAGACCGACACTGAAACCAGGAAACTACAACAAAAGCAAGCAAAATTACAGGCGATGGTAGATTCCTCCAGTGCTGCCAACATCTCCTTTTCCTGTCCTTCCAGGAAAACAGAAGTCTGCACTTCCCAGCTCCCTGCAAGGGATCACATGACTGGAGTCTCTCTAGCAAAAGTGCTGTGTGTCACTTCCGGACCACAATACAGAGGAGCAGGTAAGAGATCTCCAAGCCTCAGTGAAGCCCGAAGCCACCGAACTCCTATCGGCCTTGATATCTGAATGACTGGGTGGAAAACAGCTCCCCCTGACCCCCAACTCACAATGAACATGGGCAGAAATTAAATCATAGTTACCTGGGGCAGGGGTCCGGGAGTGGAGAAGGATGGCGCAGGGAGGATCCCAGGCTTGGAAGAGGTGGACGAGGAGGCCTTTAGCCTAGCATTTTTGTCTTTCCACAAAGAGAATGCATGTATACATTGCTTCTTAATTAAAAATAAATCTTGGGTCAGGTACAGTGGTTCATGTCTATAATCGCAGCAGTCTGGGAGACCGAGGCAGGAATATCGCTTGAAGCCAAGAGTTTGAGACCAGCCCAGGCAACATAGCAAGATTCCATCTTTACCAAAAATACTGTTTTAAGTTAGCTGGGCATGGTGACACACATCTGTTAGTTTCAGCTCCTTGGGAGGCTGAAGCGGGGATGTCACTAATAAACATTCATGTAACAAGGGTTTGTGTAGACATATACTTAATTCTCTTGAGGATTCTGCCTAGAGATAGAACTGCCACATCAGACAGGAACTCTATGTCCAACATTCTGGGGAACTGTCAAAGTGTTTTCCAAAGTAGCTGCACAATTTTACATTCCCAACAGCAATACATAAAAGTTCCAATTTCACCACATTCTAGCCACCGCTTATTATGATCTCACTTCTGTTTTTGTTCTTTTTGGAGACAGTCTTGCTCTGTCACCCAGGCTGGAGTGCAGTGGTGCAATCTAGGCTCACTGCGATCTCTGCCTCCCAGGTTCAAGCTATTCTCCTGCCTCAGCCTCCCGAGTAGCTGGGATTACAGGCGCCTGCCACCACGCCCAGCTAATTTTTGTATTTTTAGTAGAGATGGGGTTTTGCCGTGTTGGCCAGGCTGGTCTCGAACTCCTAACCTCAGGTGATCCACCTGCCTTGGCCTCCCAAAGTGCTGGGATTACAGGCATGAGCCACCACACCTGGCCTGATCGCATTTTTTAATTTTAGCCATCTAGTGAGTCTACGGGGTATCTCACCACGGTTTTGATTGGCATGTCTCTGAGACTTTGATGCTGAGCATCTTTTCATGGGCTTATTGGCCATGTTGGTAGCCTTCTTTGGAGAAATGTCTGTTCAGATCCTTTACCCATGTATTAAACTGAGTTATTTGTTTTTCATTGTGGAGTTGTAAGGGTTCTTTATATATTTTAGAGACAAGACCCTTTTCAAACATAATTTGCAAACATTTTCTCCCATGCTGTGAGTTTTCTTTTTCTTCAAGAGTCCTTTGAAGCACAGAAGCTTTGAATTTTGATGAAATCCAATTAATCTGTTTTCCTTTTGTTGCCTGTGCTTTGTTTGTCATATCTAAGATTCCATGTCTAGACCAAAGTATTGAAGATTTATTCCTGTTTTCTCCTAGGAGTTCTTGAGGTAGGAGCTCAATTTCATTCTTTTACATGTGTATATCCACTTGTTCCAGGACCATTTGTTGAAAAGACTATTATTTCCCCTGTCAAATTATCTTGTCATCACTGTTGAAAATCAACTGACCATAAATATGAGGACTTATTTCTGGATTCCGAAGTCTATTCTATTGACCTCTATATCTACGCTACTGTCAGTACCATTCTGTCGTAATTACTTTAGCTTTGTAGTAAGTTTTGAAATTGAGAAGTGCTAGTCTCCAACTTTGTTGTTGTTTTTTCAGGACTGTTTGAGCTATTCTAGATCTCTTGCATTTCCAGATAAATTTTAATCAGCTTGTCAAATTCTGCAAAACAAAAAACAACAAGAAAACACCTTCTGGGATGTTAATAGGTACAGTGCTGCATCTGCAGATCTGGTTAGGGAGGACTCCCATCTTGACAAGAGCAAGTCCTTCAATCCATGAACATGGCTGTCTTTCCATTTAGTTAGGTCCTCTTTCATTTCTTTCCACGATATTTTAGAGTTTTTAGTGTACAGGTCTTATACTTCTTTCATTGAATTTACTCCTATTAATGCTTTTTTATACTATTTTAAAATAGATTTTTAAAATTTTTTTATTTTCAGTAGATTAGGGTTTGCATAGGATGGTGGGGCGGGGACAGGAAATAAGGGGACCTGGGCATAACAGCTAAGGGATACATGGTTTCTTTTGGGAGTAAAGAAAATGTTCTATAATTGATTGTGGTGACGGTTGCACAACTCTGACTACACTAAAAACCACAGAATGGTACATTTAAAATGGTGACTTTTATAGTATGTGAGTTATCTCAATAAAAATGTTACCAAATGAAAGAGAGAACCTTGTTAACTAGATAAAACAAACTCTTAGCATTTTGTACTGTTCCATTTACCTCCGTATGAAAAAAGTTCCACATCCTCAGGCCAATGTCAAAAAGACACTGTTTAGATAATAATGATTTACTTGGAAACATTAACTCCTGTTAAATTAGTCTAAAACAAAGTATGATATGACTGCCACAATATTAAACTAGGAGAAGAGAAAACATAAACCCCTGCTGTTTGCTTTTGTAAATTATTCAATGGAATGTTGATGGAGTACATTTGGGATTCACAAATAAATAACCTACCCATTATAAACAAACCAACTACAATCTTGGGCAATGATTTCAAAATTACTGAAGTAGTCTCTAAGTAAAATCCCTGTTTCCTGTGTTGATTCAAATCCAATTTATTCTTAATACATTATTAAAATCCATCTTGATTTTTCAAGGATCTCGACTGCCTACAAACTGCATTCTTTGGATTTCAAACCCCCCCAAAATGCAGTTTCTCTTGATCTACTTTGGCAACCTTATCATTCAAATATGGTTTGTTTAATGGTTCACAGACCAGGACATGGAAATGTTTACTTTTGGGTCTTTCTTTGTGTTGCATGTTGGCTGCCCCCTTTCGATAACATCCAGCCAATATTTCAGCTAGAATGTGGGCTCCACAGGAGTGCACAGCACATAGTAGGCACTTGATCGATATTTGCTGATGAGCGCCACTTGATATTGTATGCCTGACTCTGTGTTAAGCACTTCCCCTACATTATCTCCTGTATTTCCTCCACAAACTGTGTGAAGAAACTATCAGTCTAACAGATTACTTGTCCAAGACTGCACACATTGAACCACTCACTGTCCAGTGACTTCTGAAATCCTAGTCATTCTTCAGGTTACTGCTCAAATCCTATCTCCTCTCCAATGTCTAGAGCCAACAATGATTCTCCTTTCTCTACACTGCTTAAGTACTTCCTGCCTTTGACACATAAATCTATATTACCTTGAATTATTTCTTTAAGTAGACTTTTTATTTATTAATTGATATTTATTTATTTTTGAGATGGAGTCCTGCTGTGTCACCAGGCTGGAGTGCAGTGGCGCGATCTCAGCTCACTGCAACCTCCGACTCTTGACCTCGTGATCCGCCCGAGGGTTGAACAAATGGAAAAACCTAACAAGTTCTTGGATAAAAAGATGCAACATAAACATCAGTTCTTTCCAAATTAATCTAGAAATTTAATGCAATTCTGTTAAAATATTTACGGAATTTTTCTTGGGGAAGAATCAGGGAACTAGATATCAAGAACTAGCTCACAGAAAATAAACATCAATAGCCCGTGAATATATGGCCAGGATAGTCTCAATCTCTTGGCCTCATGATCCACCCACCTCGGCCTCCCAAAGTGCTGGAATTACAGGTGTGAGCCACCGCACCCAGCCGACTTTATTTCTTAGAGCAGCTTTAGTACAACAAAATCGAGCAAAAGGTATCCAGAAATCCTCTATACTCCCTCCCCGACCAAATGCACAGCTACCCTTACTGATATGGTTTGGGTATGGGTCCCCCCGCAAATCTCATGTCAAATTGTAATCCCCAGTGTTGGAAGTAGGCCTGGTGAGAGGTGATTCGATCATGGGGGTGGGGTTCTCATGAATGATTTAACACCACCCTCCTTGGTACTGTATAGTGAGTTCTCAGAAGATCTGGTTGTTTCAAAGTGTGTAGCAACTAGCATCCTCCTCGTTCTCTCTCTTCCTCCTGCTCTGGCCATGTAAGACGTGCCTGCTTCCCCTTCACCTTCCACCATGGTTGAAAGTTTCCTGGTGGCCGGGCACGGTGGCTCACACCTATAATCCCAGCACTTTGGGAGGCCGAGGTGGGTGGATCACCTGAGGTCAGGAGTTCGAGACCAGCCTGGCCAACATGGCTAAACCCCGTCTCTACTAAAAATACAAAAAAATTAGCTGGGCATGGTGGTGGGTGCCTGTAATCCCAGCTACTCAGGAGGCTAGGGCAGGAGAATCGCTTGAACCCAGGAGGTGGAGAGTGCAGTGAGTCGAGATCAAGCCATTGCACTCCAGCCTGGGTGACAAGAGTGAAACTCCATCTCAAAAAAAAAAAAAAAAAAGAAAAGAAAAGAAAAGAAAAAGAAAGTCTCCTGGGAGGGACCTCCTCAGAAGCCGTCATGCTTCCTGTACAGCCTGTGGAACCATGAGCCAATTAAACCTCTTTTCTTTATAAATTACCCAGTCTCAGGTATTTCTTTAGAGCAGTGCAAGAACAGACTAATACACCCATTATCAATATCTTATACCAGAGCGCTGCATTTATCATACTCAATGAACCTATGTGAACACATCATTATCATACAGAGTCTATAGTTTACATTAGGGTTCACTCGTGGTGCAGTACATTCTATAGGTTTTGACAAATGTAGAATGACATGTAGCCACCCTTATAGTATCACACGGAATAGTTTCGCTGCCCTAAAAAATCCTCTGTACTCTACCCGTTATTCTCCCCGTCCCCTTGGCAACTTCCAATCTTTTAACTGTCTCTACAGTTTTGCCTTTTCCAGAATGTCACATAGTTGGAATCATATAGTATATATCCTTTTCAGATTGACTTCTTTCACTTACAATTCTTACAAATCAGCAATAAAAAGACAAAATAAGCCAATTAAAATATAGGCAAAGGATCTGACCAGACATTTCTCCAAAGAAGATAAACAAATGGTCAATAAAGCTCATAAAAGATGGTCAACATCATTAGCCATCAGGCAGATGCAAATCAAGACTAGTATGAAATATCACTTTCCACGGCCAGGCGTGGTGGTTCACACCTGTATTCCCAGCATTTTGAGAGGCCGAGGTGGGTGGATCACCTGAGGTTAGCAGTTCGAGACCAGCCTGGCCAACATGGTGAAACTCCGTCTCTACTAAAAATACAAAAATTAGCCAGGCATGGTGACACACACCTGTAATCCCAGCTATTCGGGAGGCTGAGGTGGGAGAATCACTTGAACCTGGGAGACGGAAGTTTCATTGAGCCAAGATCACACCATTGCACTCCAGTCTGGGCAACAGAGTGAGACTCTCTCAAAAAGGAAAAAAAAAGAAAGAAAGAAATACCACTTCCCACCTAAGATAGTTAAAAAAAAAAAAAAATACAGAGGGGCAAGGATATGGAGAAACTGGAACACTCCTACATTGATGGTGGCAATGTAAAATGGTGCCACCACTTTGGAAAACAAGTTGGCAGTTGTTCAAAATGTTGAACGTGGAGTTACCATAAAATCCAGCAATTCTACCCCTATGTAAAATACCAAAGAAAAGTGACAACATATGGTCACACAAAATCTTACATGTGAATGCTCATAGCAGCATTGTTCAGAATAGCAAAAATGCAGAAACAACCCAAACGTCCATCATCTGATGAATGGATAAACAAACCGCAGCAAATCCACACAATGGAATATTATTCAGCCATGAAAAGAATGAAGTATTAATCCATACTCCAACGTAAGTGCACCTAGAACATAATGTGCTAAATTAAAGAAGTCACATACAAAGGACCACATATGCACAATGTCATTTATCGGAAATGTCCAGAATAGACAAATCTATATATAAAGAAAGTAGATTAGTGGTTGCCAGGGACTCAGAATAAGCGGAATAGGGAGTGACTGCTGAAATATGTGGGGTTTCTTTTTCGGGTGATGAAACTATTCTGAAATTAGAGGGTGATGGTGTACAATTCTGTGGATATACGGAAAATACTAAATTATGCACTTTAAAGGGTTAAGTTTATGGTATTTCAATTTCATCTCAAAAAAAATTAAATGTACTGGGTGCAGTGGCTCATGCCTATAATCCCAAAACTTTGGGAGGTCAAGGGGGAAGAATCACTTGAGCTCAGGAGTTTGAGACCAGCCTGGGCAACATAGCAAGACCCCATCTCTACAAAAAAAAAAAATTTTAATTTTAAAAAAATTAGCCAGTCATGGTGCCATATGCCTATGGTCCCAGCTACTTGGGAGGCTGAGGTGGGAGGACTGCTTGAGCCCAGGAGGTCAAAGCTTCAATAAGCTATGAGTGCACCACTGCTCTCCAGCCTGAGCAACAGAGAAAGACCCTGTCTTAAAACAAACAAAAAAAATTAAACACAAGAGTGATTTGAAGACTTACAGAAGTGGCATTTGCTTCTTATAAGTCTTAGCATTATCTTACTAGAGGATGTTAAGTCGGTGTTTAAAATGCCATGCTCTGCGGAACAATACATTTTAAATAAATTATTTAAACAAGAATAAAACGACAATGGCACCTATTGTAAAAGGAGTATAAAAGGTAGTGTCTGGGCATAAGAGTTTAGAGTTTAGCTAGATAGACAAAAATGCATCAGCAAGAAAAGCAACGATAGTGCAAGGCTGATCGCTTCTGCCGCGCACATTAAATGACTCCTCCGACGCTATCAATCCATCTTTTGTGCTATCTTTTAGGTCCATTCTTTCCAGCCCCGCTGCCACTGCTCAAGTCCAGGCAACTCTTATCTCATGTCTGGATGAGTACAATAGGCTCTGGCATCTCTTTTCTCTAATTCCTTTTAATCATGAAATAATTATTTGTTGGATAAATGAATAAAACATTTTCATTGTATAACTCTCCTACACATAAACCTCTGAGCTCAGCATTATTTACTAAATGAAAATTTCTTTAAAAAAAAAAAGTATTTGGCCGGGAGCAGTGGCTCACATCTGTAATCCCAGCACTTTGGGAGGCCGAGGCAGGTGGATCACCTGAGGTCAGGAGTTCGAGACCAGCCTGGCCAACATAGCAAAACCCCATCTCAACTAAAAATACAAAAAATTAGCCAAGCATGGTGGCAGGCGCCTGTAATCCCAGCTACTCGGGAGGCTGAGGCAGGAGAATCACTTGAACTTCTTAGGTGGAGGCTGCAGTGAGCCGAGATCGTGCCACTGCACTGCAGCCTGGGCAACAGAGCAAGACTCTGTCTCAAAAAAAAAAAAAAATTAAAAAGAGTACAAACTCCCCTTGGATCGAACTACTGACGTCACTGATGACCTTTCCCCTCATGCATTTTTTTAAGTGCTCCTTTGCTCAGGGTCCCCTGGCAACCAACATGCTCCACCTCCTTTACCCCTGCGCTTCCAGGCCTAGTTCAAGTCCCCCGTCCCCCTTCTTCAATCTGTCCTTTACTGTCCTGTAAAGTTACCTACTTCTTTTTTTTTTTCCATTGGTACTTACATAGCTCTCCAAACAGATTTCAAACTCACTAAAAGTAGTGACTATGCAGTCACTTCTGCATGCAGGGGGTAAATCTAAGACAATAAACACTGACACAGAGAATCAAATGTCAAAATGGGCTGTTCAAGCAGATTTTAAGAATTCACAGAAATAGAATAGTATCGTAGGAATGGTTAGGAAGGTAGTTTGTTTGTTTTTGTAGAGGTGAGACAGGCTGGGTTTCAAAGGGCAGGTAAGTTTTGGATATATAGTAAGGATGTATTGTCAGAAATCAGTGCCTGTAAATCAGGCTCATGCCTGTAATCCCAGCACTTTGGGAGGCTGAGGTGGGTGGATCACCTGAGGTCAGGAGTTTGAGATCAGCCTGGCCAACATGGTGAAACCCTATCTCTACTAAAAACACACACACAAAAAAAGGCTGGGTGCGCTGGCTCACGCCTGTAATCCTAGCACTATGGGAGGCTGAGGCGGGCAGATCACAAGGTCAAGAGATTGAGACCATCCTGGCAAACATGGTGAAACCCCATTTCTACCAAAAATACAAAAATTAGCTAGGCGTGGTGGCGTGCGCCTGTAATCCCAGCTACTCAGGAGGCTGAGGCAGGAGAATCGCTTGAACCTGGGAGGCGGAGGTTGCAGTGAGCCAAGATCGTGCCACTGCACTCCAGCCTGGTGACCTAGTGAGACTCTGTCAAAAAAAAAAAAAAGAAAGAAATCAATCAATCAGTCAGACAGGACACCGCATATCCCAGGGTCCGTGTGTCAATTGCATGCATGCCTTAGCATGGATCTAAACACAAATTCAAATTGAATCCTTAAAATACAGTTTTTTTATTTTAAAAACTGTATTTTAAAATACAGTGGCTCACACCTGTAATCCCAGCACTTTGGGAGGCCGAGGCAGGAGGATCGCTTGGGCCCAGGAGTTCGAGATCAGCCTGGGAAACATGGTGAAACCTCATCTCTACAAAAAAAATACAAAAATTAGCTGGGTGTGGTGGTGTGTGCCTGTAATCCCAGCTACTCAGGAGGCTGAGGTGGGAGAATCACTTGAGCCCAGGAGTTCCAGGCTGCAGTCAGCCATGATCATACCATTGCCCTCCAGCCTGGGCAACAGAGCGAGACCCTGTCTCTTAAAACAAAACAAAACAAAACAAAACAAAACAATACAACGGGTTAGTGGTTTTGTCTTCAAAAAGCCTTTCACAATGTTACACCATTCATCAAAATCATATTGGAAAGTAAACTCTAATCGATCCATTTAACTCGGTTTGCACTAGCATAGTCAGAAGCCTACATTTTCAATCTGTTACTTATCTTGGATTAACTTTTCTGCAAACCCACCTACATGGATCTTTTATCGTACTACCATTTTCTGCTCACTTAAACCTCCAAGGAGTGTGGGGTAGGAGAGAAGGAAGGGGTTATTCTTCATTTTAATAAGAACAATCAAAAATGCTTAAAGCAAGGGCAGCCTTCATATGATAGCATTTAAAAGAAAAGGACTTCCTGGAAAAAAACTGATGAATTGACAAAGACTGGCAAATATATCTCCATGGCCATGAATGAGTAAAAGTCAGTTTGGAAAGGGATGGTGAGAAACAGGTGGATAATTGCTGATGCTTCCCACGCGCACTACTGTTCAGCAAAGGCAGCTCACAAACACTGCAACTAGCGTTTGTCCTCTGTGGCCTCCAGCGGGTGATCCGGGGCACTGGGTGCAAAACTCTAAGGTGTTTAGAGAAGGGGCCGTTTTAAACAAAGCTCTTCAGAAATGGATCCTCTACAGATTGACCATGATCAAACAATCAAGGAAGTAGAACTAGTTGATCATGGGTTGGGAGCTATAAACCTACCCCTTCCTTTCCCTACTGCTTACAGCGATAGCAGGGTTGGAAGGTGGCATTTTGCTGAGACCCTCTTATCTCTCCCTCCCACATAGACCCATAATCCCCTTACAGTCAATTTCCCTATCCCAGCAAAGGGACAGAGAGGAGGAGTGGGAAAGGGCAGGGCAGGGGGCAAGAAGAGAGAGAAAATGTATTACATTTTAGGGGGCAAAATAAAATTAATCTCTGCCTTCTGTTCTGAAATATTAAATCCCCCCACCCACATTTATCATTAAATGTTCAATCTGTAATAGAAGAAAAATGAGCACGAGCAAGCTTTTGGAGTTCCTGTATGTAATTTCAATTTTCCTTTCCTACTGCCAATAAAAAATATTCAACAAATGTCATACTTTAGTATTAGAATCTTTTTCTTAAAACAAAATTCCTAGGAGACGGTAACTTTCCTATATAACAGTACTTTCACTGCCCTGCCCACAAGGTTATAATGCAAACTCGGAAATGCTGCGGGCAGAATTCTTGCAAGGGTGTAATCCTACAGAGAAGTTACTCAGGTCTCAAAGTGACAGCTACGCTCTAGTTAGGGGGTTGGCAAGCTACTGCCTGTGTTTGTAAATAAAGTTTTATTGGAACACAGCCACACTAATCAGTTTACTCAGTATCCATGGCTACAACAACAGCAGAGTTGAGTAGTTGTAATAGAGGCCACATGGCCTGCAAAGCATAAAATATTTACTATCTGAGCATTTCAGAAGCTTGCCAGCCTCTACTCCAGATGTACAGTAGTAGTGAGTGCATATATACATAAAATCAGTGGACTGACTTCTTGGGGACCCACAAAAGTAAGAAAAATATATTCCCAAAAACACTACCCTTACTTTTGACTACTGATTTATTTATGCGGATCTGAAACACACACACACAATTTGGTAAAATTCATGCAATGCATACCCATGAAACTTGAACCAGATGTAAGAAATAATCACTCCACAAGAACACCATGAAGCATTCCTCTGAAATTGCTACGTTGTAGTCTACCAACAAATATGTGCAGAATAACAAGTAGAAAAATGATAGGAAACTTACATGTCTCTCTCAGGGTCTGGGCATTCACAAGACTGCTCTGCCTTAGCTCAGAATAATCTCTACACAACAGTTAAGAGGGGAAAAGGGAAGGTGTGGACAGCTAGAAAGATGGTGGACGGGAGTATCTGAAACCAAGGAGCCTCTAATTCACCACCTCCCTCACAAACAAAATGTTCCTTGCCCAGACCCTCTTTCCAGATGGTTCCTAGCTAAAGCTTTATTCTCGTTCTAGCCCCCTCTGGCTTCTACCCTAGTCTTATAATTTTTTTTTAAACGTCTTTTCATCCCAAGATTAGTCAGTTGGATTACTCTGCCCTAATGTCTCCAGCTCTGGGCAGCAAGTCTAACCTTCCCCACATGGCTTTCCTCTTGCCCTAACTACTTTCTGCCCTCACCTGGATGCATTAGGTGCAATTACTTTTGCACCAGCCTAATATCAATCCCAACTTCATCATCTGGGACCTGAAGCCAGACATAATCTTTATTCACTGCACCAGACCAAAAGATATGGATTTTGAAGTCATCAAATCCTGGGTTCAAAGTCCGGTTTGGCTATTTCCCAGATGGGTGATGGATGGGCCAAATTACTCAACCTCTCTGGTCCTTAATGTTCTCATCTGTGCCATACAGATAATACTTCCTACTTTTCAGGGTTATTGCGAGCAATGATATAGGTATCAAATAAAGATAGCTGCTATTATTTTTAACTTGTCTTAATAATTACTACTAACACCACTATCACCTATCGAGGACTCAAAGGTCTGGCAATACAATGAAAGCTTTACTCATTTAACCTTTCCATATTGATATTCACAAACTTCCAGTGTGTGTCATATTTATACCCATTTTATAAATATGGAAACTGAGACAGACTCCAATTCTAGTCTTTCGAGTATGGCTGATTCTCATTATTCCTGGATTCTGTATTTGTGAATTCACCTACTTGCTAAAATGTATTTGTAACCCCAAAAATCAATACTCGTGGCACCTCCCTGGTCATTCACAGATGTTTGCAGAGCAACAACGACAACAAAAAAATTGAGTCATCGAACGTGCATGTTCCCAGCTGAGGTCAAACCAGGCAACAACGCGCCTTCTCGTTTCAGCCTCGTACTGTCAACAAATGGTCTTTTCATGGTCTATTTAGTGCCATGTTTTTCACATGTCTGTGCTTTGTGTTGGTGACTGTGCTGTTTAGAATGGTCCCCAAGCAAAGTGGTGAAGTGCTATCCAGTGTGCCTTGCAAAGAAAATGCATGGATTAGGGAAATTTTGTTCAGGCACGAGTGGCAGTGCTGTTCGTTGTGAGTTCAATGTTAATGAATCCACGATATATAGTGAGTAAGGTATCTTTAAACAGAAGCACACATAAAACAAGGTTACATATTAATCAGTCGAAGACAATGTTGCAACTTGAGGATCACAGGACCCTAACCCCCTATTCCTCTGGGAACGATGGTTCAGGATTCGCTAATTTGGTGTTCGCAGCAATTTTATAGAACACACCTACTGAGAATAATGGGAATCAACAGTATAGTTCTCTTCCGCTGTCAGAGCTGGTACTCGCCACACCCCAGGAACTATACACAGACTAACACCAGTGGTCTTCACTCCCATAGCCTATATCACACCACCCATGAGACATTGATGGGGTAGGAGGGCGCAGAGGGAGGAAATGTAGCATTGCAATAATCTCACGCTGCTCCAAAAACGGAGGAGAGAATGCAAGCCACACACAAAAACACACACTGTTCCTCTCTCCTTCCCACTTCCAGAATTATAAGAAGGTTTCGTGTTCTCTGAAATTGTTATATTCTGGAAATGTTTCCCAAAAATGAATTACAAACTGGTTAATCACATTAAAAGCTGCCTTCAGCCTGGCGTTTTTGATCATTGTCAAATTTATTTTCCTTCCTTTTCAAAGCCACTCTCCTACTTTGCTTTCAGCTCTAGCTACACAAAGGAGGTGAGAAAATGGAAAGGATTAACGCCACATTGAGTTTTATCCTGGAAAATAAAGATTCTCCTGGAATTTATCACTAAAAAGTCAATAAAATGCAACAAAGCAACCACTCTATAATGACATTACATTATTGCCAAATTGCCAGAGTCCTATAGAAATGGCACCCAAGTCCTAAGCAATTTTTGCAGTTTTACGCCTATAATTTCCATGCAAAAAAAAAAAATCATTTTATGCCAAACTAAGAATAGTTTATGACTACTTTCCTCCTTGTATAAAGAGTTTCTCTTTAAGACACTTTCCTTATTTAGAAAACTTAACCTATGACAAAGTATGGCACTCTATATATGCACTTTTCTATATATATATAATTTCAATTTTAAAAAACTATATATGGGATTAGAAGCCAATTCTTCAATTATAAATTGATCATAAGTAAATTTGCTAAAACAAAAAGCTTTACAATCTAAATGTTCAAGATTTGATAGACTTTCTATGTTGTAATATATTAATTTGAATTTTCAAAACTAACAAATAATGAAAGTCAGTCGTAGGTGTCATTAATAGCTCAGTTGAAATTTACGCACAAGATTAACAAGACTGAAATCAATTAAAAGAAATTATTTGAAACTGTATTTGTGTGTGTGCGTGATGTGTGTGTAACTATATATGGTCAAAATTAAAGTCCGCTAATTGTTACCTAAAAGTGACCTTAACTATTTTAGGGAACCAAACCAAAAATATTAGAAATACAATTAGGATCACACTAAAAATTTATAAACAACCTCTTCTGTAAGAAAGAAAAGTCAACAAGAACAACGAATAGCTTTCTATATCACAAAGAGAATGTCTCTATTAATTGAAAACACTCAATTTTTGAATGTTTCAATGAATTAATTCAAATTTTGAACAAGTTTAGGGCAATATATATCAACTTAAATTTTAAATAACTCCACAGGTAATTTTAAATAACTCCACAGGTAATTTTAAATATACAGCTCTGGCTAACTCAATACATCTGAAGTCACTTGAATTTATCATAAGCCCAGGAGACTAACAAATGAATATAAGCAGTACAAAAGGGAATTCAACTTAATTCAAATACCATCTGTTCTGTTCTGCTTCTGTAACACAGATGAGCTCATGTTTGATTGGTAAGTAGCAGTGACATCTTATAGCATGGAAGTCACACTGATTCATTTGAGAGTTTCCTAAGCAAAAAAGTGGAGGGAGTGAAATGAAAATCTTAGGCAAGAAAAGGAAAAAAAAAAAAACTGTCACCTAACTTGGCCTTAGCAAGAAGCTGTATTTTAAGAACAAAGCAACCACCCTATAATGACATTAAATCATTGCCAAATTGTCAGAGCCCTTTAGAAATGGCACCCAAGTCCCAAGCAGTTTTGCAGTTTCATGACTAAAAGTTTCATGCAAAAAATTATTTTATGCCACGCTGTCAAACAGCCTACAGCTGGGTCCCACTCCCCAGACAGCGCACCCACAGCCAGCCAGAGGCTCCCTCAGTTTGGCTACCTGCACTGGCTCCATCAATGGCCACTATCACAGGAGGCCCAGGGCTCAGAGTTCCACTTCTGTGTGCACTGTCTCAACATCCACCGCCCATGTACCAATTCAAGCATTGCCAGGTTTCCATGTTGCTGTTTTTGTTTATTTTATTTTATTTTATTTTATTTTACTTTTGAGATGGAGTCTCACTCTGTCACCCAGGCTAGAGTGCAATGGCGCGATCTCGGCTCACTGCAACCTCCGCCTCCCAGGTTCAAGAGATTCTCTTGCCTCAGCCTCCCGAGTAGCTGGGATTACAGGCATGCGCCACCATGTCCGGCTAATTTTTGTATTTTTAGTAGAGACGGGGTTTCACCATGTTGGCCAGGCTGGTCTTGAACTGCTGACCTCAGGTGATCCACCCACCTCAGCCTCCTAAAGTGCTGGGATTACAGGCGTGAGCCACCGCAGGCGGACTGTTTTTTTGTATATTTTAGTATCCATTTTAGCAACATCCAGCCACACTGAGATGCCTGCTTGGGTGGTCCAGATAATCTCTTAAGGTAGCAATTATGGTTTTTGCTAGTAGTTACCAAGTTGCAATGATTTTGAGAGACCAGCTATAATCTTACTTTTCCCACAAGACACTTATTATTTTTAGTGTATTGTTGTGCAGAATGTATGGTTTTTCAGGGACATAAATTTTCCATCACAGCAGAAACACCAGTGAGTATTTATCAAGTGCCTACTTCCTATGCACAGGCAATGGACTAGGTACTCGAAGTTAAATTTAAGGACCTAAAAGAATATGTTTTCTTAAAGATCTCAACTTAGCCACGGGGGCCTGGGGGAGATGAGAATTGCGCACTTAGCATTAGTTTGCTAGGGCTGCCATAACAAAGTACCATCTGCTCAGTGGCTTAAACAACAGAAATGTATCGTCTCACAGTTCTGAAGTCTAGAAGCCTGAGATCAGTGCCTGAGCCTGGAGAAAACCCAGATGTCCAGCTGCTTTTTTGGCCCTAGGGTCACATTTGCTGAAAGGAGTCCTTTTAGAGTCTGGAGGATGAGGGCTGGAGTCCTTTAACTTCCAAGAATGGGGTCCTGGGGCATTACCTATCAGTGTGGGCTAACCTTCAAAGGGGCAGCACCTTGAGGGTACAAGTTCAGACAGCAGCCCAGCTTCACCTCAGCTGAGTGACCAAGAAAATCTCAAACCTTGGTCTACTGTGAACAACTTTCACCTACAAATGACCAGGACGCCTAAATCATGGGGTAAACCACCAACCAGGCTCCAGGTGGCCACCTGGTAAAATACAGACAGGTAACAAATAGCACTGCAAAGGTTTTGAAAACAAGTGACATTGAAACCACAACCCGCAAAAGGCTAGTTAGAACAGAACACATGCCCTGAGCTCAACTAGGTCAATGCCTGCTAAACAAATGCGTCAATATTCTCCACAGTATTTACACAAGACACAGAGTCTCAGAACATAATAACCAAAATGTCAAGGATAAAATCCAAAATTACTCAGCATATAAAGAACCAGCGAAATTGCAACTCACATGGGAGGAAAAGATATGCCATGCAAACACTAATCATAAGAAAGCCTGAATGGCTATATTAATATTCAACTTCAGAGAAAGAAAAGTGTGGGAGATAAAGAAAGACAGTACATAATAATAAAAGGGTCAATTCACCAAGAAGATATAACAATCCTATATGTGTTTGTACCTAACAATAGAGCATCAAAATACATAAAGCAAAAACTGACAGAATTGAAAGAGGCAAATCTAAAATTACAGCTGGAGACGTAAAAACTCTAATCAGCAATTGACAGAGCTAGTAGACAGAGTCAGCAAGGATATATATAGAAGAACTGAACACCATTAACTAACGGGATCAAACTGACATTTATAGAATACTCCATTCAACCACAACAGTGTACATATTCTTTTCAAGTACAAAATGGAACATTTATAATAGAAATCGTAGCAAACTGAAAGGGACTAGAGTCATACGATGTATGTTCCTGACCATAATGGAATTAAACTAGAAAGCAATGTGAAAAAATAACAGGAAAATCTTCAAACACTTGGATAGTAGACATCACACTTCTAAATAATCCATGGGTGACAGGGAAGGTCTCAAAGGAAATTAGAGAATATTTTGAACTGAAAGAAAAAAAAAAAAGTTTGTGAGATTCAGCTAAACTTAGAATGAAATTTATAAGATTAAATGTTTTTATTAGAAAAGAAAAAAGTTGCAAATCAGGCATCTAAGCTTCTACCTTAAGAAATTTTAAAAGGAAAGCAGAATGAACCATTGCAATCATAAACTCTAACTTGAGCTTCACTGAGTACCAAAAAGAGGGGAGAGAGAGGGAATGAGGCAAAAACAACAGTGAAAGAGGTCACGGCTCCGAATTTTCAACAGTGATTGCAGTGGCTTGAATGTGCACCCCAAGGAGTAAATGTTGGAAACTTCATCTTCAATGCAACTGTGCTGGGAGGTGGACCTCATGGGAGATATTTAGGTCATGAAGGCTCTACTCGCATGAATGGATTGATGACATTAAAAAAGGGCTCGAGGCTGTGAGTTCAATCTCTTGCTCTCTCTCTCACACATGTTCTCTTGCCCTTCCATCTTTCACTATGGAATGACGCCACAAGAAGGCCCTTGCCAGATGCTAGCACCCTGATATTGGACTACCCAGCCTCGAGAACTGTAAGAAATAAACTTCTTTTATTTATAAGTTACCCAGCCTGTGGTATTGTGTTATAGCAACACAAAACAAAGACAGTAATGAATGGCTTCGAAGACAGTAATGCACTTCAAAAAGCCCAAACAGGATAAATGAAAAGAAATACACACCTGGTTACTTCACAGTGAAACTGCAGAAAGTGAAATACAAAGATAAAAATATTGAATGCAGCCACAGAAAAAGGAAAGATTACTTTCCAAGTACGAGTGACCAACTTCTGAAATGCCACAGTGAAGATTTGAAGACAGAAATATCTTCAAGAAAATAACTGCTAACCTAGAATTCTCTACCCAGCAAAAATAGCTTTTAAGAATCAAGAGAAAAATGAAGATCTTTTTCAACAGACAAAACCCAAGTTAGCCACCAGCAAAATTTTCACTGTCAACATCAAGAACTGCTTTTATTGAAAACACATAAAACGGAGAAAAAAATCCCAATTAGTAAATTATTATAAAGTAATTCTACAATAAAGCTAAATTTGCTATAAGAATAAACAAAATCATCTACACCCTTCTCCTTATTTCAGGAGTTAAATCTGATCCTCACATTTTAAATCTAACAGATAATTACCTAATTTTCTGGTAAGGTAAAGAAACTGAGATGGAAGCAGGGGAGACGATAAGATTTTAACCCCAAAATGAGCATTTTCCTATGGGCATTACAAAAGGTAACTGAGTTAGAAGGACCTCTGTTTATGAACATGTTAACTGGCTGGGAGGGAAAAAAAATGACTCTAATCAAAGAGAGAGAAGTATGCATATAATAACAAAAGACAGAATGGTCTCACAGTGTAAAGAGAACTTTTTTCAATTTGACAAGATCATGCCTATGATATCGAACAGTGCATTTTCTCATTTTCATCACTAATTGACTCATATTTCTTCCCCATTGCAACAAACCTTAGCTCCGTATTCACAAGCCCTCTGCTTGGAGCTTCATTGACAAAGAACAGCAGCATACAAAATAGCACCACAGTGCACTGAGAAATGTCACCAAACACTAAGCTATGGGGCAACTAAAACTGGACAGATTTATATTTGTTCTATGTCTGGTCAAGGGAAACTGCAGAATTTAGCTGAATAATACACTATTTCCATTCAGACACATGTTAGTGACTTTCGGCCCTCTGATCATCTTCCCTCCTCATTAAATTATAAGATCCTTTAAGGAGGTTACTCTGCATCATTCACTGAAAACAACATTTAATAAGCGCTTTGTGCCAGGCCCTGGAATGGAAATGATTGAGATCCCTCCTTTCATCTTTGGCAGCAGCAAAGACAAGGAAATAAATAATGTGAATAGCGTTATGAAGACACTGTGATGGGAAGACAAGAAGGAGTAACTAGGGAGTAGATCATTCTATAGAAAGAACATGTGTAAAGACATGTTTGAGAGGCAGAATGCATTCAGGGAAATGTGTTTCTATGGAAGGTTTGGTTCAGGAACAAGAGGAGACTAGAGCCCGATGAGAAAAGGTCTTCTATGCAATGTTAAGGAATTTGGACTTTGCCCTGGAGGCAATGAGGAGCCAAACACTACTACTTTTTTTTTTTTTTTTTTTGGAAAGCTATAAACTCTGGCACGGGAGTAGAAAATGAGAAGGAATGGAGAGAGGCAGGAGGCAGGAAGTTGACCTCTTTGGTGGCTGTTTCAATAGTCGAGGGAGGTTTTACATTGCTTTGCTGTCACTCCACAGTATCTAACACAGGGTCTAACACATAAAAGAGAACAGTAACACTGAACTGAATTGATTCTAAGAAGAAAATACCTAATTTCTTACAGAGTGGTTTATCTGCTTTCTAAGGTCCGTGCAGTAATTCCTTTCCCAGGATAGGGGGGGAAATGCCATTATCATGTACACGCTGGCAAGACCACTGCTGTGGTTTGGTCTGTCCCCACCAAAACTCATGTTAAAATTTGATCCCCACTGTGGCAGCGGTGGGAGGTGGGGCCTATGGGCCTACTGGGAGGTGTCTGGGTCATGGGGGTGGAGCTCTCATGAATAGATTAATGCCTTCCCACGGGAGTGAGTTCTCACTCTCACGGAATGGATTCATTCCCAAGAGGGTGGGTTGTTCAGAAGAGTCTGGCTTCCTTGGTTTCTCTCTCTGGCCATGTGGTTTCTTTGCACACATCATTTCCACTTCTGTTTTCCAACATGAGTTAAAACAGTCTAAGGCCCTCCCCAGATGCAAATGCTCAGTCCTGAACTTTCCAACCCCCAGAATCATGTGCTAAATAAACCTCTTTACTTTATAAACTATCCAGTTTCAGGTATTCTGATACAGCAACTCTAAACGAACTAGGACAGCCACCAGTGCCTTTCACAGCATTCCAAATATACAGTCAAATCCCCGGAGAATCCTGGTTCTCACAGGTTTTTTGTGTGTGTTCATCTTATCACATTTACAGTAATCTTAAAACCTTTAGTGGGAAAAGTTAAAAAAAAAAAAAAAAAAGCTGCAAAGCAAAATGCTCTGACCCCAGAATGCCAAATATATACTTTTAACAATATAAACTAAGCAAAAGGAAAGATGTTGTACTCTACCTAGTAAGAAAGTAAGAACGCATCCAGCAGTTAATTTCAATTTAAAAACGCCATTCCGGCCCTGCCCAATGGCTCACGCCTGTAATCCTAGTACTTCGGGAGGCCGAGGAGTGTGGATTTCCTGAGGTCAGGAATTAGAGGCCAGCCTGGCCAACATGGTGAAACCCCGTCTCTATTAAAAATACAAAAATTAGCTGGGCATGGTGGCGGGCGCCTATAATCCCAGCTACTCAGAAGGCTGAGGCAGGAGAATCGCTTTAACCTGGGGACAGAGGTTGCAGCGAGCCAAGATCGCACCACTTCATTCCAGCCTGGGCAACAGAGCAAAACTCCATCTTGAAAAATAAACAAAAATAAAAAAATAAAAATAAAAATGCAGTTCAGAATTCTCAGCCCAACATCACAGAAATATATATCCAGCTTTCCCAGGAGACTAAAGCAGATTTATTTGAATAAATTTTGTATCTTTGTTAAAACAACAGTTATCAACTCATAGTCATAGCTTATAAGTTAATACTGGAAACATTCTATCAACAGTCAAACTGAGACTTAAAACAGAAGACTAGAGAAGGAAGATTTCATGATGTGAAGTGAAGAGATGAAATTTAGACATATACATCTTACAAAGCAACAAGAATATTCAGAGTCAAAGAGAGATACAATAATTCTTACCAAATTTTAAATCCAAAGCCGAGAAAGAGTGTTTCAGAGATAAGCAAGGTGGAGAAAAGAACACTATACATAATGAAGTGATTTTGAGACTTTTCTTAAATGGAGGAAAAGGTGACCAATTTTTAAATGCATTCGATAAGTTTTCCAGCCATCTCTTCATTTTAGAACTGAATCCAGTTTTCTGGGAGGCTACCAATGAACTTGGTTCTTGATAAGGAACAAAACTATTATTAAGTTCTGAAGAAATATGGGGGGGTAGGGAATAGTGAAAGGAATGTCCCATCCCCGGCCTGGGCAACATGGCAAAATCCCATCTCTACAAAAAAATACAGAAATTAGCTGGGTGCAGTGGTGTGTGCCTGTAGTCCCAGCTACTCAGGAGGCTGAGGTGGGAGGATCACTTGAGCCCAGGAGCTCGAGGCTGTAGTGAGCTATGATTGCACCACTGCACTCCAGCATGGGTGATAGAACAAGACCCTGTCTCAAAAAGAACAACAACAAAAAAGAATGTTCCATTCATGTAACATGCAGTTTCTACTAATTTTAAAACTGAGCTACAGTGTTCCTGGCTCATATTTGGAGCAGAGATTTAAACAGCAAAAAAATACCCTACCAGAGACATGCACAATTAAATTTCAAACTGAAACACAATAAATAGATTTAATTTATTGCCCAATGTGTAATCACTTTTCGTAAATGGAGGTGGGAATTCCACATCTAAAGGTCTAGACATTTTAATCTCACCCTCAAGGGAAAAAAATGATACACACGGCCGGGCATGGTGGCTCACGCCTGTAATCCCAGCACTTCGGGAGGCCGAGGCAGGCGGATCGCCTGAGGTCAGGAGTTGGAAACCAGCCTGGCCACTGTAGTGAAACCCCATCTCTACTGAAAACACAAAAATTAGCCAGGCGTGGTGGTGTGCGCCTGTAAGCTATTGGGAAGGCTGAGGCAGGAGAATCATTTGAACAGGGAGGCGGAGGTTGCAGTGAGCCGAGATTGTGCCATTGCACTCCAGCCTGGGCGACAGAGCACGACCACGTCTCAAAAAAAAAAAAAAAGATACATACAAAACAAGGGAATAATTTCATTTTTCTTATTTTGCATTTCCATGTCTAGGCACATTCAAAGACTTTTAATGTGATATTATGATGCACATTTGAAATTTTCAAAGACAAGGCATTGTATATTGGCTACCCTTTTATATGGGCATACTAGGATTACACATTTTGATTCCACTTAAATTTGTACTATATATAAAAGATAGGTAAAATAGGATCCTATACATAGTAACATGGAATTTTTATATTTTTATACATTCTAAAATCTCCCTAATATTATGATGAAATTATTTCAATATTTTGTTGTTCTTTGTACATATTAATATCCTACGCATCTGTCTCTAAAGAGTTTTGAAAGAGAATTTATCCACTCAATAGTTAAAATGGTTAAAATGGCAAATTTTATAATGTGTATTTTGCCAAATTTACAAAATGAATAACTGAATATACCCAAAACCACTGATATTTACACTTTAAAGGGGCAAATTATATGGTATGTGAATTCTATCTTAATATAGCTGTTTAAAAAAACTTACAGAGCCCTCTTCCAGAAAAGCTGCCTTGTCAACACTTTGATTACTCATTATGTGAAAATACAAATATTGTTGATTCTGTGTCAAACGGATGATTCAGAAGAGATGGACACTGACTGTGAAGAAATGTTAAGAATTCCTTAATCTATTTTTCTTATACTTTTAAATTATGTATATACAAGAATAACACATGCAAAAAATCTATACTTAAATAAGTGGCTCTTTCAATGTTATAAGTAAAGGTTATAGATAATTAGAAAGCATCAACATTATTTGATTCATAGCATTTTTTCTCTTTTGGTGGTGCACGTAATTGTAAATCTTACAACTGCATTTTTTTGGTTTTTTTGTTTTTTTGTTTTTGAGACACAGTCTCACTCCGTCACCCAGGCTGGAGTACAGCAGTGCGTCTCCAGGGCTCAAGCGATCCTCCCACCTCAGCCTCCCAAGTAGCTGAGACCACAGGTGCGTGCCATCATGCCTGGCTTATTTTTCTATCTTTAGGGGAAATAGGTTCTCACTATGTTGCCCAGGCTGGTTTCAAACTCCTGAGTCAAGCGATCCACCCACCTCAGCCTCCCAAAGTACTGAGATTACACGTATGAGCCACCACACCCGGTTACAATCAATTTTTTTTCTTTTTTGGTGGCACATGTAATTGTACATCTTACAATCAATGTGGTTTCAGATTCTGAGTTGAGACTTAGCAAAAAGGAGGAAGAAATAGAGACATGGAGCTTCTAATCTCTAAACACCTATGTATACACCACTCCCAGCACTGTATACATACGCCTGTGTTCATACACATGTGGCCCTTTTCCTAAGCCTCCTGTGAAATCAAACACATTTTCATTCCAATAAAGCAATTTCTGGAAAGTTATAAAAGACACCGGGGAAAGGTATTTAAAATGAATACCATTTTGCTAATTAACTGTGTTTACTATTACAATTACTAAAATAAATGTACTCCCCTTATGTGACGGTATGACAAAGCAGGAATCTGATGGACATATTATGTCAATTACTCATTTGAATCCATGACTCAGAGTATTTTAAATATACATATGGAAACCAGAGTCTTTTCATAACCAGACTCTACAAACAAGAAATGTGTGCCAAGACGTGACAAACACAATCTTAAAAAGCTTCACAGATTTAAATCTTCCATTTAAAGCACAACTTATTTTATCAATGCTTTTATGTAATCCCCAAAATACAGCAACACTGAGTTTAAAATTCCAAAGATGTTTTCTGGTTTCAATGATGGAAATTGCTTGTCCTGTCTACAATAAACACACACAGTAGGACACAAAACTTCAAAGAGAAAATTCATATATTGATGGAGACAATTTTTGAAATTTTCTTGTCATATATGAAAAGCAATTTGTGATGGATATCTCCGGGCCACAACTTTTTTTTTTTTTTTTTTGAGATGGAGTCTCAGTCTGTCACCCAGGCTAGAATGCAGTGGTGCGATCTCAGCTCACTGCAGCCTCTGCCTCCCGGGTTCAAGCAATTCTCGTGCCTCAGCCTCCCAAGGGATTACATGCGTGCGTCACCACGCCTGGGTAATTTTTGTATTTTTAGTAGAGATGGGGTTTCACAATGTTGGCCAGGCTGGTCTAGAACTCCTGACCTCAAGTGATCCGCCTGCCTCGGCCTCCCAAAGTGCTGCGATTATGGGCATGAACCATGGTGCCCCGCCGGGACACATAACTTTTCAACTGGAAGAAAAGTATTCTAAAACGTTATATTTTTACAATAACTTAAGAATCATTTTGGTCACTATAGAGGTAACATATGCTCATAGAAATCAGAAGAAATAAATAGTAATAAAAGTATCCATGATCTCACTACCCAGCTATAACTGCTATTACTACTTTTTCCTCTAGAGCCTTTCTGTCTTTATCAGGGAAAGGACAGTGAAATGGCTAAGTGCCTGGTTCTGGAGCCTCACTCCCAGGTTGAAACCCCCCTCTTCCACTTACTAACCCACGTGATCTTGGGCAAGAGTCAAAATCTCTATGCATCATCTGTAAAATAGGAATAGTAGTAATACCTACTTGATCGGATTTTTAATGTAATTATCCTGCCCATACGGTTTTGCTACCTGCCACTGTCACTTAATAGAATGTGTGAACGGTTTCCATGTCATTAGATATTCTCACATAAAATGTTTAAGGGCTGCAATTATTCCGATACATGGCTGTTCCATAATGTATTAAGATCCCTAGTGCTAGGCATTTAAACTGCTTCCAATTTTCTGCTATTATACAACAAGCAGTTATATGAGGAGAGTAGGAATGATTGGAAGCTGGGGATCCCACATTACAGTGGCAATGACAGCAATAGGGGCTTCACGCAGACCAGGCTGTTTGCCTATGACCAGGATGCTGGTTTCCTGGTCACCCAAGCTACCTTGCTTCTTGCTTTTTCCCAAGTTTGGTGCCCAGCCACTGGCTCTTCTAGGCGCTCCTAGCAGCCTTCCAATTAATTTTCTTAAGCCTAAATGAGCCAAAGTCAGTTTCTGTTGCCTGTAACCAAAACACCCTTCTGATAGAAAAGATAATCATTCTCTTCTATATATATCCCATTAATTTCAAAATGGACTCAACAAGAACCTGTGATACACACACAGGTGTACACATGCACATGCACGTGAATAAGCTACACAACCAACCTTCACAATCTGCCACATCCCAAGAAGCAGCCAGTGAAACTAGACAGCTACAATGCAAAGCGCAAATTCTCTCTGAAAGAAAGACATTTTTATCACAACGAAAATTCCACTGTGAGAGTCTTCATGCACTTACGAGCTTGAGATGCTATACTTTCACTAATGCAAAATTATATAGAATACATAAGCTACAGAAAGGCTAATCTTTCTCGAAGGAAAAAAAATCAATTACACATTATACCCAAACACAAACACTAAAACAACAACCACTACTACTAATTACTAACAATTACACACTACTCTATACTATATGCCAGGTACTGTTGTAAACCCTTTTCATGTTAATCTTCTAATCTAATTCTTGAAATTAATCTATCATAGGGACTAGTCTTATCCCATGTTATAGGTGAGAAAACTGAGGCATCAGAGAGACTGAGTAGCTTTGCCCAAGATAACACAGCTATTAAAGATTTGAACCCAGGCAATCTAGCTTCAAATCTATGTTCTTTACCACCATATATACTGTTTCTTGATTTTTCTCTTATAATGACAGATTTTTGCATTCTACTCATATATTAAATTTTGGCTGTGTGTGTCACAGAGGGGCCTAAACGGCCAGAGGATATTTATCACACAGTTGGATGAAGACTCTCTATATCGCCTATCCCACTAAGACTACAATTCCAGTCCACAGAGTGACTATCATTCCCCTTCTCCCAACACATTTTGCCAAGTGCTATTCTACTTCCAAGCCTTTGCTCAATCTATTTGCATTACTTAAAATGCCCTCCCAATCCGTCATCCCTTTGCCTATTTCCAACCAATCATGCCAGGCCAAGTTCACATGCCACATCCTACACAAACCTTCCTCAAATCCCTCCAGCTGGAATCAATCTGCCTCTCTCCATACTTCTGTGATTCTCTTCACCATTCCATCTTTCCCTTCCCAATGTAAAATTCTACAAAGCAGGGACTACATCTGGTCAATTCTCCCTTTTTATTTGATATCCTCTATAGTACAGAAAAAGGTTATTGCCAAAAGTAGTTGTTCAATCAACAACTACTGAAGTTAAGAACATTGGGGTGTTAAAGCCTTCTCTGCCAAAATGCAACCCCAAGGAGGCAAACTGGAAAATATCAAAGATTGAGAAAAATTCACCCTATCATGAAACTACTATAAGCCCCCCTGTAAACCTATATCTAAAAACCTATCATTAAGATACACTGTGGTTTGTGAAATTTCAGCATTTATTCCAGTAGGTCCTTTTATGGTCTGAATGTGCACACTGTGTGAAATGAAGGAGGAAATTTTTTGGGAAACTATTTAAAATATTTGGTAAATACTGGGAACACAAGGTCACATGAACTACAAGGAAAAGGCCTGAAACTCGCTAGTACTTTCATAAGCAGTGTGGGTGCTAACTGCAAGCAAGTCAGACAGGTGGCCAGCCTCTGTCTTTAACAATTCCATTGTTGCCGGGAGCAGTGGTGTATGCCTGTAATCCCAACCGCTCAGGAGGCAGAGGCAGGATCGCTTGAGCCTGGGAGTTCAAATCCAGCCTGGGCAATATAGCGAGACCTTGTCTCTTGAAAAAACAGAAAAGAGAATTCCAGTGCCTTCTCCGACCTCTTTTTTTCCCCCTTCAGTTGGTTTTTCCCAAGTGATTTAAGGATTGAATCAAAGCTAAGCAGCTCTTTGCTTGTTTCGTTAGCAGCTCATGACTGCATTAATCACAGGCACTACTGCGGTGAAGATGAAATATTCCTTTTGCATTTTCCCCAAGTAAGTGTGGAAAGATGTAGGAAGAAATCCAAAGGTAGTTATAATTATTAACCAGATGGAAATAACACATCGTAGATTCTGTGATGTTTTTGGTAAAAGTACATTCATGTGTCACCAGAAGGAACAAGATTGAACAAAGATGACTCACTGCCCTTAGCACCTGCATAGCAGACGTAGAGAGTTCCCATCACCTCTGTAGCAAGGGTGTGAAATTGAAATCTACCCTCATTAATTCTTCTGCCACTACAAAGGACCCTCACCATGGGGAGCCTCTTATAGAAAGCATTCTTTTCTGGAAAACTTTGTATATTTCAAAATAACTTAAAGAATATAAGTGGATTATTTGTAACTCAAAGGATAAATGCTTCAGGGGATGGATACTCCATTCTCCACAATGTGCTTATTTCACATTGCCTGCCTGTATCAAAACATCTCATGTACCTCATAAATATATACACCTACTATGTACCCACAAAAATTTTAAAAGATAATAAAATTTTTGTAATTGTCACCAAAAACAAACGAACAAAAAAGACACTGACATTAAGATATTTCTGATTGGGCTTCATTGATTCCTTAAGATCCAGACTCATGAGGAGCTCCTAGAAATCGCTCGGACCTAACACAACTGACAAATGGGAAACAACCATTCTTGAACACAGAGAAAGTTGAGCGTCAACCTCCAGCCATTCTCACTGCAAACGATCTTTCTGTCCTATTTGCAGGGTTACCCTGCACTAAACAGCATACAGTTACAGGAAGCAAGAAATATTAAGCTCCTCCCAGGCTTCTCGGAGCCAGTCCCAGGGTGGTATTAAGTGGCATTCCCGGAGAAAAGAAGTTGCTCTTAATGCAACCTCACACGTGATCGATCTTTTGACCATTAGTAACACCACCAGCATATGGAGACATCTTATTGTTCACCTAAACAGCCAGCCTGTTGGCATATATACACACCTGACCCAGAAACTAGGTGACAAGTATCCCAAACGTGTGAAAAGCATGGAAAGTGAAGTTGCTGACCTAATTTGCCTATGTGAGAACCCTTTCAAAAGTCATTCTTCTTAAAATCTCATTTATAACAGACATCTCTGAACTCACAAGTTTAAGAAAATCCCTTGAAAGTATGCAAAAACCACGAACAGAACAAACCTCATCACACTGTAATGAAATTCACAACCTACTCACAACATAAAGAACACTTGGCCATTGTTGCTGTGCAGAGCCTTAACAACTGGTCCATACCAGGCATTCCCTGTTACGCCCTTGCACTAAAGACTTGCAATTTTGTTTTGATACGGAGTCTCGCTCTGTCGCCCAGGCTGGAGTGCAGTGGCGCGATCTTGGCTCACTGCAACCTCCGCCACCTGGGTTCAAGCAATTCTCAGCCAGGCATGGTGGCTCACGCTTGTAATCCCAGCACTTTGGGAGGCCGAGGCGGGCAGATTACCTAAGGTCAGGGGTTCAAGACCAGCCTGGCAAATATGGTGAAACCCCGTCTCTACTAAAAATACAAAAAAATTAACCGAGCGTGGTGGTGCATGCCTGTAATCCTAGCTACTGGGGAGGCTGAGGCAGGAGGATCGCTTGAACCCAGGAGGTGAAGGTTGCAGTGAGCCAAGATCGCACCACTGCACTCCAGCCTGGGCAATAGAGAGAAACTCTGTCTCAAAAAAAAAAAAAAAAAAAAAAAAGAAAGAAAGAAAGAAAAAAAGAAAAGGACACAGGAGCATTGCCCATTAGATGAGCAGAGCATTTTCCAGAGCCATTTCTTCAATTCCATCACTAGACACACAGCTGCAAGCCTAAAGTAATATGCACACTTTAAATCAAGGAAGAAGTTTAGTAAGAAGGCTCTTAGTAACCTTCTGAGCATAACAGAATGGAATTCAGTATTGACAAGAGTAACAAATTTGTGGCGTGACCGGAAATTTGGAAGAGGTTGAGTTTTCCTAATATGATATTAAGCTAATGCATCGTGTTGAAAGTCATTCTGTACACCCAGAAGTGACATGTTAAGGGAATAGCATGATTCCTGATGTGCAGTTATTTACCCACGTTCTTTCCTCTCCAAGCCTACTCTGCTATACTCTCTCTATAACGCTGGGGCTAGAGTTTCACCAACTTACCTAGGTTTTCCAGACCCCTGTTGACTGACTCCCTGTTAACTTCTGCCAACAGGAAGTCCTAGAGAGAGGATGGAAGATGACAGGAGAGAAAAAGGGACTTCCTTCCTAGTTTCCTATTTCTGTCAGTATGCCACCAGCAGCAGCAGATGGTGGTTCCAGCCCCCATCTTCCGTTGTCACTCTTAGTGCCAGCCTCGCCACACCCCCTCACAGACACCGGCAAGCCGCAGGGCTTAGCCCCAGGTTGTCCTCAGGCTATACTGTGTTCACTCCCTCACTGGCTGGCTCCCAAACGCTGACCAGATGGGAGCCCTCTCAGTTGACTTGGCACCCACCAGGTCACAAACCCTCCCTAGGGGTTCAAACACTCACTGAGCTGCACCCACACCCTCAAACATCTGTACAGCAGTTCTGCAGTGCCTCTCTCGGAGGCCTGGAGACCAGCCCCACAGGAGCCCTGCACCAAGCTCCAAAACTGTGGTAACACCATCTCTTATTTTTCCCCAGCCCTGGAAGTGACAGTGTCTGCACTATCCTAGTACCCCATTTCCTTTGTATTTTGTCAGCCTTTGAACTCGTATATAACCCAATCCTCATATTCAATCTCTTCCATCTGAAATGCCTGGAGTAGTTTGTTTTTCTGACTGGACTCTGAGTGAGTCACCAAAGATAACGAAAAAGCATTTGATAAAATTCGACATCCAAGTATGATTTTTTTAAACTTAATACAAGAAAAAGATATAAATGTTTTCTCCACATGATAAAATATACATATTTCAATTCAAAAGCTAATATCTCGCTTCATGGACAAACATTAAGACACATTTCCATCAAAGCCAAGAGCAAACAAGGACATCCCTCAAACCAGCAACACATAGTACATAGTACACAGACTCCTTTGTACTGTAGAAGAGTGTTGGGATGCACTAATGACTCAACAGAATAAGAAAAAGAGCTAGAAATAAAAAATGAGGTCCTGAAACATTGTTCATTGATATGATTATCAGGAAAATATACTGAAAAACTATTATAAAGAATAAGAATAATTCAGTAAGATAACTGGGAACACAATTAGAATACTGAAAACAACAACCTTTGTATCTACAGGCAATCTTAGTTCACAGATGTGGTAAAGATCTCATTTAAAGCAACAGTGAAAAAAGATAAAATTCCTAGAAATAAACTTTAGAAATAAAACCATATGAAGAAAGTTTTATATATGAAGGGTTGAACAAATGGAGAAACATAACAAGTTCTTGGATAAAAAGATGCAACATAAAATCAGTTCTTTCCAAATTAATCTAGGAATTTAACACAATCCTGTGAAAATATTTATGGAATTTTTCTTGGGGAAGAATCAGGGAACTAGATATCAAGAGCTAGCTCACAGGAAATAAACATAAACAGCCCGTGAATATATGAAAGGACCCTCAACCTCACTCAAGAGAGATGCAGATTAAACCTACAATAAGATGCCATCTCTCACCTATCAGACTGGCAAAAATCCAAGTTTGACAATCTATTGAAAAGATGATGCAGAAACAGACTGGAACAAATGCAAAATGTTACAACACCTACGTAGGGAAGTCCAGCCATATCTATCATATCTTTTTAAATGCATGTGCCGTTTAACTCAGCAATCTTACTCTGGCAATGTCGTCCATAGACAAACTGGCACATGTAAAGAAATGACATGCATGGGGCTACTTAGCACATCACTGAGGAACAAAGGCCTGGAAAAAGCCGAAGTGATCCAGCAACACAGTACTGACTGAGTAAATTCTGGTAAATACACAGCCATGAAAAAGGATGAGAGCGGTCCCCAGGAAAATAGTACATGACAAAAACAATACACAAGTGGTAGACATAGGGTGCCGCCTTTTGTGTAAAAAGGGAGTTAACAAGTATTTTAGCATTTGCTTGTATTTGCATGTTGAGAACCATGGAAGGATCAATAAGAAACTAATAAAATAGCTACCAACTGCAGGTGCAAGACTTACTGAGTACTCCTTTTTATAGCACTTTGATTTTTGAACCAGTTCAATATATTACCCTAGTCAAGAGGTAGTGGTAATAACTAATAAATAAATTTTAAAGGCCAAGAATAATGGAATAAAGGTCAATGATACAAAAAGGCAGTTCAGTGGAAAACCAAATACGAATGACACCTAAAAAGATGTTTATCCAAAATCATAAGAGAAAAACCAATAAACCAAAAAGAGATGGCATGTATCCATCAATTTGTGAAGATCAAGAAATTTGATACTAAGTAGTGTTGATGATGGTATAGAGAAACAGCCACTCTCAGACATTGCTGGTAGGCATATAAACTAAAATAATCTCTATGAAGAGCTATTTAGCAAATTTCAATTTAAATTAATTTTAAATAAATTTATTTTCTTTATAAATTACCCAGTCTATGGTATTCTGTTATGGCACCAGACAATGGACTAAGACAGTAGAGAACACCAAGTCTGTCACTCTATTAAAAACAATGAATAACTGGCAAAAACTGCCAGAATCAACTGTTTCAGAACACTGGGAAATAATCAAAAGCTTACTACAAGCAAGGGAACACCTAATACAAAATAAACAGCTAAGAGAGAGTCATGGAATTTTAATTTACCCTGGTCCCATCCACTCCCCAGTTCAGCAGCAGCCTTGAAGGCAACAGCTAACATTCCAGTACAGGTACCTAGTACCACAGGGAGCAGAACATATCTTATTCTCAAAGAATTGTGGTTGACTGATTTGACCTGTCTAGTGGCTCCCTGAAGAACTGGCTCAAAGGATATGCCTGTCTTTTGCCTAACTCAGAACTCTCCCAGGGCTAAGGTAGATATCAAGGGTAGAAGTGTGGGAGTGGTAGAGGTCTACAGGGGAGGAGAGGTGGGGTGTAGGGGCATGCATTTGTTGAAAACATTTAATGTACTCATTGCTATTACCTGGGGCAAGAGACAAACAATGGACTAATGTAAACACTTGGGAGGAAAGGCTAAGGAATGAGATACTTTAGGGAATATGGGCTTCATTTGAAGAGCTCCTACATATTTTTGTGAATCAAGAAAGTCACATGCATGCCACAACTGGGTGCATGCTCAGAAAAGACCTAAGAGGGCCCTAAGCTCCTACCTCTGGCTGACTTTCAGGATCTTTGCAAACAGGAAGTAAAAACTAAGACAGAGTTGTAAAATGCCTGGCTGCACCTTGAAGGCGTGCCTCACAACATACACACAGCCCATCTGCAAAGACTGGGGGGTTTCTGTTGTTGTTGTTGTCATTCCAGACGTGTAAATAAATCTCTAGTGATTCATCAGCTGACCACTAAGCTAGTGGAAGAGAGGCCTCTGTGGCCACACATGACAAAGGATACAGACTTCACAAAATTAGTTCAGAAAAGTCCTAAATGAACAAGGCATAGCTATAACAAGCAGCAACAATCCACAGGGAGGGGGAGCATCTCATTTCCTAAGTTACCACATTATAATATACAAAAAATCCAGTTTGGAACAAAAAAATTACAAGACATAAACAAAAAACTATGGCCTATACCCAGAAAAAAGAAATTAACAGAAATTGCCCCTGAGGAAGCCTAGTCACTGGACTTACTAGACAAAGACTATTTAAATCAATGGTCCTAAATATGCTTGAAGAGCTAAAAACAAAAACAAAAGCCAGGTCTAAAGAACTAATGGAAACCATGAGAACAGTGTCTCAACAAATACAGAATATCAACAAAGTGACAAAAATTATAAAAAAGCAATCAAATAAAAATTCTGGGTTTGAAAAGTACAATAATGTAAATTAAAAATTCACGAGAGGCTCAACAGCAGATTTGAACAGGTAAAAAATGAAGTCATGAGAATAGATAAACCTGAGAATAGGTAACTTGAGGTTTTCTGGCTTGATGAACAGAAATAAAAAAAAATTTTTTTTAAATAAAGAGAGTCTAAGAAGTCTGTGGAATACCATCTGGCATAACATAAGCATAATAGGAATCCCAGAATGAGAGAAGAGAAAGGAGCAGGAAAATTATTTTTAAAAATAATGACTGCAAGTGTCCCAAACTTGATGAAAAACATGAATCTACACATTCAAGAAGCTAAACAAACTTTTAAGTAAGATAAATTCAAAGGGATACACACAGGAACACATTATAATCAAATTGTTATATGACAAAGACAAAGAGAGAATCCTGAAAACAGCAAGAGAGAAACAACTAATCATGTAGAAGGCATCCTCAATAAAAGTCACATCTGACATCGCATCAGAAACCATAGAGCCAAAGGCAATGGAATTATATATTCAAATTACTAAAAGAAAAGCATTGTCAACCAAAAATTCTATATGTGCCAGAACTATCCTTCAAATACAAAGGAGAAATGAAGACATTACAAAGCTAAAAACCAAGAAAGTTTGTAGATAGTAAACCTGCTCTACAAGAAATGCTGAGGGGAGTCTTTCAAGCTGAAACAAAAGAACATTAGACGGCTGGGAGCGGTGGCTCACACCTGTAATCCCAGCACTTTGGGAGTCCAAGGCGGGCAGATCACAAGGTCAGGAGATCGAGATCATCCTGGCTAACACGGTGAAACCCTGTCACTACTAAAAATACAAAACAGTAGCTGGGTGTGGTGGCGGGGCCTGTGGTCCCAGCTACTTAGGAGGCTGAGGCAGGAGAATGGCGTGAACCCGGGAGGCGGAGCTTGCAGTGAGCCGAGATCATGCCACTGCACTCCAGCCTGGGTGACAAAGTGAGACTCCGTCTAAAAAAAAAAAAAAAAAAAAAAAAAAAAGAACATTAGACAGTAACCTGAGAAATAAAGAACACTAATAAAGGAAAATATATAGGCAAATTTAAAAAAGGAATAGTAATGTTATTTTTGGCTTGTAACTCTTCTTTTTAAAATATGATTTAACAGATGGCTGCATAAAAATTATTACAAATACACACTGATGAGCACATAATGTATAAAGATATAATCTGTGACAATAACAAGATAAAGTGGTGGACAGAACTATATAAGAGCAAAGTTTTTATATATCATTGAAACTAAGTTGGTATTAAGTTAAACTAGATTGTTATAAATTAAGATGTTAATTGTAAACCACGGGGCAACCACTAAGAAAATACTATTTAAATTTGTACTAAAGGGAATTAAAATAATACACTAGAAAATATTTACTTAACATAAACAGGAGATTACTTTTAGATCCAATTACACAAATAGGTTGAAAATAGAAGGATAGAAAAGGATAACCCATGCAAACAGTAACCAACTGCAGTGGCTATATTAATATCGGATAAAACAGACTTTAAGACAAAAATTGTTATAAGGGACAAAGAAAAACCTTATATAATGATAAAAGAGTCAAACCATCAAGAAGATACAACAATTATAAGCATATATGAACCTAACAATAGAGCCCCAAATATATGAGGAAAAAAACTAACAAAATTGAGGGAGAAATAGCTCTACAATAATTGTTGGAGACAGCAATACTCCATTTTCAATAACAACAGAACAACTAAACAGAAGATCAACAAGAAAACAGAAGACTTAAAAAATACTATAAAGCAACTATACCTAACGGACATATACAGGACAGTTTACCCAACAGTAGCAGAAAGTGTATTCTTCTCAAGCACATGTGGAACATTCTTTAGGATACATATTAGGCCACAAAACAAGTCTTAATAAATTTTAAAAGAATGAAGTAATACACAGTATCTTCTGCATCCATACTGGAATAAAATTAGAAATCAATAACAGAAGAAAATTTGGAATTTACAAAAATGTGAACTTATACACTGTTAATCAATAGGTCAAGAAAAAAATGACAAGAGAAATTAGAAAATACTTTGAGAAGAATGAGAATGAAAATACAACATATCAAAATGTGTGGCATATAACAAAAGCAGTGAAGAGAACAAAATTCATAGCTATAAATGCATATATTGAAATAGGAAGACCTGAAATCAATAACCTAAACTTCCATCTCAAGGAATTAGAAAAAGAACAGCAAATTCAACCCAAAGCAAGCAGAAGAAAGGAAATATTAAAGATTAGAGCACAGATAAGTGAAATAGAGAATAAAGCAGCAATACAGAGAATTAAGAAAATCAAAAGTTGGTTCTTTGAAAAGATCAATAAAACTAACAAATCTTTAGATAGACTGACCAAGGAAAAAGGAGAGAAGATTTCAATCACTAGAAATAAAAAAATGAAAGTGGGGACACGGGCCAGTGCAGTGGCTCATGTCTGTAATCCCAGCACTTTGCGAGGCTGAAGCGAGTGGATCACCTGAGCTCAGGAGTTTTGAGACTAGCCTGACAACACAGTGAAACCCTGTCTCTACAAAAAAGACAAAAATTAGCTGGGTGTGGTGACACACACCTGTAATCCCAGCTACTTGGGAGGCTGAGGTGCGGGGATCACTTGAGCCTGGGTGGCTGAAGCTGCAGTGAGCTGAGATCATACCACTGACAGAGTGAGACCCTGTCTTGAAAGAAAGAGAGAGAAAGAGAAACTAGGGACACTACTACTCAACTTAAAAAAAAATACTATGAATAATTGTATGCCAACAAATTAGGTAACCCAGATGAAATGGACAAATTCTTAGAAATATGCATACTACAAAAACTGACTCAACACAAAAATTAAAAATTTTTTAAAGACTCAAGAAGAAAGAGCAAAATGAATAGACCTATAACAAACAGATTAATTCAATAACCAAAAGAACTTCCAAAAAGAAAAACTCTAAGACCAGATGGCTTCACTGGTGAGCTTTACCATAAACATTTTTTTTTTTAAATTAACAAAACCCCTTCATAAATTCTTCCAAAAATAAAAGAAGAGGAGCCATTTCCTAACTCATTCTGTGAGGCCAGTATCACCCAGATACCAAAGTCAGACAAAGATGTTACAGACCAATATCCTTTATGAGTACAGATGCAAATAATCCTCAACGAAATATGCACAAATTTAACATAGAGCATATTAAAAGGATTATACACCATGATCAAGGGATTTATCCCAGGAATGCAAGGGTTCAACATACAAAAATCAATCAATGTAATATGCCATGTTAATCGAATAAAGGGGGAAAACCACAATATCATCCAAATTGATGCAGAACATTTTTTTTGACAGATTCCAACATTCATGATAAAAATATCAACATCCTTGGAATAGAAACTCCCTCAACTAGATAAGGGACATCTATGAAAAACCCACTGCTTAACATCATATTTACTGGTGAAAGACCAAATGGCTTCCCCACTAATAACAGGAACAAGACTAGACTGCAATTGCCAAATAAGGTATCTGGATTGGAATGGAAGAAGTAAAACTATCTCTATTGAAAAATGACATAATCTTATATATAGAAAACCCTAAAGAATCCACACAAAAGCTGTTAGTGCTAATGAATAAGCTCTGCAGAACTGCAAAATACAAGATCAACATACTAAAATCAGCTGTATTTCAATATACCAGCAATGACAATCCAAAAATGAAATTCAGAAGAGAATTCCATCTACATTAGCATCAAAGAGAATAAAATACTTAGAAATAAACTTAACCAAAAAAATACAAGACTCATACACTGAAAATTACATTATTGAAAGAAACTGAAGACTTAGACATCCTGTGTTCACAGACTTAATAATATGAAGACATAATATTAGATGACAATATTCCTAAAATTAACCTACAGATTCAAAGCAATTTCTATCAAAGCCCCAAGTGCCTTTTTTATAGAAATGGATATGCTCATCCTAAAATTCATATAAAACTACAGGGGAGCCCAAATAGCAAAAACGATCTGGAAAAAGAACAAAGCTGGGGGACTCACACTTCCTATTTTAAAACTTACTACAAAGCAATAGTAATCAAAACAGTGTGGTACTGGCATAAGGAGAGACATTATAGATCAACAGGATACAATTGAGAGTCCAGAAATAAAGCCATATATTTACAGTCAATTTTTTTTTTCAAGAGGGTGCCAATACCATTCAATGGGGGAAAAGTCTTTTTCAACAGTCTTTTCAACAAATGGTGCAGGAACAACTGGATATCCACTAGCAAAAGGATAAATCTGGACCCCCCTATGTCACACTATATATAAAGATTAATTCAGAATAGAACAAAGATCTAAATTTAAGAGCTAAAATACTAAAACTCTTAGAATAAAACATAGAGGTAAATTAGTTATGACTTTGGATTAGGTAATGATTTCTTCAATATGATACCAAAAGCACAAACAACGCTTTTTTTGGTTTTGTTTTTGTTTTTGAGACAGAGTCTCACTCTGTCGCCCAGGCTTCAGTACGATAGCATGATCTCAGCTCACTGCAACCTCCGCCTCCTGGGTTCAAGCGATTCTCCTGTCTCAGCCTCCAGAGTAGCTGGGATTACAGGCGCCCACCACCACACTTGGCTAATTTTTTTGTATTTTTAGTAGAGACGGGGTTTCACCATGTTGGCCAGGCTGGTCTCAAACTCCTGACCTCAGGTGATCCACCCACCTCGGCCTCCCAAAGTGCTGGGATTACAGGCGTGAGCCACTGCACCCGGCCACAACAAAATTTAAAAATAAAGAACTCCATCATTTAAAACTTTTATGCAGCAAAGAACACTGTTAAGAAAGTAAAAAGATAACCCATAAAATGGGAGAAAATATTTGGAAATCATATATCTGATGAGTCTAATATCAAGAATATATATGCTGAGCGTGGTGGCTCACGCCTGTAATCCCAGCACTTTGGGAGGCCAAGGCAGGCGGACCACCTGAGGTCAGGAGTTCAAGACCAGCCTGACCAACATGCTGAAACCTGTCTCTACTAAAAATACAAAAATTATTGGACATTTCTCTAAGGAAGATATACAAATAATGGATAAATAGTGGACATTTCTCTAAGGAAGATATACAAGTAGCCAATAAGCACATGAAAATACGCTCATCCTCATTAGTCATTAGGGAAATGCAAATCAAAACCACAATAAGATACTACTTCCTACCCTTTAGGATGCCTGTAATAATAACTAAACAGCAAAAAACAAAACGATGATGGAAAATAACAAGTGTAAACTAGGATGTGGAGAAACTGAAACCCTTGAACACCACTGATGGGATGGTAAAATGATGCAGTGACTGGAAAACGGTTTGGCAGTCCCTCAAAATTTAAATACAGAATTCCATATGACCCAGCATTTCCATTCTTAGGTACATATCCAAGAATAAAAACATATGCATATGTTCACACAAAAACTTGCCCACAAATGTTCATAGCAGCATGATTCCCAATAGCCAAGAAGCAGAAACAATCCAAATGTCAATCAATTAAAAGAATGTGGTCTATCCATGCAATCAAATATTACTTAGCAAGAAAAAGGAATGAAGTATTGATACAAGTTACGACAGGATTGAACCTTGAAAACGTTATGCCAAGTGAAAGAAACCAACACAAAAGGCCACATACATATGATTTCATTTTCATGAAACATGTAGAACAGGCAAATTCATAGGGACAGAAGCAGATTAGTAGTTGTAAAGCCTAGGGTTGGGGGAACAGAAAGTGACTGCTAAATGAGTATTGGGTTTCTTTTGGGGGTGATGAAAATGTTCTAGAGTTAGATAGTGGTGATGGTTGTACAACACTGGGAATGTACTAAGAGCCACTTAATTATACACGTAAATTTTATGTTGCAAGAATTTTACCTCAACTTTTTTTTAAAGACAGCTCTATATTATACTGATATGGGAGGATCTCTAAGATAGTTCCTATTTATTTCTGCATTGTTATTTTTAGACAGGGTCTTGCCCTGTACCCAGGCTGCAGTACGTGATGCAATGACAGCTCACTGCAGCCTCAACCTTCTGGGCTCAAGCGATCGTCCCATCTCAGCCTCCTGAGAAGCTAACATGCCAATTTTTTTTTTTTTTTTTTTTTTTTTTTTTTTTTTTTTTTTTAGAGACAGGGTCTCGCTATTTTGCCCAGCCTGGTCTTGAATTCCTGATCTCCAGGATATATTGAGGAAAAAAGCAAAGTAAAGAACAGTGTATAGTGTGCTTCTTCTTAAAGGGGGATGGGGAGGTAGAGAAAGAATATATGTACAAGTATTTTTATCTAGCGTATCTTTGCTAAAATATACAAGGAATTGTTACCAGTGGATTGCCTCTGGGGAAGAGAACTTGAAGGCAAAGGCCAGGCGTGAAGAGATTTCCTTTCCAAATAAGCCATCTTGTACAGTTTAAATATTACACTGTGTATATATCACCTTCCCTCCCCACAAAGAAATTAACCTTTTAGAAAGAGTAAATATGTAAATAAAGGGGCCATTATATAATGAAAATATGCTCACAGGAAGGTTGTTGACCCATGCCAGGAGAAAGAAAACACTGGGAATGAGATTCTAGAAGTGTTTATCTAACAGTGACAGATATTGGAGTAATTTTAAAAAATATAATTAGGCATTTCCCAAATACAAGATTATATAAACAGTACAATGCATCATAATAGAAGCTGGAAGGCTGTGTATGTGACAACAGCCTGCTCAATGATAAGCTCCAATCCTCAGGACCCATGGCTCTCCAGGGACAGGAAAACCTGGGCAGCTTCCTCCTCTCACTTCAGATCTCCCCAGTTGGGGGCCTTTGGGCACTGACAGGTAAGGGGGTTCTCTATATTGAAAGGAGCTTTCAAACACCATTTCTATGATTCAAGGAGAAAGAGAGATTGTATAAAATACTCATGGTTATAGTCCAACACCCCATTTTCAACTCTTTTGTCTTGACTCTGAAGATCTTCCAACTGTCCCTAAAAATTTGATGTATTGGTTTAACTCATGGTGATACGGTTTGGATATGTGTCCTCTCCAAATCTCATACTGAAATGTGACCTCCAGTGCTGGAGATGGGGCTTACTGGGAGATATTGGGTCATGGGCACAGACCCCTCATGAATGGGTTGGTGCCATCCCCATGGTAATGAGTCAGTTCTTGCCCTGGTAGTTCCCATGAGATCTGGTTGTTTAAGGAGCCTGGCACCTCACCCCTTCCCTCACCATGTGATGCCTGCTCTCTGTCTTCCGCTATGATTGGAAACTTCCTGAGGCCTCCCCAGAAGCTAAGCAGATGCCAACACCATGCTTTGTGTACAGCCTGCAGGACCGTGAGCCAATCAAACCTCTTTTCTTTGTAAATTACTCAGTCTCAGGTATTTCTTTATAGTAATGCAGGAATGAACTAACAAGTATGGCTTCAAAGTCTCCAGGTACACTTACAGGCATCAGACAAAAAGATGTCCTATCATTGTCTATTACTACCTACAGTCTCCAACACAACCTAAACAAAGCAACTTGTTTCACCCACACTCCCTCAGAGTCGTGATTGTTTTCCACTTCCATCAGATTACCACCAAATCCTCTCTCCTGAGTTTTAAATTCATGACAGAAGCTGCTACTGATTCTGTCTACAATGGCAGAATCTCCCAAAGAAGCCGAGAGTGAGAGCCAGTCCTTCCTGCCCTGTCTTCTTTATTTCTAGAGCTGAAAAAAAAAAAAAACAAACCTGGAAGCCCCACTCAGCAGCAGCTTTTGCAGTCTGTGGCTTAATTTAAGGAAGTATTCCACGAAACCTCTGAAGAGAATCTAAATTTAGATTAAAGTCTTTCACCATCAATGGCAGCTTCTCAGCTAGGGAACCCACATGCAGAGCAGTGTAGTGGGAAAGGGAGAAAAAAAAAAAAACAACTTTAAAATACAGATAAATGTGTCATCATTGAGGGAAGTGAAGCTGGCATTATTTAGCCCAAAAAGATTTGTTTTTTTTTTTTCCCCAACATCTTAATTCTTGATAAAGGGGTGGTATACAAAAACTTTTAGGGAAAGAAACAGTGAAATAAGGAAGATGGATTTTCTTTACAAGATTTCTATTAAGAGAGCAAATAAGCTATTCTGTATAACAGGATGTCTGTAACGATAAAATCGGGCATCAAGATATTGAAATTAACACTGTCTCCAACAGAGTTCTCTAACACTGAGTCAGATGGGAGAGGAAAACCATCTACTTACCAGTTCTGTTTCCCCAACACCCTGCTCTTCCCAAATATGTCAATTTAGACCTTGAATTCTGAGATGGTAAGAGTCAAAGCAAAAAAAAAAAAAAAAAAAAAATAGTGTGAGTTGAGATTAATGACAATTAACAGGGAAATAATGCTATTTTCTATGCATTTTTCTAACCTTGAAGAGTAAAGCTGATCCATTTAAAAGCTAATCTTACCCAATGTTCCATTCCCAAAATAAAATTAAGATATTGTATATAATTTCTAAATTAACACTTAGCAGACCTATCCTCTCTCTCCTCCAAAACAACACCTAGTTTGCAAGCCATATCTATAGACAGATTTCAGCAGATAACTGTGTAAAAGAAAAGAGAGTGATATTTTCTCTGTTCTTTAACACTCGCATCCTCCTCTTCTCCCCGCCCCCAGTCAGCTGGGAAACACTCCCAGATCCTTCCCAAGCTTAGTTTGGAAGTAAAGCTCAGCTTTGATAAACACTCAGCCCAGGAAATGCTTTGGATCGTAGACCACTTAGAATAGTTAGCTTGTCCTTTCCCAAGAGGTCTCTTTTCAAACTCGGTTTGATAGGCGATTTGGCGGTTTTTAAATTTTCACTAAAACCTCTTGGCGCATTGCTGAGAGATAAAATCATAGCAGTCTGGAAACTGTACACATGGTGTAGGGATGCACCACACCCAAGACAAGCTCCTCAAACTCCAGGGGAAAACCATTGTTCCAACGAGCTGCCAACAGGACTCTCTGCAGGAACCAGGGAGCGGCGAGGGGAACAGTCTCCACTGCGCATCACCTTCACTGCGCCATCTTGGTAGCTGCTTGATATAGTCAGCAACAAACGATGCTGGACCCAAGGAAAAGACTACAAGAACCTGTTTTTAGCATTTTGAAATGTTAGGCCGGGCAGGTGGCTCACGCCTGTAATCCCAGCACTTTGGGAGGCTGAGGCTGGTGGATCATCTGAGGTCAAGAGTTCGAGGCCAGCCTGGGCAACATGGTGAAACCCCATCTCTACTAAAAATACAAAATTATCTGGGCATGGTGGCGCATGCCTGTGATCCCAGTTACTCAGGAGGCTGAGGCAGGAGAATCGCTTGAACCCGGGAGGCAGAGGTTGCAGTAAGCCGAGATCGGGCCACCGCACTCCAGCCTGGGCAATAGAGTGAGACTCTGTCTCAAAAAAAAAAAAGAAGAAGAAGAAGAAAAAAAAAGGCCGGGCGCAGTGGCTCACACCTGTAATCTCAGCACTTTGGGAGGCCAAGGCAGGTGGATCACCCAAGGTCAGGAGTTCAAGACCAGCCTGGCCAACATGATGAAACCTCATCTCTACTAAAAAATACAAAATTAGCCAGGTGTGGTGGCGGGCGCCTGTAATCCCAGCTACTTGGGAGGCTGAGGCAGAAGAATTGCTTGAACCTGGGAGGCAGATGTTGCAGTGAGTCAAGATGGCACCATTGCACTCCAGCCTGGGTGACAGAGCGAGATTCCGTGTCAAAAAAAAAAAAAAAAAAAAGTAGTGTCCTTGACCGCACTACTAAAAGGCTCACTCCATAGCACTGACATCAACCATGCCACAGGGCTTTTTTCTTTCTTTCTTTTTTTTTTTTTTTTTTTTTTTTACATAATTAAAATTTCACATCACTTCTCTGTGTCTTTTGGACAACCACTGGTGTTGCACTTGGGAACTGTTCAAAATATCTCGAAGATCAAATAATTGTCTATAGTAGCAAATCCTCTCAACTTGGTTCATGAGTTCAAAGGCTAATGAAGCAGAATCCCAAACGCTGCCTCAAAGTGACAGGCAGGTTCATGAAACTGAACAGAATGTGAAGCCAAGTTCTTTCACCGAGAGAAAATGGTGGCAAGGCCTGAGGACAGAGCCAAACAGAAACACAGGACAGGGCTAGCGTAAACCGAGAATTCCCAAACTTCCGGAATTCACTGAAACTTTTATTTATTTTTTTTTTAGTAAAACTGCAAGAGTGACCTTTCAAAAATATATATGCAATACATAATAATAAGGCAAAGTTTGCTCTGATTTTTAGTAAATAGCCAGTAGCAGTGTAAGCCAAGTTATAAATGGCAATAAAAAAATAAATATTATGGCCAGGGCGTGGTGGCTTACGCCTGTAATTCCAGCACTTTGGGAGGCTGAGAGGATCACTAGAGACCAGGAGTTCGAGACCAGCCTGGGCAACATTGTGAGACCCTGTCTCTATAAAAAATTAAACAATTAGCCGGGCATGGTAGTGCACACCTGTAGTCCCAGCTACTCAGGAGGCCAACGTGGGAGGATCTGCTTGAGCCCAGGAGGTTGAGGCTATAGTGAGCTATGATTGCACCGCTGCACTCTAGCCTGGGTGACAGAGAGAGACTCTGCCTCAAATATTTCAAAATAGATAGATAGATAAATATTAGGTTGGTAAGAGGGGATGGGAATGTGGGGAGAACAAATATTATTTTCCATTTTATATGGTTACTCATCTGTATCATAATAAAGCTTGCATCACTTCCCCTCCATGCCACAGCCCTTGAACTGATCACTTTCTGAGAACGTTGGCTAAACATGAGAGCTCCTAACTGAATGATATAGTAAGAGTTTAATCTAGAGACAAAAAGGAAAAGAACTAGATTTAGAAACAATCTTTACTCCAACTTACAAAGTAAGAAGCCAAATATCTTCCCAAAGCAGTTCAACTTTAGTCCACTTGCAAAATACTCTCAGTGCAGCCTTAGGCAAGTCAGCCCCTAACATGTGCTGGGCAACAGCTGGGTGCCAGGTTACTTCACTTGTTCCTTGCAACAACAACCTGATGGGGTAGGTCTTGTCTGAGGCTTAAAGATGAAGCACATGATTTGGCCAAGGCTACTGGTATGTGGTGGAACTGGGTTGGCTGACTCCATTGCATCTCACCGTCTCAAAAATAGGGACAAGAATACGACCTATCTTGTGAGTTTATCAAGAGGAGGAAATACAACTCATGAAAAGTGCTTGGCCTCATTGCTGCCTGGCAAATAGTAAAGAGCTTCAATAATTGACAAATAGCTTTATTATTATTGTCCAAAGTCACCCCACTAGCAAGCAGCAGAGCTGTACTGGAAATCCAGGTTGGCAGCAGTCTTAAACCCACACTCCAAGTGGTGGTCACCTTAGAATAGTAAGGTATAGCTTACCAGCCTCGCCCAGTTTCCATTTAAAAAGGCCAAAGGGCAGAAGGGGCACTCCAAAGTCCCAATACTGAAGCTTTAATGCTAGCACTTGGCAGAATCTCATTCTAGAATACTTTTGGAGAGACTCCAAGCTTTGGGCATGAAGGCTGCACAGCTCTAGCAAAAGTGATCCAACGGCAGGGAAGGGAAAACGGGACAGGCGCTTCTACAGAATCTGCCTCTCTACCTGAACAGTTCCCTTCTGTGCACTTTAGGTTTGACCTACTTTGCCCACAAAAAGGTTTTAAGCAGTATCTGACTGTAAATGGAAGTAGGTCCAGTGTCAAAAAGGAAAAAAAAAAAAGTCACTACACAAATACTAACTTACCATTGACTGGAGGAGCCACAGTTGGGATCCAACTAGTACTTCTAAGAAGGTTTTAAGAAAGCATGTTACAATAAAGCAGCAAGATACTAAAGCAAGGACATCCAGGGCAGGGCCAACTAAACTTCCCTCTGAATGCCACTGCGCTTTATCAAGACATCCGTCATCATACAAAAATTTAACTTACTTACAGACACTTCTCACCTACTTGGAGTGGTTTTTCAAGGGCCAAATAGAAACCTGACATTAACTTAGTAACCATGTACAGAATGGATAAACAGTATTTACTTCCTCTGGTCTCTACCCTGTTTATTATATCCAGTACTCCACTTGCCAGACAACCTAGAGCATAGTAGTTATTCAATAAAAATTTTCATTCATTCATTCATTCATTCATTCATTCATTCATTCGAGACAGGGTCTTACTCTGTTGTCCAGGCTGGAGTTCAGAAGCACCATCATGGCTCACTGCAGCCTCAAACTCCTGGGTTCAAGAGATCCTCCTGCCTCAGCCTCCCAAGTAGCTGGAACTACAAGCATGCACCACCATGCCTGGCTAATTTTTTGTTTTTGTTTTTTTAAAAGATGGGAGGTTCTCACTATGTTGCCCCAGCTGGTCTTGAGCTCCTGGGTTCAAGCCATCCTCCCACCTTGGCCTCCCACAGTGCTGGGATTACAGGCATGAGCCACTGTGCCCAGCCAATAAATGTTTCTGTTTTTGTTTTTGTTTTAAAGAACCTTTGTAAAGCACTTAGTCTAAACTTTGGGCCCAATAAAGGAGTGCTTATGAAACATCCTAGAAAGACTATCATCCAGCATTTGTGTAAACACAGTAACACACTTTGTGAATGGGGCCTAATCTATTCCCTCATTAGGTGTCGCTCTGTGTCACCAGGTTCCTTCCCAAGTAGCACAACAGCAGTCATCATCACAGCTCACATTACCTATACACTTACCCGTGCACCCTGCTGGCACTTTCCACGGCTAGAAGGTGGCAAAGCCAGGACTGGAACCCAGGCCACTTGCCTCCAGCACCTGGCCCTTAGTTACCATGCTACTCCAGTCCCTGGATCCCATGCTATCCTCAGGGCATGAAAGGAAAAGTCCCTACTTTCTACCCAGCAGGCCTATAAAATTACAATTTATCATCTCATTTCCTGATCCAATCTCCCCGACAACTCACGACTTCTACAGAAGCCAAGTGTCCTCTCTTCCCTCTACCTGCCTGGCACCTCTTCTGTCCGTCTGACCTGCAAAGCAGCCAGACTCATGTCCACTCTGTCTTCGCTTATGCTATTACCACATGGTCTCTCAGCCCACCCAGATCTTTCTAGAGCCAGTTCACATTTGGCCTCCCCAGCAACTAGACTCAGGGGCGCTTTGTATTGTTACTTAACTGTTTCTAGCGAATGTACCATTTCCCTATGGCTGTTAAGTTTCTGGTAGAGACAGTCTTTTTCAATACTCCTCTCTATTGACTGTAGTATTCAATGAGAACAGCGAGCATGTATGGCGTTGGTATTTATCTTCCTTTAGAATGACGAGAAAATTAATATCAAATTCTAATGCAAAAATTATAAGCCTTAATATTAAAGAATCAAGCCTCATTTCAAATAATAAAGTACTTATTTCTTCTTTATACTTTTCAATAAGCATATATTCCTTTTTTTTTTTTTTTAATTATGGGCTGGGCTGGGTGCAGTGGTTCACGCCTGTAATCCCAGCACTTTGGTTGGCTGAGGCAGGCGGATCACGAGGTCAGATGTTCGAGACCAGCCTGGCCAACATGGTGAAACCCTGTCTCTATTAAAAATGTAAAGATCAGCCGGGCGTGGTGGCATGTGCCTGTAGTCCCAGCTACTCGGAGGTTGAGGCAGGAGAATTGCTTGAACCCAGGAGATGGAGGTTGCAGTGAGCTGAGATTGCGCCATTGCACTCCAGCCTGGGCGACAGAGCGAGACGCCATCTCAGAAAAATAAATTTAAAAAAATTAAAAAGTTTAATTAGAAATTATGTATACAGATATTTGCGTGGCAACACATTGGGATAAGATGCATTGATCTGATATTTGTATATTTAAAGTTATTATTCTTTAATTAGATGCTTTTTTGTTCTTAAGCATTTGATCATCTGAACTGGGTTCATTCAAAGTGTTATGAATTTCACAGCTATTAAAAAGAAATCAGCTATATCAAGAGGAGCTGTGTGATGTAGAAACAAATTAACATAACAGAAGTTTATTTCTTGCTCAACTACGTGTTCAGCATAGGTTGGGTCTGAGCAGGGGCCGGGGGGAAGGGCCAGCTTCGGCTTCACGTAATCACTCAGGGATCTAGGCTGATAGAGGCTCCACCACATGACACACAGCTTCTGTGGCAGAGCTGGAGGTTCCTAGTGCTTCAGCCCCGAAGTGGGACAACTCACTTCTCACAGTTTGCTAGCCAGAAGTAGTTACATGGTCCCACCTAACTGCAAGGTCACACGGGAACGTTGACGAGCACAGGGATAGTCATTGCATAGTGAATGTTCCTGCCACGCAGGCAGATCAGGAGGTAAGGAAACAGAGAAATCCCTGATCCGTATGTGCAAAAAGCAAGTATACAACAATGCACACACAATGCTCCCATCTGTGTTAAAAGAAAAAGAGGGAGGGAGTGAGAAAAGGAAGAGGCATTTTAAAAAAATCTCTGGAAGAACACAAGAATACCATGGTAAGAAAAGCTCGGCCGGGCCTGGTGGCTCACGGCTGTAATCCTAGCAGTTTGGAAGGCCGAGATGGGAGGATCACTTGAGGCCAGGAGTTCAAAACCAGCCTGGTCAACATAGCAAGACCCCATCTCTAAAAAAAATTTAAAATAAAATTAAAAAAAAGAACAGCTCTTTCTCTGGAGGCAAGCTGGTTAACAAGGGACAGAGGGGAAAGGAGGCATATTTTTCACAATCACCCTTTTATACCATATGTATGTATTATCTACTTAGAAATACTAACTAAAATAATGTTTAGGCTTTGAGACATGCACTTCAAATTAACAAGTTGGGTTTTTTTCCTGAATAAAGTCCAATTTATTCTAGTATGAGAAACACCAAATCCTTGACTCATACTGCTTGAAATGAAACACTGGGAGTAACTGTGACAAAATCATATCCTTTTGTCAAGTCTTGCTGAGAGATCGTGGACTGGCTTGCGTCTATTCTAAATATAAACAACGCTACTACATAGGCGATACGAAATGTACTTAAATCGATAAACTGTCTCCTTTTGAGAATAATTTTACTTTTATTTCAATTCAGGTTCCATTTTCTAAACCAAAACTCCTTTTCTAAAATAAAAAGGTACTTTTTGTACTGTTCAGATGAACCCTATGCAAAATACAGTAAATAAACCCTCTGGGGTTTCCAAAAAAAAATAATATCGCTGTTTCAGAATGCATTAAGATATGGAATGTACCAGGGTACAGTCTTTTACAAAATTATACTCAACACCCTCAAATAATACTTAAATACATCACATGCCAGATGTGCCAGGAGATAGCCTCTGGGGCTTATGACAAGATGACCGAATGGCTCATCTGTTCTCATGTGGTTGTCTTAAAAGCAGAATCCTGCTGACATTTGGCTGATGAGGTTAAGCCATGAATGACGCAGTCAGTAAACAGGTCAAGTCCCCAAAACGGCTTCCGTAATTCATTTCAATATTAATATCAAAAAGCAAGCCTTTACAAAAAAAACAGGCTTATAATAAATATCCCATTCATAACATTCTAAATACCAGGCTCCTAAGGGAAATGGCATTCTCACAAGGCTATATGCTATCCTTGCAGGTTTTACTTCTAAATTTATGCTAAGCGTATTACATAGCAACTTTTTACTCTACAAGTTGGTCCTTAAATAGCCTGTGACTATCATTCAAGCTCTATAATACCCTGTCCACATTTAAATTTTAGTGGAAAATCAACTACCACGCATTGCTTTCAAATATCAATATTGTACTTTCTAAACTGAATGTGCTGGGTGTATCAAAGGTGTTTACCTAAGCAGGCTTTCTGCCAATAGTTCGTGCTACTCTAAGAGGTTACCGGCACTACCATTTAACCTGCCTTTACCTCCCAAACAGGTTTATTCAAGCAATAGCAACGATGTCCAAAAACATGTCTCATATTTTTTCTAAATCACTGAAGAAAAGTAAATAACCGAAGTTGCCAAGCCAATCTTAGGTGTTATATAATCCATTATTTAAGCCTACAGAATAAATGAGTGATTATTAAATTTCTAGTGTTGCAACACGAGGCCAAATTCAATGTTAAGTTTAGAACAAAAACAAAATTGAAAAGAAACTTTAGATCATACTCTATTATGTTTAAACCAAGACAGATGGTGTATATTTATGAGTATGCAAACAATTCCCAGGACTTCCAAGTCAGAGGCAGCCCTAAAACCATATATCATTGATTTCAAGACACATTTTTTCATATGTTTTGAAATCTTCAAATGAATCACATTTTGCAATATAATTACCTGTGTTTCTTTTTACGTAGTACATAAAACAATGGTATGACTTGCAAGCGGTCATCTTAGATTCATTGAAATAAGACCATGTTACTATTAGCTAACACATATTGAACACATTATGTACCAGACAGTGCATGTGGATTATTTCATTTACTACCCACAACAACACTGAAGTGATTCCAGTTATTTCCCCATTTTTACGTTATGTTATTATTTTAAGATGGTCTCACCCTGTCACCCAGGCTAGAGTGCAGTGGCACAATCACAGCTCATTGTAGCCTCAACCTCTTGAGCTCAAACAATTCTCCCACCTCAGCTCCCAAGTAGCTGGGACTACAGGTGTGCACCACTATGCCCAGCTAATTTTTTTCTATTTTTGTATAGATAGGGTCTTGCTGTGTTGCCCCAGCTGGTCTCAAACTCCTGGGCTCAAGTGATCCTTCCACCTCAACCTCCCCAAATATTGGGATTACGGGTGTGAGCCACTGTACCCAGCCTTCCCCCATTTTTATAGCTAAGGAAACTAAGAAATGATGTCATTTGTGTAAAGGCACAGGCTGGCTCCAGCCGAGCCCTTCATCATTCCACCTTGCTGATTCCACAAACGGAAGAGCTTGGCGGTCTGTGGGATTCAACCATTCCTGGAACACAGGTTCGAACTTCAGCGAAGCATCTTACAAAAACTTTTTTTCTTTTTAAGAATATAGAAGTGAAAATACAGAGCCCCAGATATCAAGAACAGACATTAATTCAAAGAATTTATTATAGGGTAGGGCTGATAATCAACTATCCTATAAAAATCATATTATTGCATAAAAACTAAATTATTTTTCTTTCTACACATCCTGAATTCAATTTACAGATAATCAGCATGTATTTCTCTCTCTTAAAACTGCTCTGTTATCTCTAGAGAAATAATTTAAGAATGTATTCCTATAATCTGTACCTGAATTTTGTTTAAAAATACTCCCAAATAGGCTGGGCATAGTGGCTCACACCTGTAATCCCAGCACTTTGGGAGGCTGAGGCGGGCCAATCAGCTGAGGTCAAGAGTTCAAGGCCAGCCTGGCCAACATGGTGAAACCTATCTCTACTAAAAATACAAAAAATTAGCCAGGCGCAGTGGCACATGCCTGTAGTTCCAGCTACTTGGGAGGCTGAGGCAGGAGAATCACTTGAACCCAGAAGGCAGAGATTGCAGTGAGCTAAGATCACACCACTGCACTCCAGCCTGGGTGACAAAAGTGAAACTCCGTCTCCAAAAAGAAAAACAAAAAGTCCCAAATAACATTATACAACAATCCAGGAACATTCTGCAATACAAATTGACAACAAAATTTATGGGGCTAAGTTCACATATAAAGGTACCACTCCTAACCCTTGGTCAAAAATTCTTGGCACTTTTACCAAATCTTTTGCTTCATACTACCACAAAGAAGGTATACTTCTTTTTCAGAAGTGCATTAAATGGTAGCTGTACCTTCCTTTTACTCAGCATAATGAAGCTAACATTATAAATTTTAAAAGAAAACAATCGGTATCATCTAGTTATTTATTGATTGCCCACCTGGCATCCATATTCCTGTTCCCCCAAACAACCCAAGTCTGTATTGTGGGTGGGACTAACCCCCTGATTAGATTCAAAGATGGAACCTAATTGTCCAACGAGCACATCCCATCATCCCAGCCACAGCGGTTGGTTCAGCAATGAACACTTGACCCAAATTAGGCCAATGAGACAAGAGGATTCAACTCCAGGCCTTCTACCCCAGGACTGAGCTGTTGAAGAAGCAGACTTTTAACTTTTCTGCTGGATTTAAAGCTGCAAGCAAACAGCCATGGAGCTTTTGAGCACAAGGGGAAGAGATGGTCATGAATAGTGCTGAGGTCAAAACACTGAGATATAGAGAGAAACCAGGTCCTTGCTTTGCCATTGGAATGACTTGGGCTTTTCAGTGAAGTCACTAAAATTCTCTCTATTGAGCTAATTTAACCTAGGTTTTCTGCTACTTACATCTGAAGGTATCCTGCTTTTAAACAACAACAACATTAGGAAGTGCGATATTGTACATAAAAGACAGAATTAAAAATGTGGAAATTAGCTGAAGAAAGGAGGCAGGGTGAAAAATCAATGAATACCCTCCTCACCCGGCCTGAGAATTTAACTATCTTTATTATCAGGGAAAGAAACAATCAGACTGTGGTCTGATGCAACCACCAAGACTACAAGGAACACTAAGGGACTTGGTAGGAAAGAATCAAGGAAATGGGTAGGTGGGTGGTTCTTGCCTGTAATCCTAGTACTTTGGGAGACCAAGATGGGAGGATCGCTTGAAGCCAGGAGTTCTGGACAAGCCTGGGCAATATAGTGAGACCCTGTCTCTACAAAAAGTTTAAAAATTAGCTGGGCATGGTGGCTCATGCTGAGGTGGGGATGACTTGAGCCCAGGAGTTTGAGGCTGCAGTGGGCTATGACTGTGCCATTGTACTCCAGCCTGGGCGACAGAACAAGATCCTGTCTCAAAGAAAATGCAGTGAAGAGGGAGGAAAAGAGGCCCTTTCTGCTACAAAATGCAATCTAGGGGAACCAAGAGATAGGATGAAGAAAGAAAGGGAGGGAAGACTTAGCAGGAGATAAGGCTGTGGGGTAGGGTGAGCAAAAGAAGGCTTCCCCAGGTCTCTCCCAAGCACTCAGGTCCAGTATTCACAGCCTGAAAATGGGAAACGTTATTCAAGATGCAACCGCAAAGCTTGGGCAAGGGGCAAATGAATGATGTCTCTCCAGCCCAACCAGTTATCCCCGCCAGCCCTGAGGGAGAGGCTAAGGAAAAGACCTGGAAACCAAAAGCTACAAAGCTGGGCCAAATTCCAGAATTAAAATTTCGGGCTTTGGTTCAAGCCCCTGGAATGGCCCAGAAGCCCAAGATAGAGTAGACTTGCCTTTTAGGGTATCACATAGTCAAAGAAACCCCAAGCCTGGCTGACAACAACCTGTAATTGCTTGATCTCTAATCCCTGCTCATATCAACAAGAAGTGGCTATGAACGCAATGCTGCCTCCAGGAGAGGTGTCCTCCGACGCCCAACTCAGAGGCGACCAGGAGACCCAATAAACAAGGAGGGCATTAATTCTCTCATTCACCAGGTATTTGTGAGCACCAGCAGGTGCCAAGCAGTGTTGAAGGGGATACAGAAGTAAACAGACAGCAAGGACCCTAGCTTCACGGAACTTGACTACCAAGAGCAGAGACAGAAAATAAAAATTGATTGGACATTGGTAGATGGATGATGGGAGAATAACCAAACAAAAATACCATGAAGTGGTGAGTGCTATGAAGACAGCAGAATAGGCTGCCTGATCGTGAGTGAGGGAGGGACTATGAAGGGATGGTCAGGGAGGGTATCCCTGAGGTGATGATATTTATTTAGGCTGAAGGCCTGAATGACAGGAAGAAGCCATTGAGAAGTCAAGAGGAAGAGTATTATAACATCACACAGACACACGGACACACACACACACACACACACACACAGAGGAATAATTCATGCAAAAGCCCTTAAGCAGGATTAAACTCGCCACATTTGAGGACTGGGGTGGAGAATAAGGCAGAACCTGGCACAGAGGCTGCCAGAGAGGAATATGGCAGGATCACAGAGGGAGTTTGATTTTATTCTGAGTAGGGAGCTGCTGGAGGGCTTTAAGGAAGGAAATGACATGATCTGATTTATGCTCTTAAAAGATTTGGGGGTGACAGTTTAGTGGTTGCCAGGGTCCCAGGGACTGGGGATGGGTGGATGCGGCTAGAAAGGGATAGCTCCAAGGAGGCTGGGGTGGTGGTGCAGCTGGTCATCTTGATTGCAATGGTGGTGATATGAATTTGTACATGGGATCAAACTGCATAGACTGCTACACACACACACACCCCACCCACACGCAGTGCACGCGGAGCTAGTGAAATCTGACTAAGCTCTGGATTGCACCAATGTAAACAGTTAGTTTCCCGGGTCTTTTTGCTTGCATTATTTTGCCCTTACTTTTTCCCTATCGTTAGAACCCATGAACAAGTTCCTGGTTTTGACATGCCACAGTTATACAAAACACTAAAATTGGGGGAGGCTGAGTGAAGGGTACACAGGACCTCCCGGTACATTTCTCTCCCATCTCCTGTGAATCTATCATTACTTCAAAATTAAAAAAGAAAAAAAAAAGGTCTCTAAGGCTGCCATTTAAGGTATAGATTAGAGAAAAAAGAAAGTAGAACCACAATATGTGACACCAATCCACACTCAAGGAAAGGGTTAAAATGAAAAAGAAAACACGCAGATTGGCAAAGGAGCACCTGGAACTCTCATACGCCACTGGTGGAAAATGTAAATTGGTATAACCACTTCGGAAAAGCATTTGGCAAGTTTCATTACAGTTGAACATATGCCTATTCCACAGTCCAGTGACTCTACTCCTGAGTATACACCCAACAGAAGTGTATGCAAATACTCACCAAAAGACATATACCTGAAAATTCCAAACAGCACTAGTCTTAAAAGCCAAAACTAGAAAGGACTCTGCCCATCAACAGATAAAGGGATAAATTATGGTATATGCCCATAATGGGATATTGAACAGCAAAGAGAATGACTGACGTACAACCACACATAACAATACGGATAAATCTCACAAAAATAACATTGAACAAAAGAAACCAGTTGCATGCAGTAAGATTCCATTAATACAAAGTTCAAAAACAGGCTGTTACAAGTCAGGACTGTGGTTATCTTTGCCAGGGGGGTGCGGCTGAGGGAGGTAGAAAGTGAGAATGAGCTATTTTCAGGATTGTAGGGACATTCCAAGCACCAGCAATATTCTATTTCTTGATCTAGATCAGGAAAAGTGCTTCTCCACCCACTTTTTTTTTTTTTTTTTTTTGAGACAGGGTCTCGCTCTGTAAGGCTAAACGTGCCTTATTTCCAGAGTTTTTTGGTTTTGTTTCGTTTTTTTTTGCAAATTCTACTCCTGAGCAATTTGTTTATTTTTCTCTTTTCCCCAATCCTTAGAATCTGTGAACAATTTCCTGGTTTTGATATTATACCAGAGTTTTACAAGGGACTAAAACTTCTACCCATGTTTACAGGTATTTCCTCACCAGGCTCAAGTGAGGAACCACGCGAGAACCCTTTGGAAACTATGAAACACTGTACAGACGGGAGGTATTAGTATCACTGACAGGTATGAACAGGCAGCAAGCAGGTCTCACCTCTATAATTTGTAGGTAATATATGTAGAAATAAAATTGAGTAAACTTTGGATTTTTTTTACCCCAAAGACCTAAGAGGGGAAAAAAGCAAATATATCACATTGAAGTTACCATGTTTTCTACTTCTACAGAGCCAGATGCCAATATTGCTTTTTAAAGCACTTCTAAAATTAAAAACAATCCCTTAAAAAAGTTCATGGCAAACACATTGACTATAAATACTTGGAAAAATACTAAATTATTATTACTGGCTTATGCAAATGAGCATTTTACTCCTATTTTAAAGATGAGATTATTTTATAAAAATAGGTCAGAGATAACCCCAAATGACATTCTAAATAAATTATGTAAACCACTATTATTCAGAACCAAGACCTCAGTTTTTTAAAGAACTCACTATATAAACAAGATCTAGAGTCCAAATTTCTTAATCTGAAAGTAATCATTTTGCCTTATTTTAATATGATAGAACAAGCTTTTTGGGGGGTCAGGCAACTCGCTATTACATAATAAACATACTCTCTGGGAAAATAAGTCTGTTCAGAGCTATAAGACAAGTAGCCAAGAATTTTATTCTGTAGAACCCAGGAATCTTCCTAGTGAGGAAGTCCTTATAAATATGAGTATGTACTTTGAAATGCTATAATATTTTAGCCTTTTAAAATACATTCGGCACAATCATTTTGATTTTTCAGAATGTCTACATTTCAAAACAATTGGCAGTTAGTGTACTTACTAGTTGCTCTAAGAAATTCTTATCTATTTAAGAGCTTTTTAATCTTTTTAATTGTTGAAAAGCAATACATGCTCAAGGGGGTGAGAAAAGGGAGGAGATTAAATATTACAAAAGGCATATAATGAAAAGTCACCCTCTCTTCTCTCTTTTCTCTCCTCTCTCCCTCTCTCCTCTCTCTTTCCTCTGAAGAGGAGAACAGGAGAATCTCTTCAAAGGAAATCAACAGTCAAAATCTTTCAGTCGTATTCTATACAGACCTATCTATAGATTTCCCCCTTTATTTTTATTTCTTGTTTTATTATTCAAATAGTACACACACTAGCCTCTGTTTTGAATCATGCTTTTTCCCCCCACTCAATAATATATCTTGGAGAATGTTCCATATCAGAATATAAAACACTATCTTATTATGTTACAGCTACACATCATTGGGAATACACGATAATTTACTTAACTAGTCCCTGCTGATACACATTCACATTGATTTCAGTCTTTTATAATTTCAAACAATGCTGCAATGATTTTACACACCGGACTTTACATAAATGTGTGAAAACACCCATAAGAAAAAAGTCCTACATGCAGAATTGCTAGATCAAAGAGCATAAACATTTATGATCTGATAGACAGTGCCAAACTGCTCTTGGTACCTACTCTATCAATTTATATTCTCAACCACTAGAGTAAAAGACCTGTTTTTCCACACTCTTGTCTCATCACAGAAGATTTTCAATCTCTTTGATCTGCCACTCTTCTAGATGAAAAATTGTTTCATTCTTACTTTTAATTTGTAGTTTGTTTAGTATGAATAGGGCTGATTATCAATTAAAAATAAATTTTTAGAGAAAGAAAATGGGCATAAGAGAGAACAGGGCACAGCGGCATATACTTGCAGTCCCAGCTACTCAGGAAGCTGATGATCGCTTGAGCCCAGGAGTTCCAGGCTGCAGTGAGCTATGATCACGCCAGTGTACTCTAGCCTAGCCTGGGCGACAGAGCAAGACCCCATCTCTAAAGAAGAAAAGGAAAGAAGAAGAGAGAAAATAGGGTTGTCTTTTCACATGTTTCAAATCCATTTCCATTTTCTTTTCTGTGAATTGTCCATATTCTTTGCCTATTAGGTACTGGCCTTTTCCTAATTGATTTTGAAGGCTCTTTATATATTAGGAAAACCAGACTTTCATTTTCGTATCCATTACAGATTGTTGTTCCTAGTTTGTCTTTGCATGTTGATTTTATCCTATTTTTTGCCATGGAGAAATTTTCCATCCAGCTAAAGTTTTTTATTGTTTATAAGTGTTTTTCAGCTGATCTTTTGGGCTTTTAAAGATATATCATAACGTCTATAAATAACAGCAATTTTGTTTCCTGCTTTCTGATGTCTTTCTCTAGTTATTAATAATAACTATTTTGACAGTGTACATCCCTGCATTGTTCCTGATTTTAATGGGAATGTTTCCACAATTTCATCATTTAAAGATGATGCTGGCTAGGTGCAGTGGCTCATGCCTGTAATCCACGTACTTTGGGAGGCTGAGGCAGGTGGATTGCTTGAGCTCAGGAATTCAAGACCAGCCGGGCAACAGGGCGAAACCCCATCTCTACCAAAACTACAATGATTAGCCAGCCGTGGTGGCACATGCCTGTGGTCTCAGCTACTCGGGAGGCTGAGGTGGGAGGATCACTGGAGCCCAAGAAGTCGAGGCTGCAGTGAGCTGTTATGGTGCCACTGCACCCCAGTCTGGGTAACAGAGTGAGACCCCATCTCCAAACAAAACAAAAAATAAACATGATACTGTCCGATGGCACATTACCTGGCCTGGGAAAAACATAAAATAAAAATAAAGATAATACTGGTTTTGGCTTCTAACACTATTTCTCTAAGGAATTTCTGAATACATAATTTATCAATTCATTGTATTATTTTTCCATGTTTATTAACCGGTTCTATAGATTTTCTTCAATGTCAAAGTACGTTATTAGCTTTATTATTTACCTGGCTATTTAGGAATAAGACATAACAGGAATCTATGACTGTATTAATACTGTGCTACTCTATAAATAATTCATAACTACTCATTAAAATATTTAATCCATCTCTAGCAGGTCCTTTTGTGCTCTAAAAAGACAGATCTCTGGCATTAAAGATAGGAAAACTGAATCATGAAAAGATCATAATCCTATGCACCCCCTCCCCTTTCTTCATTGTGGTACTTGTGTGAATTAGAAATCAAATTCAGACCTTCTGATCCCCAGTCCAGTGTTGGAACCACAGGAAAGCATCATGCCCTTTAGAGAACTCAGCGGATGCCCAACATACAAAGAACGCAGGCTGCCATCTACAATCTGCAGCTTCGTGACATGCTCCTCCAGACTCCTGAAAGCAAGCTGCAAGTTGGGCTCCGGAGCTTAAAACATCTGAAATGCATCACCCAGCAGCCAGGAGGATAGGTTCCTGCTCAGTGATAAACGATGTTGCCGACATTCCTCAGCCAATTAGAATTCCTTTCAGCTGCAGTGGAGGTGAACACAGCTGGAATTACAGAGTGGGGCGCGTCACCAGACGCGCTGATTATACATTATTTAAGCCTTGTTTTAAAACAATATGAGGGTGTTTTTTCCCCCATTAGTCCAGAAATGTGGAAACAACATTCCACTTGGTTTAAATATCTAAATGGATTAAATTGCATCTGGAGACAAAACAGTAATAGTGACATTTTAAAAAGAAGATATGCCCAAGCCCCATAGCTATGTGCTTTTGTTTTTTAAACATAGCTCCATGGCTTTCCTTTAACTAGAAAGGCCTTAGGGACTTTAGTCAGTCAGAATGAGTTCCCTGGACAAGAAGCTAATTTAAGTTGGAGGCTTTCACTTACAAATTCACTTACAAAATAACAAACCAGTAATTTAAAACTTGTTCAGTGACAAAAAAAAAAAATTGTATATTCCTTGTTTAAAAAAAAATTAGCCTCTAAAATGGTTTTGAAATTATAAAAAATTGATCCAAATAAGCATCCTAAAAGTTAGCTGTCTTACCCAGCAAATCAGAGCATGGCGAAGATATCAAGTTATTTCATCCATTTGAGGCTTTTTTGAACCACTGAATAAAACGCACAATTCAGCTATTTTAACTGTTAACCAGTGCCCACGATGTTGTACAAAACAGCCAGTCTAGTTAACTGGATCACTGAGGTGATATTGAAACACTATTTGTCGTTTTGTCTTTTTTTCTTTCTTAATCCATGAGGAAATATTTCATAAATAACACAGCCTCCAAAACCTTTCTTTCACCCAATTTTCCACACTAGAACCTGACATTGTGACTGAACCGAGAAAATGAAAATGTGTGGAAGAGAAAGAAAAACCCAACATTCAGAAAGGACTTTTGTAACTGCAAGACTAGAGGTTTTAAACTCTGACAGATGGACTTGAAGTTAAAAATCCTAGTTTGATAAATCACAACTACTGTAAAAATGGAGATAGAAATAAAGCATATGAAAGATTTCATGTCTAAAGTCAGTTGGGTGGGCCAAGAAGATTAAAAGGAAAAAAAAATGGATTTGAAAAAAGAAAGTTGTTCTAAAAGGCAACACAAATGTGATCAAATCACAAAATCAATGACAAAAACCTCTATTTGGCAGAATGTGATTCTTCTTAAAGTATAATTGCAATTCAAGTTTTGCAACAGCATTTGTTCTAACCCATCCTACACCTTCCAATAATTCATCTCAAAGAACTGCCTTAACTGTATCTTCCTAAACTTGAGGCAGACCCTAAGGAAAATGTAAATGCAAAGGGAGCTAAAAACTGACCACTTATTCCATCTTATCACAGCAACTGTGTTATATGGTTTTTGAAACAAAAGTTTTGCCTGCCTCACATAAGTGAGGTTCTTAGCTGGTACAAATTGACAAAGTCAACAGTCTTAACAATTTTCTTAATCTTTCTTGAGAGACTTAACTATTTTGAATCAATTGAGACACCTGTAATTCATCAACCAACATCATCAACAGCTATTACCACAACTATTTCACTCACAGTTGCACCATCTGAATGCCAAAACACAAGTCACCCTTACATCCCACAAGCTACAATTTTAAAAACAACCTCATATTTCCACATGCTATCAAGGAAAGTCTCTTTGTTCCTCTCTGTTTGGAATTAGAGTTTTTCTTACTTCACAATATGCAGTCATGCTCCAAAAGATATAAAAACACCAGGATATCTGAGAGTATTTCAATGCATAAAAGCACAAAAAAGTTTAGGCACTTGTATTTCAACTAATTGGTTGACATTACAATAAAATTTAATTTTCTTGAAGAGCATTGTAGAACCCTGAATTCCATTCTTTTACCCAAAGTGGCCTAAACAATGTGTCTGGGATTCATTTGTGTACCAGATAAGAACAAAGTTTTTGCAAATCCTGCTTGATTTTTCAATCAAAATGTTTCTAAAGTGTTTGATTTGCCAGTGAACTCCAATGACTACAAGATAATGCTCTTTAACAAAAGATCACTTGATTCTGGATATATTATGCCCCTAAACCTACTGAAACCATTTAAAAACTATTTTCCTACTAAAATACCACAAAAACATTCGTTAAAATGTTATTATTTTAAATACAAAGGCTCAAATATTCTTCTACTGTTTAGACCAGGTTGCCAAAGCAGTTCAACATATTACCCAACAGTTTTCAAAAACAATCCCACATGAAGAAATAAAGTCATAAATGTAATCAATACACAAAATTAATGCTTGGCATAAATCAAACACATGTGCTACACTCCAACACAATTTTCTGAATATCAGGATTAAGAATACCACTAAGCCCAAGTGCCCAACAGTAATTTGAAATAAGTAGGTAGCTAAATTGATATATCCTGTGAGAAGGAGGATCAAAGAGTATTATAATGGAGCTGAAATCTCATTTGATATATAAAGAAACTGAGACCCAAAAAGGTTAAATAACTTGTTCCGTAACATGTAGTTAATGAGAAATCTGTCTAGAATCTAGGTCTCCTAACTGTAAATCTAATGCCCTATTCACCCCCAAATAGAATCGTGGACCCCAAAGTTCTAAATGTAGTATCTTCAGTATCCTTTTTTTTTTTTTTTTTTTTTTTGAGACAGAGTCTCACTCTGTTGCCCAGGCTGAAGTGCAGTGGCACAATCTCGGTTCACTGCAAGCTCCACCTCCCAGGTTCAAGCCATTCTCCTGCCTCAGCCTACCCAGTAGCTGGGACTACAGGCGCCCGCCACCACACCCAGCTAATTTTTTGTATTTCTACTAGAGACGAGGTTTCACTGTGTTAGTCAGGATGGTCTCAATCTCCTGACCTCGTGATCCGCCCCACCTCAGCCTCCCAAAGTGCTGAGATTACAGGTGTGAGCCACCGCGCCCAGCTAATTTTTTGTATTTCTAGTAGAGACGGGGTTTCACCGTGTTAGCCAGGATGGTCTCAACCTCCTGACCTCGTGATCTGCCTCAGCCTCCCAAAGTGCTGGGATTCAGGCGTGAGCCACGGCGCCAGGCCATCTTCACTATCTTTGCACTGAATTTCGCTCTGTGTCTATTCATTGACTGGTTGAAATATCCCTCATTTTTAACAGTCTTTTTTTTTTTTCCAAATAACAAACATGGAAATAAACTCTGAAACCTGTAACAAAAGTATTCAAATTTTGAAAGATTGCTTCTCAACATCCCAGAAGTGAGAATTCAAACTTCCCTTAACCAGAAAGATGAGACTAAAACCTATTCCACCGTCAACAAACTTCTAGTTCAAACCTTTCGAGGTAAACTAAGGTTCCACGTACTGGCATTGCATGTGTACCATTACCGCTAAACCGCAATCCTATTGTAAGGATGATCACACTCACAAATCCTCTCAAACCATTCATAACATCTACTGAAAGGGAAAGGGAAAGGGAAAAGGTGTTTCAGAAACAACACTCATCACCTGATCCTTCCCTATCAAATGTCATCCAAAAATTCCTCAAAGCATTCTTGCTTCGATAATCTAAATTCCTAAATCCAAAAATAATTTGGTAGGAGGAGAAACCAAGTCCTCCCTTTCAAGGCTCAGGCTTGGCAAATAGGATTGATTAATATACATACACCAGACATAAACATTTCAATTAAAACCTATTCCTTCTAAAACATTCATCATATTTCTAACACAAAATCAGTTGCTTTCGCTTTTAACAAGATAACTGAAACCAATCTGATGTCAATTACAGACTGAGCTGTAAATCAGAACCAAGTTAAAAGCTTTACAAGTATTACAATCTCAAAAATGTTACTTTTATCTTACCACATAAATAAAAATGTATCTACATTGTATCTACAAAGTGAGAAGCGTTTCCTATCAGCCCTGGCATAAAGAAATGTATTTCCCCAGAAGCAAAGATCCCAGAGGAAACTACCTCCTACGTTACAAAACCAGGGTCTGGGTTTGGGTCCAAATCATTATTTGATATCTTTATACAAAAAAACAAAACCTTCTCTTAAGACAAAAGTTGGGCCATGCAACAACTATGGGCTCTCAAAGTAAATTTTAGTTTAAAAAAATTACCTATTGTTTGCATGGATTTTACCGATGACTTTATGGCTGCGCATCTGCCATAAAGTGTTCAAAACGCTCATTCTCTCTTTGAAAGGACCTGACCAAACCAGGACTTTGGAGTTCTCACCCGACTGAGCCACTGAACAGAAAAATCCAGGGGAAAATCCCTGACGGGGATTAGAATGAACTTTTTAGTTTCCTTCCAGAGCTGGAAATATTCGAGTTTGGAAAGTCCCGGAGCAGAGCCGCATTTGCAACACGGCCATCCTGCTTTAGGGATGAATTGAAACTGGAAAGAGAGTAGTACCAATGAGAGTGAGAAAGGGAAGACGAGGATGCAGCCTGGTCCAGAACCTCTGGAGCCCGGGGGGAAACAGGTTGGCATCACATCCGCGCCACCAAGTCGCAGGCCCGCGGCAGAGCGTTGCGCTCACCCTTGAAGGTGGCACTACAGAGCCACCCAGGAAACACGGACTTTTCATTGAAGACAAAATGAATCAAGGAGCCTGCGTGTGGGCAGCTTCCAAAGCCTCCAGTGAGTGTGGGAGTAGGGATCAGAGCCTCACGGCGCTCTGGGTTGCTGAGTGTGGGGGTGATGGTGAAACAAAATGCAGAAAAGGTAAAAATTGAAGAAGCAGAGTTAAAAGTAGCTAGCGGTCTGGCCTAAGAGACAGGAAGTGGCCCAGACTGAGACTGAAGAGGGCTGGACCAGGGGGAAGTGAAGAGAGCAGGACTGGGAGCAGCTACAAGATAGGATTGAGGAATTTCAGGCTGAAGGAAAGAAAGGGTGGAGGCCTCGCCAGACAGCAGCGAGGGGGCGGGGCTAGGCAGGAATGAGGGCGGGGCTTGAAAGTGAGGGGCGGGGCTAGGGGAAGAAGGGAGGAGGACGGTGTGGGGGGGTGAGGGAGAAACGAAAGAGGATGGGGGAGTGAGAAGAGGGTGGGTGGGGGCAGGAGGGGAGAAGCAAGGGGGCAAGTGGAAGGGGAGGTAGCAAAATAGCTTGGAAGTGGTGGGAAAGACCAGGAGGATGAGGGGAGGGAGCAGGTGGGAGGGAAAACAGGAAAGCAAGAGAGATGATGGGAAAGTGGTGAGAAGTGAGGGATGGGACCAGGGGAACAGAGGCAAGGCCAGGAGGGAAAAGCGAGGGGGCAGGTGGGCGGAGAGGATGGGAAGCGAGGAGAAGGAGGGAGGGGGTAAAAACGGCGGAGGAGAAAAAAAGGAGAGAAGCAAGGGGGCGGGACCAGGAAGAAGTGAGGGCCGATGCTAGGAAAGAAGTGAGGAGGCGGGACCAGGAAGAAGTGAGGGCCCAGGCTAGGAAAGAAGTGAGGAGGCGGGACCAGAGAGAAGCGAGGGAGCTGGACGCAGGGAGAAGCGAGGGGGCGGGGACAGAAAGTTAGGAGGCGGGAGCAGAGAGGAGCGAGGGGGTGGGGCCAGAGAGATGGGCGGGGTCAGGTTTGGGGAGGAAAGGTGGGGAAGAGAAAGGACCACAGGGATGGAGGTGAAAGGCAAGGGGGCGGGGCCTGGGGGGAGAAGCGAGGGGTCAGGTGCTAGGGAGAGGAAGGGAAGCGAGAGGCAAGGGGCCGAGCCGGGGAGAGGTGAGGGGAAAGGGCCTGGAAGGAGATGCAAGGGGCGGGGCCAGGAAAAGAGAAGCGAGGGGCGGGGCCAGGGAAGGAGATGCAAGGGGCGTGGCCATGAATGGAAATGAGAGGGGCGGGGCCAGGACGGAGATGCGAGGGGGCAGGTGCGGGGGAACGGGAGGGAACGCGAGACCGAGGGGGCGCGAGCGGCCAGGGGGCGGGGCCGGGCAACGGCGAGGGGGCGGGGCCAGGAGGGAGAAGCGAGGGGCGCACGCCGAAGGGGGTGACGAGGTCCTGGGACAACGGCCGGCGTGGGGGAGGGCCGCTTCCAAGGGCGCCCTGCGGGGAATTCCGGGGCGGGCGAGGGGGCGCCGGGGCGCGGGTGGGCCTCCCGCCGGCCGTACCTGTCAGACGGATCTTGATGCTGGAGCCGTTCCTGCGTGTCCCGGGGTTCGACATCTCCCGCCAACGATCGGGCAGCCGCGGATCCAGCGCCACCGCCCCCCAGCCCGGCCCGGCCCGGCCCCGCCGCCGCCGCCTCAAGGTTACGGCTCCGGGCTGGGCGCCGGGGTCCGAGCCGGGACACAAACTCCGCGGCCCAGGCGTCCGGGCGGCAGGCGGATGGTCGAGCCGGGAGATCGGCGCTTGCTGCGGCGCTCTGACCCTCGCTGCTTCCAGCCGAGCCCAGTCCCGAGCCGCCGCCGCCTCCGCCGCCGCCTCCGCCGCCTCCACCACCTCAGAGCCGGACGCCCGCCGCCCTCGCCGCTTCCGCCGCTGCCGCCGCCTCTCCGAGCCGCGCGCGCGCCCGCCGCCGTGCCGGCCCGGCCCTGCGCGCCCCCGCGCCTGCGTGCGTGCGCGCCCCCGCCACGTACGCTGGGGCGGGGCGGGGTGCGCTGCTACGTCGCCCGCACGCCTGCCTCGGGCGCGCGGGGCCCGGATCCCGCGGGTTGGGGTCTTCACCCTTCCTGTGGTCGGTGGGTGGGAGGGTCTGGCCCCGAGCCCGGGAAGGGAGAGCAGAGCTGGCCCCGGGACCCAGCGCGCGGTCGCCCTCTGTCTTGACCCCTGTCTCTGCGAGGCTCTGGGCTCCTGAGTGACTGAAGAGTGGTTTGCATGAAACCGTGGGCTGTGTCCACACCAAGCTCCTTGCACACAGGCGTGCAATACCAGTTTTTTTCAGTTAAGAGCTTTCGATCGTGCAAGTTCAAGGGAGGGACTTCTCAAAGAGACAAAGCCCTTAGGTGTGTTCTGTGCAACGGGTGTGCTCCACTGACCCATAACAAAGTTGCCAGAATCGCAGAAGTGCCATATACGGACAAGGAAAACGAGATGAGAGGGAGGGATAAAGTTGAGAGGCGGATGTTTGTTATTATCCATTCTGCATACAATTTTACCAAACAAGAAAGTGGCATTGTGGTTTGTGTTCCCATGTCTTCTGCTAAATTTCCCCTTCTCCCGGGGTTGCAGGTTAGAACCAAAAGCTCATGGCTGGGTACGGTGGCTGTAGCCTGTAATCCCAGCACTTTGGGAGGCCGAGGCGGGCGGATCACTTGAGCCCAGGACTTTGAGGCCAGCCTGGGCAACATAGGGAGACTCCATCTCTACAAAAAATACAAAAATTAGCTGGGCATGGTGGTGCGCGCCTGTAGTCCCAGGTACTGGGAGGCTGAGGTGGGAGGATCACTTGAGCCCCAGAGTTCATGGCTGCAGTGAGCTATGATCAGGCCACTGCACTACAGCCTGGGTGACAGAGCTAGACACTGTCTCAAAACACACACACACACACACACACACACACACAGAAAAAGCTCATTATGCGCTTTCTCCAGCAAACAAACTCCTCTCTGTTAGCATGTTATAGAAATAAACTGGTATTATTAGAAAGAGGGAAAACTAGGTTTATCAAACTTGTTTTTTACCCACTACCTTGTTGTTGTTGTTGTTGTTTTTTGAGACAGGGTCTCACTCTGTCACCCAGGCTGGAGTGCAGTGGCACGGTCTTGGCTCACTGCAACCTCCACCTCCCAGGTTCAAGTGATTCTCGTGTCTCAGCCTCCTGTATAGCTGGGATTACAGGCGTTAGCCACCACACCCAGCTAATTTTTGTATTTTTGGTAGAGATGGGGTTTCGCTGTTTTGGCCAGGCTGGTCTCAAACTTCTGAGCTCAGGTGATCTGCCCGCTTCAGCCTCCCAAAGTGCTGGGATTTCAGGCCTAAGCCACCGCTCCCAGACCCCACTACCCATTTTCATGTACAAGTTCTTTTTTATTTTTATTTGATTCTTCATCAATCAACTTGAACAAATTCTTTTAATACTGTGTGTGTGTGTGTGTGTGTGTGTGTCCCAAGGAAAGTAGGCTCTGGGCCATTGCTACCATCCCCTGCAGCCTTGTGCCTGTCCTAAGGTCACAGTCTTCGGAACAGAGCCTTCTACCTAGAGCGCCTAGACATACCTGCCTGCCTGCCCGCCTGCCTGCCTGCCTGCCTGCCTCGGATGACCCTAGTGAAAGCAGAGTCTCTCCTGGGCAGGATTCAAGGCATCACATCTGTCAAATAAAAGGATGGTCCTAGGTCATTTCTATGGCACCTTGCGGCTCTTTCAGTTATCCTCAAGAAAGACCCAAGAATATAAGCAATGTTTAAGCAATAGCAGTAGAGCCACAATCCAGCTGTTTCCATTTGTAGATGATTGTCACAGAGAGTGAATGCCTGGGTCTGAATTAATCCATCCAGTCTCTAATGCTCCCAAGTAATCCCCATTCTTCTGCCAATCCCGTTAGTATTTCCCCCCTATTCAAAGAGTCTCCTCTCTAAACAAAACCAGACATCACTCTCTGCTTACCTGGGTGCAGGCTCCTGTTCTTATCCCCAGGTGTTCCTGACCTGGAAACCTTTCATTGCTTAATTTTGTTGTTTTTCTCCCCGCCCCGACGGCTGGTTCTTCGTTGGCTTGACTGTTTCCTTAATCTTTGAGTCAGGAGGTTGCTTCTGGAGGTTTCTGAAAGGCATTTTGTTCATTCATTAACAAGTACAGATGCTCCTTGATGTACAATGGGGTTACATTCTGATAAACCCATAATATGTTGAAAATATGTCAAAAATGCATTTGCGGAGGCCGGGCATGGTGGTTCATGCCTGTAATCCCAGCACTTTAGGAGGCTGAGGTGGGGGGATTACCTGCGAGCAGGAGTTCGAGACCAGCCTGGCTAACATGGTGAAACCCTGTCAACTAAAAATACAAAAGTTAACTGGGTGTGGTGGTGTGCACCTGTAGTCCCAGCTACTCGGGAGGCTGAGGCACAAAAATCACTTAAACTCGGGAGGCAGAGGTTGCAGTGAGGCGAGATTGTGCCACTGCACTTCAGCCTGGGCAATAGAGCGAGACTGTGTCTTAAAAAAAAAAAAAAAAAAAAAAAAAAAAAAAAAAAAACAACGGAAAATGCATTTACTACACCTAAGCTACCAGCCATTATAGCTTAGCCCAGCCTACCTTAAATGTGCACAGAACACTTTCATTACCATACGGTGGGGCAAAATCATCTAACACAAAGCCTATTTTACGATAAAGTTATTATAAAGAATTTTGAATCAAAATTCGAAATTTGAAGTGTGGTTTCTACTGAATGTGTGTCGCTTTCCTACCATAACATCAAAAAATCGTAAGTCAAACCGTCATAAACTGGGACCATTTGAAATTGCTAGATATACCCAATAGTATCTTTCACCACAGCTGCACAAAGGGGACCTTCCTACCTGGAAGCTCATGTTTTACTCATTCGGCAAACATTGGCCACCTGCTATGTGGCTAGGAACAAGGAATACAAAATAAATCTATTACAGCTTCAGCATTCCAGAGGGTCAGTTAACTGGATGAAACAGACATGAGCAACTGACAATGATACAGTGATGGGGATGTGTATAGCAGGCTAGAACATAGATGACAGAACAATTCTACATAAGAAGAGAAATGGAGACATCTCGAGTCACAGATGATCTTAATCTAGAGCTTAAAGCCAACGTTCAAGTTTGCTGGGCAAAGTGGTGAGGAAGGGCATTATAGATAGAAGGAACAGCTGCACAAAGGCATGAACGTGAATGGCATTTTCCAGCACCATTTTCAATAAAAATGTACTTATGGAGCTGCTTGTATACTCTATCCATACAACTTACTCCATTAAAAGTTGATAAAAGTCCGGGCACAGTGGCTCACGCCTGTAATCCCAGCATTTTGGGAGACCAAGGCGGGTGGATCACCTGAGGTCAGGAGTTTGAGACCATCCTGGCCAACATGGTGAAACCCCATCTCTACTAAAAATACAAAAATAACCTGGGTGTAGTGGCAGGCGCCTGTAATCCCAGCTACTCGGGAGGCTGAGGCAGGAGAATCTCTTGAACCCGGGAGGCGGAGGTTGCAGTGAGCTGAGATTGCACTGCTGCCCTCCAGCCTGGGCGATAAGAGCAAGACTCTATCTCAAAAAAAAAAATTTTTTTTTTTGATAAAAGCCTGGGCAACATAACGAGACCCCCATCTCTACAAAAAATTTAAAAATTATCTGGGTGAGGTGGTGCATGTCTGTAGTCCCAGCTACTCAGGAGGCCAAGGTGGGAGGATGGCTTGAGCCCAGTAGCGCAAGGCTGCAGTGAGCTATGATTGTGCCACTGCATTCCAGTCTAGATCACAGAATGAGACCCCATGTCTTTAAAAAAAAAAAAAAAGTTGATTAAAAATAACAAAAAGCATTTGCCCACTTAAAAATCATCAGACGCTATCATATTGAACTTAAGATATATCATCTTCCCTTCCTTTCATCATGTATCACATTCCTCGAAAATACAATCTTCTAAAGCTATCTGGAACAAACAGATGCAAAATGTCAAACAATTCTGCTGAAACAGAGATGGAACTCGGTGAGCCTCCTCAAGTGTCCTCTTTGCAATGGCTTTACACAGAGCAGTTTTGACCCTGCTTTCTAGGTAGCATTTGACTGCTTTTATTTCCCAGAAATGTATCAGTTCCCTGAGTCAGTGTTATTGGGCATTTGAAATATTTTCCAGTGGGCAAATCTGTCTTTGGATCTGACTGCAGTAGTTCTTAACCAGTTTCTGAGTCCCAAACCTCTTTGACAATCTGATGGAAACTCTGGACTCCTTCCTCCAGAAAAATTCATATGTGCAAATACACATCAAAATTTGCCTCTGATTTCAGTGGGTTTATGATCACCTGAAACCAATTTATGAATCCTGTAAGGGCCTGTAGTCCCTAGATTAATAACTCCTTATTTATTCTTTAAAAGAGAGGGTCTCACTCTGTCACCCAGGCTGGAAGGCAGTGCCATCATCATGGCTGACTTCAGCCTCGAACTCCTGGGCTCAAGCAATCCTCCCACCTCAGTCTCCCAAGTACCTGGGACTACAGGCATGTGCCACCAAACATACCTGGCTAAATTTTTTTATTTTTTATACACACAGGGTCTCACTCTGTCGGCCAGGCTAGTCGCCTCAAGTGGTCCTCCTGCTTTAGCCTCCCAAAAGGGCTAAGATTACAGGCATGAGCCACCGCACTCAGCCCAAGAACCGTTTTTTTTTTTTTTTTTTGAGACGGAGTCTTGCAGTGTCGCCCAGGCTGGAGTACAACGGCACCGTCTCGGCTCACAGCAACTTCCACCTCCCAGATTCAAGCGATTCTCCTGCCTCAGCCTTCCGAGTAGCTGGGATTACAAGCGTGCCACATCACACCCAGCTAAGTTTTGTATTTTTAGTAGTTAGTGGAGATGATATTTCACCATGTTGGCCAGACTGGTCTCGAACTCCTGACCTCAAGTGATCCGCCTGCCTCTGCCTCCCAAAGTGCTGTGATTTCAGGCATGAACCACCATGCCTGGCCCCAATAATTTTTTCTAAAGGAAATTATCAAGCAAATGATGTCGAGCATATCCTGCATGTATGTGTTCAGGATCCAGGACAATAACAACCCTTTTGAAAGGTAGCAGGTGTGCTGAAAAGAGGAAGACTATGACCCACGGAGGCCCACACTCTATCCAGCCTCCACCATATCACCAGCCGGTGCTGAAGCAAGATACTAAAATTCTCCAAGCCTTGCTTTGCTTATCTGTAAAATGGAAATAATACTTCTCCCTGAAAGTTATTGGTGAGGCTTAAATCATGAATGTAGATTTAGCATTCCAATACAGCAAGCTCTTGGTAAATGGCAGTTCTTATTAGTATGTGTGTGATTGCCTTGGCTCCAAAAGCTCCTAGTGAAGCTTCTTATCCTGAGAAAATCTGGGATTTTGTGCAGAGGGTCCCTGGTGGGAGTGGACAGTTATAGTGAATGCCTCTTGAGAGCACATTTCTGTTCCTGAGCTGGTGCCTCTGAGGCCAGTGGCCAGATCATATTAACCTTTAAAATCTTCTCTGTCTAGGATCTAGGCTTCTTTTGCTTTTCATCTGAGCATCAAGTTGTTTTTTGTTGTTGTTGTTGTTTTCCAGATGGAGTCTTGCTCTGACACCCAGGCTGGAGTATAGCAGCACGATCTCGGCTCACGTGCAACCTGCAACCTCCGCCTCCTGGGTTCAAGCGATTCTCCTGCCTCAGCCTCCCGAGTAGCTCAGACAGACTGCAGGCACGTGCCACCATGCCCGGCTAATTTTTGTATTTTTAGTAGAGACAGGGTTTCACCATGTTGGCCAGGCTGGTCTCGAACTCCTGACTTCATATGATCCACCTGCCTCAGCCTCCCAAAGTGCTGGGATTACAGGCATGAGCCACCGCACCAGGCCTTTGTTTCTGTTTTTGAGACAGGGTCTTGTTCTGTTGCCCAGGCTGGGGTGCAGTGGTGCAATCATAGTTCAGGGAAGCCTTGATCTCCTCAGCTCAAGCAATCCTCCCACCTCAGCCTCCTGAGTAGCTGAGATTACAGGCGCATGCCACCAAACCTGGCTAATTTTTATATTTTTAGTAGAGACAGGGTTTCACTATGTTGGCCAGACTGGTCTTGAACTCTTGACCTCAAGTGATCTCCCCACCTGGGCCGCCCCCTAAAGTGCTGGGATTACAGGCGCAGTGACATTAAACAAACTGGAAACTTCATGAATCATTCTTCTCTTTTTTTTGAGACGGAGTTTCACTCTTGTTGCCCAGGCTGGAGTGCAATGGCGCGATCTCAGCTCACCACAATCTCCGCCTCCTGGGTTCAAGCGATTCTCCTGCCTCAGCCTCCCGAGTAGTTGGGAATATAGGCATGCACCACTACGCCTGGCTAATTTTTGTATTTTTTAGTAGAGATGGGTTTTCTCCATGTTAGCCAGGCTGGTCTCGAACTCCTGACCTCAAGTGATCCGCCAGCCTCAGCCTCCCAAACTGCTGGGATTACAGGCATGAGCCATCGCGCCCAGCCAGACATTCTTGTACTCATCAAGAAGAATGGGATTTGAGTGCCCAGCTCTTGCAAATATTCACCATAGTTCCTGCTGGCAAGGAGGTGACCCAATTCTCTAGTCGTACAGTTGTGCAGAACCCGTAACCAAATCATTGCCCTATGCATCTGCAGAGTATTTAAATCAAACTCATCCTTCTGCTGAGTCCTGGCGAGGCTCTAATCTTACTTTGATTGTGCAAAAATAAAACCAAGTATGTGGTTCAATGTGACAAAGATTCCCCTACTACCAAGAAAGGGGTGGGGAGCTGTACCTCATTACTTAAATACGTTCACAGAAACAAATTAAATTAATTTGAGGTTTAACGGCATCCGGTTTGTGTGAGGGAGGGATGCTAGGTAATTATTAGTTACTATTCCTGCTTAGTGAACATGACGAAGGTTTTTCAAGGAGAGAGATCTCCAATCCAGGTTCCTGCCCTTTTTTTCTGGTGCCTGCATCGTGCTGATAGCCAACACCGTCTGTGTGTCTGTCTGTTTAGCCTGCATCAATCCTCTATCTGCCTAGGACTTCTCTGAACCTAGTCCTACCTAGGACTTAGTCCATAGAATGGCTTTAAGATTTTGATTTTTTTCTTCCCAGGAACCATATTCTAGAAAGCACAATTTTGTTATTTGTATGCAACTATTAGTAATATTAATTCATTGTTCCTCTCTTTGTACTGTAGAATAGTAAGCAAACTGTTTTGTTTGTTTGTTTTTGGTTTTTTTTTTGAGACAGGGTCTTTCCCTGTTGCCCAGGCTAGAGTGCAGTGGTGCGATCATAGCTCACTGCAGTCTCCACTTCCTGGGCTTGACTGATCCTCCAGCCTCAGGCTCCCAATCCTGAGATCACAGGTGTGCACCATCATGCCTGGCTAATTAAAAAAAAAAATTTTTTTTTCTAGAGACAGGTTCTCCCTATGTTGCCCAGGCTGGTCTCAAACCCATGGGCTCAAGCAGTCCTCCTGCCTCAGCCTCCCAAAGTGCTGGGATTATAGGTGTGAGCCACTGCACCTGGCCACAAACATTAAGAACCTCCTATGTATCAGGCAATGTGGTAACATGCAAGGAATTTTAAAAGATCAACAAGATATAGTCCCTGTATTTTGTGGTTCACTTCTAGTCATGGAGCCCATCACATAAATGCATCATTAAAACAATGTATAGGCTGGGCACGGTGGCTCACGCCTGTAATCCCAGCACTTTGGGAGGCCGAGGCAGGCAGATCTAGAGGTCAGGAGATTGAGATCATCCTGGCTAACACGGTGAAAGCCCATCTCTACTAAAAATACAAAAAATTAGCCGGGCATGGTGGCACACGCCTGTAGTCCCAGCTACTCGGGAAGCTGAGGCAGGAATATCACTTGAACCCAGGAGGCAGAGGTTGTAGTGAGCCGAGATCACACCACTGCACCCCAGCCTGGGCGACAGAGCGAGATTCTGTCTCAGAAAAACAAACAACAACAACAACAAAAATTAGCCAGGCGTGGTGGCAGGTGCCTATAATCCCAGTTACACGGGAGGCTGAGGCAGGAGAATTGCTTGAACCCCAGAGGCAGAAGTTGCCGTGAGACAAGATTGTGCCACTGCACTCCCGACAGAGCGAGAGAGACTCCGTCTCAAAAAAAAAAAGAAAAAGAAAAAAAGGAAAGAAAAAGAAAAAAAAAAGTAAAAATGAGGCAGAAGGGTCCAACTGAACCATCCCTTTCTCTGTGGACATCAATATGCCTTGGATATGGGCATACAAAGGGAAGTGTTTGGCGGGTTCACCAGGATGATATGCGGAAAGTAACTTCATGTTTGGTGTTTTTGCTGCTTATCTAGACAGTTTCTAAAGAGATTTAAAAATTAACAGTGGTTAATTCAGGAACCTTACCAATTTAAATATACTTGGGACGTATCTTTGGTAACTTTATTTCTTGTAAGGCAGCCCCAACCTTTGCTATTTAAAAGGCTTGAGCAGTTCTGTCTCTACAAGCCGCATGTATTTCTGCTGTGAGTTTTCATCTCGGGTTGTCAATTAGAGGTATAATCATTTTAGACATCGCAATCTGCTCAGAGAGCAAGGCCTGTGATGTCTTCTCTGAGTGCAGGATGAGGGCTGCCGTGCCTCTCTTTAATAAGTGAGAGTCCTCAGAATCAAATGGGAAAACAGTTTTATTTTTCACTAAAGAAAGACTGTACTTACTTTAGTTGAATTTATAGATTATGGTTGAATTCTCAATTCATTGACAAAAATTAAGGTTTAAATGTTAATTGTGACAAGCCACCATGCATCGGAATGGAATATTTTTATAATAACGGGCTGGTCTTAGGAGAATGCTTACCTCGCAAACGGGGTGAGGATTGTAGGATGTTTCATGGAATCTGTTGGACTAACACATCTTTCCCCGAAGGAGTTTCTGCTCCTTAAATGCAATCCTTTGCAGAATAATTTTTATGTAAGTGGGAGGAGAAAGGAAGTGAGTGGGGGTTGGTACCAACAGTGAATGACTTTAAAAAGATATAAACCTACCGTTGCTTAGAATATGGTATTTGGGGCTGGACACAGTGGCTCATGCCTGTAATCCCAACACTTTAAGAGGCCGAGGCGGACAGATCACCTGAGATCAGGAGTTCAAGACCAGCCTGGCCAACATGGCGAAACCCCATCTCTACAAAGATACAAAAAATTAGTCAGGCATGTGCCTGTAATCCCAGCTACTCAGGAGGCTGAGGCAGGAGAATCACTTGAACCCAGGAGGCAGAGGTTGCAGTGAGCCAAGATTGTACCATTGCACTCCAGCCCAGGTGACAGAGCGAGACACTGTCTCAAAAAAAAAAAAAAAAGATCGTTCTTGATCTTTGAGCAAACCTGCAAGTGTCCAAAAACAGACTTTGGTTTCCTTCGTATATTTACTGAATGGAATGCATAGATAGTGACCAGAACTTTATAAATAATAAAGGTTCCAGATGGGTGCAGTGGCTCATGCCTGTAATCCCAGCACTTTATGGGGCCAAGGTGAAAGGACTGCTTGAGCCCAGGAATTCAAGACCAGCCTGGGCACCATAGCAAGACCTCATCTCTACAAAAAAAATAAAAATAAAAATCAGCCAGGTGTGGTGGCTCGTGCCTGTAGTCCCTGCTATTTGGGAGGCTGAGGTGGGAGGATCATTTGAGCCCAGGAGATCAAGTGTGATCATATCACACTACTGCACTTCAGCCTGGGTGACAGAGAGTCTCTAAAAAAAAGAAAAAAAAGTTTCCATAATTTTTAATAATTGTTATGATCCCCTCCCCCTCCCAAAAAACACTTTAAATGTTTTCTAAATAATCACACTTCTGAAAGACAAGTAAATCAGGGATACAGAATATTTTTCCCATTAATGATTCACCAAAATGAGAATAGCTCACACACTTTTTTTTTTTTTTTTGAGACAGAGTCTCTGTCACCCAGGCTGGAGTGCAGTGGCATGATCTCAGCTCACTGCAACCTCTGCCTTCTGGGTTAAAGTGATTCTCATGCCTCAGCCTCCCGAGTAGCTAGGACTACAGGTGCCCGCCACCACACCTGGCTAATTTATGTATTTTTAGTAGAGATGGGGTTTCACCATGTTGACCAGGCTGGTCTTGAACTCTTGACCTCAAGCAATCCGCCCACCTTGGCCTCCCAAAGTGCTGGGATTACATGTGTAAGCCACCACACCTGGCAAAAATGCTTTTTTATTACAGGTAACTCCCAGGTCATTTATCAGAATTTCAGGTCATTTATCAGACTTTCACTGTATGTAGTTATGCTTCAGAAACTTAGGTCTTTTTTTTTTTTTTCTCAAGACGGAGTCTCGCTCTGTCGCCCAGGCTGGAGTGCAATGGCACAATCTCGGCTCACTGTGACCTCCACCTCCAAGCGATTCTCCTGCCTCAGCCTCCTGAGTAGCTGGGATTACAGATGAGTGCCACCACGCCCGGCTAATTTTTTTTTTCGTATTTTTAGTAGACAGGGTTTTACCATGTTGTCCAAGCTGGTCTCGATCTCCTGACCTCATGAACCGCCCACCTCAACCTCTGAAAGTGCTGGGATTACAGGCGTGAGTCTTGAATCTATGTTCATGTAATATACACCATGAAATTACACAGTTTTAATGTATTTGAGGTTTTCCTAAATTTTAAATCACTAAAAAGCTACCAATGACAAAATTGACACACCCCCTCAATTCTATCTCCTAGTCAGAAGTCAGCAGTTTGGTGAACATGCTTCCAGAATTATTTTCTATACCTATACTAACACATATATACTTTTTATAAAAGTTTATATATATGTGTATATTATATATATGTATAGACATATGCACATATATTTATTGATTCACCAATTTAGGACATTATCTGTTGGCTCTTCATTTATGAAAGATGAGGAGTTAGGTGACTAACACTTCCCTCTTCCTGCCTCCATTTTTATAGTTACTATTTTCAGTTCTTCTATTTCTACTTTTAAATATTTTTTTGAACCTGTGTTTCCTATCAGCTTGTAGCTTATGATCCCCTCCATGTTAGACAAAGATATTGGCACTGAACCATCTGTTCCAGTCTATACTCCCACCTTCATCCTTCTCAGCTGAACACTGACAATATCAAGGATGACAATGGTCACATTCTCTTTTGTGTGCATTGCTGACTTCCCTGTTTTGTCTGTTGATTCTATAAATGGATTGTTTCAGAATCAAGGTCAAAATCACACCACATTTCAGTTGGCTATGTTTGGACCTGGAGTTTTCTTACACATTTTTTTTTCTTGTTTCCTCATTGCCTTATCTTCCTTTTACTGATGGAAGAAACAGATTTATGGGGTTGTTCTTGGTTTTGAGATAGGATCTCGCTCTGTTGCCCAGGCTGGAGTGCAGTGGCATGATCACAGCTCACTGCAGCCTCAAATTCCTGGGCTCAAATGATCCTCCCACCTCAGCCTCCTGAGTAGCTGGAACTAACAGTGCATGCCACCACACTAATTTTTTTTTTTTTTGTATTTTTTATAGAGATGGGTTTTCATCATATTGCCCAGGCTGGTCTCAACCTCCTGGGCTCCAGCAGTCTGCCTGTCTTGGCCTCCCAAAGTGCTGGGATTACAGACATGAGTTACTGTGCCCAGCTCAGATTTATGTTTTGTCATTAGTATCATCTGGCATCTTAGCCATTCTGTCTACTACTTGGAATCAATTTCATCCTTCCAACAAGAACGAATCAACTTCATTCTTCTTGTTGAAGATAGTCTACCTGGAGCTCGCTGCCTGTCTGTTCTAATATGGAAAAAACAGGCTTCCAGGTTTGCTGTTCAATTCTCATCTCGGGATTGTTTTTCAGTGGACTTCTGGGTTGGTTTCATCATTTCTTGTATATTTCTCTTTTTGGGAGGTGGGGTATATAATTTACTTCCTTTCTTGATGGAGTACATTCTCAAGTAACTTCCTTAGTACTTGAAATGTAATCTTTCTGAGTTTATATCTGAAAATATGATGTCTTATATGGCTATGTGGTTCTAAATAATTTATGATTCTAAATTTATGGTTATAATTTTCCCTCAGAACTTGGAATTTTTCTATCATTCAGAGTCCACAAAGAGAAATCTGATGCCAGTCTGATTCTCATTCTTTTATAGGTAATCTATTTTTTGTTTCTGGAAAGAGTCTTCTGTTTATTCTTGGTATTCTGAAATTTCACCGCATTGAATCCAGGGATTGATCTTTTATTTATTTATTCTGCTTGGCATTCAATGAACCCTTTCAGCCTAGAGATTTACTTTCTTCAATTCTGATACTTTTTTTTTGTTTGAGACAGAGTTTTGCCCTTGTCACCCAGGCTGGAATGCAATGGCACAATTTTAGCTCACTGCAACCTCCGCCTCCCAGGTTCAAGTGATTCTCCTGCCTCAGCCTCCAAAGTAGCTGGGATTATAGGTGCCCACCACCACACCCAGAAAATTTTTGTATTTTTAATAGAGACAGGGTTTCCTCATGTTGGCCAAGCTGGTCTCAAACTCCTGACTTCAAATGATCCACCCCCCTTGGCCTCCCACAGTGCTGGGATTACAGGCATGAGCCAACATGCCTGGCCTCAATTCTGATAAATTTTCTTCTAGGGTTTCTTTGTTAATGTCTTTCCCTATATTTTCTCTTTTGTCTTTTTCTAGAACTTCAGTTACTCAGATGGTAAGCCTCCTGAATTGACTTTTTTTCTTCTCCCCAAACTTTCATCTCTTTGTAACTTTCTGGTCTATATTCTGAAAGATTTATCTTCAAACCTTTCTCTTGAATTTTTGTTCTGGTAATCATTTAATTTCTGAGAGTGTTCCTTTTTCATGGCATCTTTTTGTTTTATGGCCACAGAATCTTCTCAAATCTGTTGAGAATATAAATTAGAGGATGTTGGTTTTAATTCCCCCCGATTCTGACTGTTTCTTCTGGGAAATGGTTGTTTTGTTCATTTGCCTTTTTCTTTTCCATGATGCCAATTTTCTTGACAGAGTTTTGCTCTTGTTGCCCAGGCTGGAGTGCAATGGCTCAATCTTGGCTGACTGCAACCTCCACCTCCCAGGTTCAAGCGATTCTCCTGCCTCAGTCTCCTGAGTAGCTGAGATTACAGGCATGCGCCACCACACCCGGCTAATTTTGTATTTTTAGTAGAAACAGGGTTTCTCCATGTTAGTCAGGCTGGTCTTGAACTCCCAACCTCAGGTGATCCACCTGCCTTGGCCTCTCAAAGTGTTGGGATTACAGGCATGAGCCACTGCGCCCAGCCCCGATTTTCTTCTTGTGTCTGATCTTTTGTATTTGAGAATGGGAGCCCAGGTTGATTTTTCAGGACAACTCATTTAGATTTCTTCTATACATCTGTGTATTCCTGTTAGATTTCTTCTATACATCTGTGTATTCCTGTTAGATTTCCCCTATGAATAGATTAGCTAACTGAATGCCCTATGGATGTGATTCTAAAATTTCTTGTCAGGTAAGAACGCAAGCCATTGTGATTCTTGATCTTTCATATATGACTTCTTTTTACACTCTAGATGTAACTTTTGTTTTTTGATACAGGGTCTCACTGTCACCCAGGCTGGAGTGCAGTGGTGTGATCACAGCTCACTGCAGCCTCGACCTCCTGGACTTAAGCAATCCTCCCACCTCAGCCTCCTGAGTAGCTGAGACTACAGGCAGGTGCTACCACACCTGGCTAATTTTTTTTTGATTTTTTGTAGAGATGGGTCTCCTTATGTTGCCCACACTGGTCTTGAACTCCTGGCCTCCTGAGTAGCTGGGACTACAGGTACATGCCACCACATTTGGCTAATTTTTTACTTTTATAGAGATGAGTCTCCTTATGTTGCCCACGCTGGTCTGGTACTCCTGGCCTCAAGCGATCCTCCCACCTCAGCCTCCCAAAGTGCTGGGATTACAGGAATGAGCCACCACACCCAACTGGATCTTTTTTTTAATCAGTTTTAAATTTTCACAATGATATGCTTTGGCATAAATCAGCTTTCATCCATTTTTCTGGGCTATTCACTGGATCCTTTAAACTGGATCAGTTTTCTTCTGTTTGGGGAAATGGTATTATCTGATAATTTTCTTTCCTCTATGTTTTTTTTCTCCACTTCTAGAACTCCTCTATTCAGATTTCAGACCTCCAGTTCTGGACTTTATATAATTTGATCTTTTCTATTTTTGCAATTTTGCTCTACTTTATGGGAAATATCCTCAATTTCATCTTCCAATTCTGTTTTCATTTGTACTATCTTTTTATTATTATTATTATTTTAGATGGAGTCTCACTCTGTCGCCCAGGCTGGAGTGCAGTGGCACGATCTCGGCTCACTGTAACCTGCACCTCCTGAGTTCAAGCGATTCTCATGCCTCACCCTCCTGAGTAGCTGGGACTGTAGGTGTGCACCACCATGCCCAGCTAATTTTTGTATTTTTAGTAAAGACAGGGCTTCACCAAGTTGGCCAGGCTTGTCTCGAACTCCTGACTTCAAGTGATCCCCAACTCGGCCTCCCAAAGTGCTGGGATTACAGGTGTGAGCTACCACACTCAGCCCAGTTCTACTATCATTTCTAATTTCCAATAATCCTTTTTGTTCTTGGAATGTACATAAACAGCATCTTTTTTTTTTCTTTTGAGAGGGAGTCTAGCTCTGTCACCCAGACTGGAGTGTAGCGGTACAATCTTGGCTTACTGCAACCTCCGCCTCCTGGGTTCAAGCGATTTTCCTGTCTCAGCCTCCCGAGTAGTTGGGACTACAGGTGCACACCACGACGCCCGGCTAACTTGTGTATTTTTAGTAGAGACGGGGTTTCACCATGTTGGTCAGGCTGGTCTTGAACTCCTGACCTTAGGTGATCTGCCCGCCTCAGGCTCCCAAAGCACTGGGATTACATGCGTGAGCCACCATGCCCGACAACATCCTATGTTTTGCTTCATAAAAGCAATGTCATTAGCCAGGCATGGTAGTGCATGCCTGTAGTCCCAGCTACTTGGGAGGCTGAGGTGGAAGGATTCCTTGAGCCCCAGGAGTTCAAGGCTGTACTGAGCTATGATAGTGCTACTTCACTCCAGCCTGGGTGACACAGGGAGACACTGTCTCAAAAAAAAAAAAAAAAAAAAAAAAAGGAATAAACTTCCAGTTCGCTGCCAGGTGGGGCAGGGGGCAGTTGGTCAGCTTCATGGAATAGGGGGATGTAACAGCTTTTTGTCTTTCCAACTTTACATTATGGAGAACTTCAACCACCCACAGAAAGAATAGAACAGAACTCCCCATGGACCTATCACCAGCCCTGGTAACCATGATCACATTGCCAATTCCACCCCATGTGTGTATCTGTCACTTCCCTCTTCCCGTATTACTTTGAAACAAATTCCAAACATCACATCACTTCATCTATGATCATTCCGATTTCTCTAAAAGGACTTTATTTCTAATTAACATAGCCCCAATATGATGATTAAACCAAAACAGCCAATCATTCTTTATCATCAAACCTCCATTCAATGCTCAAGTTTCCAATTGTCTCATAAATGTCATATGTGTTTTATTTTCTCAATTGTTTGGTGGTATCAGAATACAAATGAGGCCCACTCTGGTTAGTCAATACGTCATTTAAGTCTAAATTTATAAGTTCCCCCCAAGCAATTTTTTAGTTGGAATTTATTAAGAGAAGGAAAGAAGTAGCTTGTCTGCAGGATTTCTCATGGTCTGGAGTCTGCTGCTTGCTTTTCTGAAGTGTAGCTTAGTGTTTCTCCTCTGTTGTTTTTGTTTTTTTTTTTTTTTTTTTTTTTTTGAGACAGTGTCTCGCTCTGTTGCCCAGGTTGGAGTGCAGTGGTACGATCCTGGCTCACTGCAAGCTCCGCCTCCCAGGTTCACGTCATTCTCCTGCCTCAGCCTCCTGAGTAGCTGGGACTACAGGTGCCCGCCACCATGCTAGGCTAATTTTTTTTGTATTTTTAGTAGAGACGGGGTTTCACCGTGTTAGCCAGGATGGTCTCAATCTCCTGACCTCGTGATCCGCCCGCCTCGGCCTCCCAAAGTGCTGGGATTACAGGCGTGAGCCACGCACCCGGCCTCTCCTCTGTCTTTTGTATTTCTTATAAATTGGTAGTTGCATCTAGGGGTTTAATTGCAGCTTCCTATTGTTTTATATTCAACTTCATGGATTCTTTCCTGTCTCCTCCATTCTGCTGTTAAGCCCATCCAGTAAATTTTATTTATTTTAGGGACAGGGTCTCGCTATGTTGCCCAGGTGGGTTTTGAACTCCTAGGCTCAAGCAATCCTCCTGCCTTGGCCTCCCAAAGTGCTGGGATTCAGGTTTGAGTCACTGCACCCAGCCATCATCCAGTAAATTTTAAATTCCAGTTATAGTATTTGTCAGTTCTAACACTTACATTTGATTCTCTTCTATTTCTTTGCTGAGACTTCAGTGGCCCTAGGTTATCATTTAAATGATGTCTTTTCAAATGAGAACAAATGATCCACTCCAGGGTGGAGTGGATGAGTAGGGAAGCCAGCCTCCAAGATGGTTCCCAATGACCTCTGTCTTCTGGTCTTCACACCTCTGCATAGCTCCTCCCACATCCTACAAGGTTATCGTATAGCAGAGTGATTGTATGCCACCTTTTTTTTTTGAGACAGAGTCTTTCTCTGTCACCCAGACTGGAGTGCAGTCACATGATGTCAGCTCACTGCAACCTCCCAGGTTCAAGCTATCCTCCTGCCTCAGCCTCCCGAGTAGCTGGGACTACAGGCATGTGCCACCACACCTGGCTTATTTTCGTATATTTTAGTAAAGACAGGGTTTCACCATGTTTACCAGGTTGGTCTCGAGCTCCTAACCTCAAGTGACGTGCTCACCTCAGCCTCTCAAAGTTCTGGGATTACAGGCGTGAGCCACCATGCCTTCTAAGATTAGGTTATAAAGGACCATGGCTTCTGTCTTGGGGATTCTGTCTCCCATGTACACAAACTCTCTCTCTCTCTCTCTCTCTCTCTCTCTCTCTCTCTCTCTCTCTCTGATCACTTGCTCTGGGAGAAGCAAACTTCCCTGTTATTGGAGATTCAGGAAGCCCAAGGGAAAGCCTGTGTAGCGTAGAACTGAAATATCCAGCCATCAGCCACTGAAGAACTGAAACCCTCTAACTACCACATACTACCATTGTAAGTAGGTCCTCTCCCAGTTGAGTCTTCAAATGAGACCACAATTCTGGCTGACAGCTTAAGTCCAACCTCATAAAAGACCTTGAGAGCCAGAACCATCTAAATTGTCCCCCAGATTCTTGCCTTACAGAAACTCTGTATAATAATTTTTTTAAGCTGTTAAGTTTCTGGGAAATTTGTTATATAGCAAGTAACTAATTCATGAGGCTTTGAATTAGTTATTAGTGATTCCCTGTCTGCCACTTACTGAAAGATGAAGGGCAAGTTGGCTAACCTTATGAGCTCCAGTTTACTTGGAAATTGAGGATAACCATTTTTGCATCGCCTTGTTTGACACTTGAACCCCTTCTTTTACAGATGAAAAAAACTGAAGCCCAAAGGAATTGACAGAAAAGAATCCACAAATGAGGCACTTAACAGTGAAATTACATGACATGTCCAGGCTTAGGCTATTTAGAAAAAGAGTAGAACTGACCCCAGGGCTCATGGCTCCAAGTTATTCTTTTATGCCTTAAAGCAAACTGTGCTGCCTTATAATGCATGCCATTATCATTAACACAGTCCATGTTTCAGGAAAAAACAGCAGATAAGTTACGCAGTGTGCATGGCTAACCAAGATTGCAATTTTTTTTTTTTTTTTTTTTTTTTTGAGATTGAGTTTTGCTCTTGTTGCCCAGGCTGGAGTGCAGTGGTGCAATCTCAGCTCACTACAACCTCCACCTCCTGGGTTCAAGTGATTCTCCAACCTTGCCTCCCGAGTAACTGGGATTACAGGCATGTGCCACCATACCCAGCTAATTTTGTATTTTTAGCAGAGACAGGGTCTCACTATGTTGGCCAGGCTGGTCTTGAACTCCTGACCTCAGGTGATCTACCTGCCTTGGCCTCCCAAAGTGCTGGGATTACAGGCATGAGCCACCATGCCCAGCTGAGAATTGCATTCTTTGAGGTACATTACAATTTCTGGGCAAATGCAAAAGGTCAAAGTTGTTCCAGTTCAGTGTTCACACCGTAAACCAACCTATAGCCATTCACACCTTCCTTCCTCTTTGTTGCCTCACCAGTCGTCCCAACTCCCCGAGTCTAAGCAGGTGGGCACCCAGCCAGAAGGTGACTAACACCATCTCTTTGCACCCAGACCATATACCAAAGGCAAATTGCTCCTTTTTTTAAACCTTGCTAGGCAAGTCAGTATTAGTATCTTCAAACTACAAAGGCTGCTTTGTCATGCAAAGAGAAGGAAAAAAAGAGGTTGACAGTATTTTGAGCCAACAAGGTTAGATCACTCGGACAACAGTGACTAAGCTCAACAGGGCTTCCAGCTCTTTTAATTAAAAAAATTTTTTCTCAAAGACCTATCTTTGTAAACCATCTCACCTTTCCACCTCCCTTCAACTACAATCTACGAATAGGGGGAAAAATGCTTTAAGATGTTGAAAAAGAATCTGTATTCCAATCAGATTCTTTGAAAAAAAGTATATGTAAGGCTGGACACGGTAGCTCACGCCTGTAATCCCAACACTTTGGGAGGCTGACACAGGCAGATCAACTGAGGTCGGGAGTTCAAGACCAGCCTGATCAACATGGAGAAACCCTAGCTCTACTAAAAATACAAAAATTAGCTGGATGTGGTGGCACACTCCTATAATCCCAGCTACTCGGGAAGCTGAGGCAGGAGGATCACTTGAACCTGGGAGGCGGAGGTTGCAGTGAGCCGAGACTGCGTGACTGCACTCCAGCCTGGGCAGCAAGAGCAAAACTCTGCCTCAGAAAAAAAAAAGTGTATGTAAATTCAACCTAGAAAAGAAATGCAAACAAAAATTATTGTATTGAAGTCATAGGACCATTTTTTCAATATGTTTTTTCAATTACAAATATATTAAATTTGTAATATATTTATATATAATATACATATTTTATATATGCACTATAAATATGAGTGTGTGTATATATATATATATATATATATATTTTTTTTTTTTTTTTTTTTTTTGAGACAGGGTCTCACTTTGTTGCCCAGGCTGGAGTGCAGTGGTGCAATTGTAGCTCACTGTAACCTTGAACTCCTGGGTTCAAGTGGCCCTTCTACCTCAGCCTCCTGAGTAGCTGGGGCTACAGATCCTCACTACCATGCCCAGCTAATTTTTTATTTTTATAGAGATGGAGTCATGCTGTGTTGCCCAGGCTGGTCTTGAACTCATGGCCTCAAGTGATTCTCCCACCTCAGCCTCCCAAAGTGCTGGGATTATAGGTATAAGCCACCACGCCTGGCCTAGTGTGTATTTTATATATAACAAATATTACCTATTTAACATTATTTAATGTAAAAATTCAAATGTTATATACTGTCTCTATTTTGACAGAATGGGACTTAATCTTTTGGATTTAAATAATGTCTCGAGTTACGGTATCATTTTCTACTCCTCATGGGCATCACTTAAGATCCCTCAGTCTCAAGCAACAGGAACCTACTCTGGCTACTTAAAAAGAATTTCTCGAAAATGCAAATCAAAACCACAATGAGATACCATCTCACACCAGTTAGAATGGTGATCATTAAAAAGTCAGGAAACAATAGGTGCTAGAGAGGATGTGGAGAAATAGGAACACTTTTACACTGTTGGTGGTACTGTAAACTAGTTCAACCATTGTGGAAGTCAGTGTGGTGATTCCTCAGGGATCTAGAACTGGAAATACCATTTGACCCAGCCATCCCATTACTGGGTATATACCCAAAGGATTATAAATCATGCTGCTATAAAGACACATGCACATGTATGTTTATTGCGGCACTATTCACAATAGCAAAGACTTGGAACCAACCCAAATGTCCAACAATGATAGACTGGATTAAGAAAATGTGGCACATATACACCATGGAATACTATGCAGCCATAAAAAATGAAGAGTTCATGTCCTTTGTAGGGACATGGATGAAACTAGAAACCATCATTCTCAGCAAACTATGGCAAGGACAAAAAACCAAACACCTCATGTTCTCACTCATAGGTGGGAATTGAACAATGAGAACACATGGACACAGGAAGGGGAACATCACACTCCGGGGACTGTTGTGGGGTAGGGGTAGGGGGAGGGATAGCATTAGGAGGTATACCTAATGTAAATGACGAGTTAATGGGTGCAGCACACCATGGCACATGTATACATATGTAACTAACCTGCACATTGTGCACATGTACCCTAAAACTTAAAGAATTTAAAAAAAAAAAAAATTTCTCGAAAGAGTATGGGAGAGCACCTAAGACCAAAAAGGAGGCCTGGAGAGGCAGGATGCAGGTAGCCACTGGAAACATCCACAGCAGGGCTTGCCACTGGAGTCATCAAAGACACATGAGCTATTTCTTCTGTCCCCAGCCCCTGGGTTTAAGATTCAAAGTCTCAGACCGGGTGTGGTGGCTCACGCCTGTAATCCCAGCACTTTGGGAGGCCGAGGCAGGAGGATCACCTGAGGTCAGAAGTTTTGAGACCAGCCTGGTCAACATGGCAAAACCCCGTCTGCTAAAAATACAAAAAGTAGCCGGGTATGGCAGTACCCGCCTGTAGTCCCAGCTACTAGGGAGGCCGAGCATGGTGGCATGTGCCTGTAATCCCAGCTACTCAGGAGGCTGAGGCAGGAGGATCACTTGAGCCTAGGAGGCAGAGGTTGCAGTGAGCCGAGATCATGCCACTGCACTCCAGCCTGGGCGACAGAACACGACTTTGTCTCAAAAAATAAAAATAAAATAAAATCTGCAGCTCTGATCATTGGGATCACTTGTTGGAATGGCCGGGTTCCTGTGCAGTCACCTAGCAGATGTCTACCAATGACAGGCCCTACTCACAGCCACTGCACTCCAGCTTGGGCGACAGAGCGAGGCCTTGCCTTTTTAAAAAAAAAAAAAAAGGCTCAGAGAAAGAGTATGCTTGGCCAAAGATCTGCCACCTAGGGCATCCTGAGCTGAGGAGGAAAGAGGGTACAGAGTCTCCCAGTTGCCCCCATCTCCATATGGGATGGCACAGCCCCTCGAGGAGCACCCCACCCTCAGCATAGCTCTCAGCAGTGGACAGATAATCACTGCAGAAGGAGATGAAGATACTGATTGCAGGCCCCAATGTCCACTAAATCATAGACTTGCTGTCATCACTAAATGAGAAGTTGGTGCAGGTGAACTGTCTTCCAGCAGTATTTTAGACTAACACCCAAACACCGTTTCTCTTCATTTATCAAAGGCCACCAAAGACCTGCTTTGGGCATGATGTTTTGGTGTGACACTTCTGAGCCAAAATTTAGCTTAATCTCTACACTCAACTTGTACAGATCAAGCCCAATCCCTTTGAGACAGAGTCTTGCTATGTTGTCCAGGCTGGACTTGAACTCCTGGGCTCAAGGGATCCTCCAGCTTCAGCTTCTCAGGTAACTGGGTGATAGGGTTTCGATTTGTGTCTCTGACCAAATCTCATGTCAAATAGTAATCCCCAACGTTGGGGGTGGGGCCTGGTAGGAGGTGATTGGATCATGGAGGCAGATTTCCCCCTTGCTGTTCTTGTCATAGTGGGTTCTCATGAGATCTGGTTGTTTAAAAGTGTGCAGCACCTCCCCCTTCTCTCTCTTCCTTCTGCTCTGGCCATGTAAGACGTGCCTGCCTCCCCTTCACCTTCTGCCATGATTGAAAATTTCCTGAGGCCTTCCCAGCCATGCTTCCTGTGCAGCCTACAGAATCATGAGCCAATTAAACATCTTTTCTTTATAAACCACCCAGACTCAGGTATTTATTTATAGCAATGCCAAAACAGACTAATACACTGGGATTACAGGTACACATCAGCATGCCCAGTTTAATCCCTCTTTCAACATCTCCTATCCATGACCACACTGCCTAGCACCTACTATGTTTCTAGGTCCTTTCCTTCCTCGTTACTTTTTTTGAGATGGTCTCCGTCATCCAGGCTGCAGTGCAGTGACGTGATCCCGGCTTGCTGCAACCCTGCCCCCCACGTTCAAGTGATTTTCCAGCATTAGCCTCCTGAGTAGCTGGGATTACAGGTGTGCACCACCATGCTCAGCTAATTTTTGTATTTTTAGTAGAGATGGGGTTTCACCATGTTGGCCAGGCTGGTCTGGAGCTCCTGACCTTAAGTGATCCACCTGCCTCAGGCTCCCAAACTGCTGGGATTACAGGTGTGAGCCACCGTGCCCGGCCTTTCTATTTTATTTATTTTTTTTGAGATGAAGTTTCACCCTGTTGCCCAGGCTGGAGTGCAATGGCATAATCTTGGCTGACTGCAAGGTCTGCCTCCCAGGTTCAAGTGATTCTCCTACCTCACCCTCCCAAGTAGCTGGGATTACAGGCATGTGCCACCACGCCCAGCTAATTTTTTGTATCTTTAGTAGAGACAAGGTTTCACCATGTCGGCCAGGCTGGTCTCAAACTCCTGACCTCGTGATCCACCACCTCGACCTCCCAAAGTGCTGGGATTACAGGCGTAAGCCACCATGCCCAGTCTAGTTACTCCCCTTTTGACCACTGCCCACACAGCTTTTTCTGAAGAATGTTCTGCATTCACAGGTGTTATATGAAAAGTGAAGGGGACCAAATGTCACATGTGTTTGGGAGATTCCCATAATATTTAGAATAAAATTCAAAGTCTGCATCTAAGCTTACAAGGCTCCCTGATATGACGCTCTCCAACCTCAGCCTCTCATACCCCAACTCCACCTCGCTCCAGCCACGGAGCCTGCTGTTCACACACCTGGAGCCAGCTCCCACCTCTGTGCCCTGGCCCCACTGTCTCCTCTGCCTGGGATGCCTTTCCCGGAGATCTACCAGACTACCTTCTTCACCTCCTTCAGGGCCAGCCTTGCCTTAGCACAGCAGTCTCTAATCCCTAGACCAGTCCGTAGCCTGATAGGAACCGGGCCACCCAGCAGGAGGTGAGCAGCAGGTGAGCGAAGCTGAGCTCCGCCTCCTGTCAGATCAGTGGCAGCATTAGATTCCCATAGGAGAGAGAACCCTATTGTGAACTGTACATGCAAGGGATCTAGACTGCATACTCCTCAGAATTTTTCAGATAGGGTCAAAAAAAGCTGGAGTATACTGGCGCAACCTTGGCTCACTGCAACCTCCACCTCCCGGGTTCAAGCAATTCTCCTGCCTCAGCCTAAGTAGCTGGGACTACAAGCTGATGCCATCACACCCAACTTTTTTTTTTTTTTTTTTTTTTTTTTTTTTTTTTTTTTTGCATTTTTAGTAGAGACAGGGTTTCACCATGTTGGCCAGGCTGGTCTCGAATTCCTGACCTCAGGTGATCCGCCCACCTTGGCCTCCCAAAGTGCTAGGATTACAGTCATGAGCCACTGTGCCTGGCCTCCTTATGAGAATCTAATGCCTGATGATCTGTCACTATCTCCCATCACCTCCAGATGGGACCACCTAGTTGCAGGAAAACAAGCTCAGGGCTCCCACTGATTCTACATGATGGTGAGTTATAGAATTGTTTCATTATCCATTACAATGTGATAATAAAGTACACAATAAGTGGAATGTGCTTGAATTATCCCCAAACCATTCCCCCACCCCCACACCCCTCTATCCGTAGAAAAATTGCCTTCCACAAAACCAGTCCGTGGTGTCCAAAAGGGAACCACTGCCTTGGCACCAAGTCTAAAACAACACTCTTGGCATGTTTTCTTATCCTGCTTTTTCTTCCTGGAACTTGACTTACCTTACATTGGTTTATTGTCTGTTTCCCTAACTAGAATCTAAACCTCTTGAGGGCAGGAACTTCATCTGCTTTAGCATTTGCCTCTCAAATGCCCCTGGGAAGCTGGTTAAACACATTGATACTTAGGTCCTACCCCCCAGAGTCTGTTTGAAGTGCAAGAATTCTGCATTTTTGCCATGTTGTTGGATGGTTCTCAGACAAGTGGCCATAGCCAGCACTCTGAGGGATGTGGGAATAGGGGGGTTAGTATCCCCAACAGAGCAAAACCCCCCTCCCCTCCCACATACACAAAACATGTGCTTCCAGACCAGAAGGGTAAATCCTGGCCCTGCTCTTACTTGGTGTTCATCTTTACCGCTTTGGGACTTGTTTCCTTATTTTTTCTTTTTTAAGAGATAGGGTCTGGCTCTGTCCCCCAGGCTGGGGTGTGGTGGCAGGATCATGGCTCACAGCTGCCTCAACCTCCTGGGCTCAAGTGATCCTCCCACCTCAGGCTCCCAAGCAGCTAGGGACTGCCCCATCCAGCTAATTTTTTTAAATTTGTAGAGATGGGATCTTGCTATGATGCCTAGGCTGGTCTCAAACTCCTGGCCTCAAACGATTCTTCCACCTCGGTCTCCTGAGTAGCTGGGACCACAGGTGCACACCACTACACCCGGCTGTGTTTCCTTACCTTTGACATGGAGGCACCGCCACCCACTTCAAAGAACTTTAAAGTACATCTAGCCCTTGACATTAGTTTCCTTCCAATCCTGAACTCTCCATTAATGTAACCACGGTGGCTCACACCTGTAATCCCAGCACTTTGGAGGCCAAGCCAAGGTGGGTGGATCACAAGGTCAAGAGATTGAGACCATCCTGGCCAACATGGTGAAACCCCATCTCTACCAAAAATACAAAAATTACCTGGCCGTGGTGGCACACGCCTGTAATCCTAGCTACCCGGGAGGCGGCGGTTGCAGTGAGCTGAGATCGCGCCACTTCACTCCAGCCTGGCGACAGAGAGACTCCCTGTCTCAAATAAATAATTTTTTAAAATAATGTAAACTGAAACAATTTTATTGGAATTTTAGCCCCCAGGCTGAAAGCTTGGCAGGTCCCTGAGAAGGTAGGTGTAAGGACTCTGGACTTGGGGAGGACAGCATCTGAGGGAGCAAAACTGAGAAAAATGAGTATTTTGCTTACTGAACAACCTGACCTTGGCTGGGTACAGTGGCTCACGCCTGTAATCCCAACACTTTGGGAGGCCGAGGTGGGCAGATCACTTGAGGTCAGGAGTTCAAGACCAGCCTGGCCAACATGGTGAAACCCTATCTGTACTAAAAATACAAAAATTAGCCAGGCATGGTGGGGCACGCCTGTAATCTCAGCCACTCAGGAGGCCGACAGGAGAATCGCTTGAACCTGGGAATGGAGGTTGCAGTGAGCTGAGATTGCACCACTGCACTCCAGCCTGGGCGACAGAGCATGATTCCATCTCAAAAATAGATAAATAACCTGACCTTGTTCCTGTGCCCTGCCCAGAGAATGGAAGGAGGGAAGCATAAGTCTCACAAATGAATGGTTGAAGGACTCCTCTTTAGGAAAACTAACCAGCCCATGAAAAAAGATCTGCAGCTCTGGGCCAGGCGCAGTGGCTCACGCCTGTAATCCCAGCACTTTGGGAGGCCGAGGTGGGCGGATCACTTCAGGTCAGGGATTCAAGACCATCCTGGTCAACATGGTGAAACCCTGTCTCTACTAAAAATACAAAAATTAGCCGGGCATGGTGGCTTGTACCTGTAATCCCAGCTACTTGGGAGGCTGAGGCAGGAGAAGTCACTTGAACCCAGGAGGCGGAGGTTGCAGTGAGCAGAGATTGTGCCACTGTACTCCAGCCTGGGTGACAGAACAAGACTGTCTCAAAAAAAAATCTGCAGCTCTGATCGTTGGGATCACTTGTTGGAATGGCCAGGTTTCTGTGGGGTCACCCAGCAGATATCCACCAATGACAGGCCCCGCTCACAGCCTGAGGACCTTTCTATTACAAGCAGAGATCCAAGGACATCAGACATCTGATGGAAGCCTTTGCCATAGGCACACCAAACTAACAACAAACACCCCCCCAAGAATCAATGCATAAACAAAGCTAGGTCGATAGCACAGATAGGATCTTGCGCTAATGAAGAAGGAGGCTTGAAAAGGGAAGCCTGTGAAAACAAAGTGTCTCGAATTAAGTGACTGCAGAAATGAAAAGCCTGGAAGAAGAGATAAAGTAGAATACCCCAGAAAGTAAAAAATAAAGATGGAAAATAGAGAATGGGACAAGAAAATGAGAGGATCCGTTTCAGTGGGAAAAAAAAATGGTGGTGGCAGGGGAGATAATTCTATTTTTTTCTTTTTCTTTTTAGAGATGGGGTCTTGCTATGTTGCCCAGGCTGGTCTCAAACTCCTGGACTCAAGGGGTCCTCCCACCTCAGCCTCCCAAAGTGCTGGAATTATAGGCGTGAGCCACTGTTCCAAGCTGTTTTTTAAAAATTAAAAGGACAATTCTAGACTGCAAGGCTGATACTTGGATGTACAGAAAATAGGTTTCTATTCAGGACAGCACATTTAAGAATACTGGAGACACAACCTACAAATTTCAGTCAGTAGAGTTGAGACAGGGGAAGAGAGTCATGCACAAAATAATTGGCAATCAGAGTAGAAGACTTTGAACCCAACACTGAAAACTAGAAGATAATGATCGATGCTTGCAACATTCTGAAGGTCATAGTTTCCAGTCTAGAACACTTGTCTGCAGCTGGATTGTCAACCAGGAGTCAAAACAAAGTCCATGTTTTCAAAGGCCAGGTGCGGTGGCTCACACCTGCAATCCCACTGAGGTCAGGAGTTCAAGACTAGCCTGTTCAACATGGTGAAACCCCGTCTCTACTAATAAAAAAAATACAAAAATTAGCTGGGCGTGTTCGCGGGCGCCCGTGATCCCAGCTACTCGGGAGGCTGAGGCAGGAGAATCGCTTGAACCCGGGAGGTGGAGGTTGCAGTGAGCCAAGATCGTGCCACTGCACTCCAGTCTGGGTAACAGAGCAAGACTCTGTCTCAAAAATAAAAATAAAAAATAAAGTACATGTTTTTGGATGAGCAGTGTCTGAAATTTAACCTCCCATGCACCTTCTCTCAGAAGATACATATTAAAAGCCAGTGGGTCTCAGTGGCTCACGCCTGTAATCCCAACACTTTGAGAAGCCAAGGCAGCAGGATCGCTTGATCCCAGGAATTCAAGGTCAGCTTCCCTGTTTCCTGGATCCCATGCCTACCTCCTCATGCGATCGTTTGTTTTGGAGATGGGGTCTCACTTCATAGCCCAGGCTGGAGTGCAGTGGCACCATCATAGCTCACTGCAGCCTCCAACTCCCTGGCTCAAGCAATCCTCTCGCCTTGGCTTCCCAAAGCCAAATTAATTAAAATTTTAAAAGCCAAATTAATTAAACAATTAGCTGGGCATAGTGGCACACATCTGTAGACCCAGCTACTCAAGAGGCTGAGGCGGGAGGATTGCTTTAGCAAGGCTGCCCTGAGCTGAGCTGTGATGGTTCCACTGCACTCCAGCCTGGGCGACAGAGTAAGACCTTGTCCCTAAAATAAAGGGGAAAACAAGCACAGGCAGGTGTGAGATCCTGCAAACAGGGACACTGACCCAGGAAAAGTGAGTGGAGCCCCCACAATGATGGTAAAAGCCGATCCCAGGACAATAGACGTGTACCAGAGGATGAGGACAACTATTCCAGGCTGGAGCATGACAGAGCTCTCCAGTGGGTGTGGATGACAAGCATGTTGGTAGATTACTGACGTATTACATTCAGCAGGAGGTTTACACAGGCTGTAAGAATTTGATATGAGGTAAACCCAAGGAAAACAAAGCATATGAGTGAAGATGTGGATTAATACTAAGGAAAACACACTTCTGAATATAATTTACATCATTATGATAAAATCTGGACATCAAGCTAACAAAAATTAGATATCTACGATGCGAAGAAAGGGAGGTATAAAAAAATGGCTATCTCTTCTGTAAATTCGAACATCGTCTTTAGATGTAGCATGAGCATAATGTTTAGAATTACAAAAGCATAGACTAGAATAAACAGACCAAAGAGTAGAAAGTTCTGGCCTCTGGGGATGGGGTGGAAGAGGCATGGGTCCTCCTTTGCTTTAAATATCTATAGCTCTGTAAAATATGTACATTGTATCAAAGTTCATTTAAGTTATAAAAATTAAGTATACAAGAAAGTCATGGTTCAAAAATAATATGTAGGCCAGGTGCGGTTGCTTATGTCTGTAATCCCAGCACTTTGGGAGGCTGAAGTGGGAGGACCATTTGAGGCCAGGAGTTCAAGACTAACCTGACCATAGTAAGACCCCATCTCTACAGAATTCTTTAAAAGGTTAGCTGCATGTGGTGGTGCTGCCTTGAAATATAGAAACACACACGCACTCTCTTTCTTTCTAGGAAGAATAAGAGAGATTGAGTTTCTAGAGAAAATTATCTTAGATCTTGTCAGTGTCAGGATATTAATTGCCAGAGGAAAGAAGGCCAGTAACACTGTCCCTGCAGCACTAAGAACCAATGATATTGTATCTGCAAGTCGAAGTCTGTGTAGAGACCAGGCATGTTGGCTCACGCCTGTAATCCCAGCACTTTAGGAGGCTGAGACATGTGGATCACCTGAGGTCATGAGTTTGAGACCAGCCTGGTCAACATGGTGAAACCCTGTCTCTACCAAAAATACAGAAATTAGCCCAGCATGGTGGCAGGCACCTATAGTCCCAGCTATTTGGCAGGAGAGGCAGGAAAATCACTGGAACCTGGGAGACGGAGGTTGCAGTGAGCCTAGATCACATCACTGCACTCCAGCCTGGGTGACAAGACCGAAACTCCATCTCAAAAAAAAAAAAAAAAAAAAAAGAAAAAGAAAAAGTCTGTCCGGATAACTATAAGACCATTCTACTCTGTCTTGAAGGTTTTGCTTTAAGACCTTTTAAAAGGCAATTACTAAACAAATGTTCTTTATTTTTTATTATTTTTTTTGAGAAGGAGTTTCACTCTTGTTGCCCAGGCTGGAGTACAATGGCTCCATCTCAGTTCACTGCAACCTCCGCCCTCCTGGGTTCAAGCAATTTTCCTGCCTCAGCCTCCCAAATAGCTGGAATTACAGGCATGCGTCACCATGCCTGGCTAATTTTTTGTATTTTTAATAGAGACGGAGTTTCACTGTGTTGGCCAGGCTGGTCTCAAACTCCTGACCTCAGGTGATCCACCCACCTTG